>NC_000001.11:175002768-175305799 GCF_000001405.40 Homo sapiens
AGTCAAAACTGGCAATAAAGAGGGCTTGGGAATTCAGCCATTGGGGGAATCCCTTGCCTAATTCGAAGTACCTTTCTCATTCTGCTAGATAAAGTATTCCTATTTCAGTCAAAAAGCAAAACCTCTTGCTTAGACTTAATATATTTCATTTTACATTTCAATATTTTTATTATGAATTAGGAGTTGTAGAATCAGCGTTTTTTTGAAACCATTACAATAAAAATATTACTTTGAACTGAAACATTTTGGTTCTATGCTCAAAAGATGAGTTTGCAAGATTTTTTGTCATAGTAATATGAGCTGTTCTTGGAAGGGTCGAGAGTGTGGACAAGAGGGTTGGGCAGAGTTGATTTTTTTTTTTTTTTGGGAGACCGAGTTTTGCTCTTGTTGCCCGGGCTGGAGTGCAATGGCGCGATCTCGGGTCACTGCAACCTTTGCCTCCCGGGTTCAAGCGATTCTTCTGCCTCAGCTTCCCGAGTAGCTGGGATTACAGGCACGTGCCACCACACCCGGCAAATTTTTGAATTTTAAGTAGAGACGGGCTTTCGCCGTGTTGGTCATGTTGGTCTCGAACCCCTAACCTCAAGTGATCCACCCGCTTTGGCCTCCCAAAGTACTGGGATTACAGGTGTGAGCCACTGCACCTGGCCAGAGTTGAACTTTTTATACCATGTCATCTGTTATAGATAGGCAAAACTAGGGCATCTGAGTTAAATGAGATAACAAAAGACTTGTAGTAAAAGAAAAGAATTAGTTCTGTTATTGCATTTTATAAGACTATTAAGAAACAGGCTTTCAAACTCTGTTGTGCGTCTGATATTCTGAGTTATAAAGCACTAAAAGACTTTTTTAAATTGAGCTTTTGATATCAAGCTGTGACACAAGATTTTTTTGGTCAAGTTGGTAGTGTCAAGCCAGAGTGTAAAGTTATTGTAAGAAAAGTGAAACAGCTGTTTGGAAAGATCTTGTGTATTTGCAGTATGTCAGAGGGTAATTGGGGGAAAAAAAACTTAGGCTCAATAATTTTCTAACATTGTCTTTAACTCTTGAATTTCATAAAATGTTGCCTCTATCTCTAGAAAGTAGAAAGTAGTAGACTTTAATAGATGATGGATTGGCAAGAGAAGAAAATGAGAACGTGGTGGCTTTTTCAAAAGATAATTTCCAAGAGTATGTTGCATTTTCGGTCTTTTGTCACCTTCTGTGCAACCAACTCCTACACTTCTGAGTGTAAGACTGACCCAGCTTCAGAGCAAGACTTTTCCTCAAAAGCAGAAATTTTTTTTTTTATCTTTTGTCTTAAAAATTAAGACTTTTTTTATGTGAGGTATTTGAGGTGGGAAGATAATGAAGACCAATCAGTGACAGAAAGTGGAGCATTCATTACCTCAGTTAAGTTTGCTATAAAAGCATTTTACCATGGTCACTGCATGTTCTCTCATCTCTTAAATATTTTAAAAGTGTCTAACATCTAATGACACTCGGATTAGATGTTACAAGGAAATCTATGAATCCTTTGTCAAAAAAAAGTTCTTTGTTTTACTTTTTAGGTCGCAGACGTTTCTTGTAAATATTTTAAAACATAAACTGGAAAATTTAGGTTTGAAGACCTATTTATTGTTTGTTCAAGATTGTTCAAAGTTTTCCTTTTGAAAAAAAGGAAGCTTGAGTTAATTACAGTTAATAAGCCAGATGGAAGAATTGAAGTTGCAACTCAATCCTAGAAAATTTAGATGAACTTCTTAATTCTTAGTGCTTATTTCAGTAAGTTGAAATGAGTGATACGCACAATATCAAGCCATTTCCTTATTTATCATAGCTAACTTATTTTTTGTCTTAACACAGCTACAGAAAGATCTAGAAGAGGTAAAGGTGTTGCTGGAAAAGGCTACTAGGAAAAGAGTACGTGATGCCCTTACAGCTGAAAAATCCAAGATTGAGACAGAAATCAAGAACAAGATGCAACAGAAATCACAGAAGAAAGCAGAACTTCTTGATAATGAAAAACCAGCTGCTGTGGTTGCTCCCATTACAACGGGCTATACGGTGAAAATCAGTAATTATGGTATGACTTGCTTCCCTATAGCCAGTTCTGCCTCCGAGCAACCTATTCCTCATAGTGGTCTAACAAATTCATCCCCAATGAGTTTTGAGTCTGTGTTTTTGGTGGTTTGGAGCAAGACCCATCAGTTTTTATTTAATAAAACTTTTTTAAGATATAAATAGGAAAGGATGCGTTCTAGAAGCTGTTAACAAGAGTAAGGTGATTCACTACAAAATGTAACAACAAGGAAGGAACTTATTCTGAAATTGTTCAGTATAAGACACAGCTTTGGTGGTGGTGGTGGTGGTGGTGGTTTTTAATCATGTTTTATGTTTCACTCTGCCAACCACCACAATTAACTGAGGAGAGGAATCCAGTTAAATTCAGGAAATATTTTTGAGCACCTAATGTGTATCACTATTGTGCTTTGACTTACGGATACACAACAGTGACTAAGACCCAGTCCTTGCTCATGTTGTGGTTGGGACATTGACGTATAACTCGTAGTATAACAATGTAGTAATACTGTTTTCCTTCAATGGTGTATACAGTTTTTTGTTTTGGCGGCAGCGCAACTTGAATATGAATGATGAGCTCTCATTGGAGCAAGGACAGTCTTGTTTTTCTTTGTGCTAATAATGTCTAGCACATAATAGGTAACATAGCTGAAGAAATAATTCTGGAGGTGAGGAACAGGGAGAATTAGAGAGATTTGAGTGTGAAGGGTGAGTCGTACATTCAGCAAGTCAAAAAGGAGGGGAACAGCATGAGCAGAGAATGTGAATAGAGAGTTGGAAGGCATGATCTATTTTGAATATTGTTAATAGTGAAAAGCATGTGTATGTCGTGCTTAAGAGATGTACTATATAGTAATATAGGAAATTGCACCGTGTACTCAGTTGAGTATAGGAAACTGGTCTGAAGGTGTTGAGGATTATGGTATTTTAACCAGGAACATAGATTTGTGTTGAGGGAGAAACTTGTCAATCCGGAGGATGGACTGACTGAATGGGAAGAAACTATTAATAAATGAAGTTCTCTGGACCCCACTAGGGCATTTTTTCATCAACACTGTTTCTTTTTAATTTTCGAGGGTACATAGTAGGTGTATATATTTATGGGGTACATGAGATGTTTGATATAGGCATGCAATGTGAAAAACGTCATGGAGGATGGGGCATGTTTCTATTCTATAGGACTAAGTGAGCAATAGTCAGGGATATGTATGTATATATTCTTGATAAACAGAAGATGCTTTTTTGTGAAGTTTTTTATTTTCTACAAATGTGATGGTATTTTGTGAAGTATTTATATATATGTCTTTTATGTTGACAGAGTTCTTCTAGGTCAGAGACGTGCTGGTAGTTTGATAATACATACTGAAATGGCATTTAACAGATACCAGTAGGTTTGTCAGATTTGGATGAAGAATTGGAGTCTTTTACATTCTACTTTGCCCTGGAAAGGAATTAAGAGAGCTAGGATTCCATTTGTTTGACTACTTACAGAAGTAGAAATGGTTATGGAATTAGTATTGATACTTAGCCATCCAGCTTAGTGGAGAACTACCAATATTTAGATGTCGGACAAAATTGTTTCCATAAAAGCTGTAAATGAACTAATCTTAAAGAATGTATTTAGTGATCATATTTTTATTCTGAGGGATAAAAAGAGCATAGGTTTTGTATTCAGAAACCTGGATTTGAATCTGAATTCTACCACTTGTTAGATGCCTAGCTTTGGGTAGAGTACTTAACTGCTTTGAGGCTCCATTTCTCAACCTAGAAAATTTCTTATATTTCAAATTTTTTCATGTTTATATGACTGGATTTTCATAATTTTACTTTCCTGACTTATGAGCCATGTGCATTTGCTGTTCTAAAGATAGTTTCAGAGGCTTACTTACGTCCCATCTTTTGTTGTCGTTGCCAGGATGGGATCAGTCAGATAAGTTTGTGAAAATCTACATTACCTTAACTGGAGTTCATCAAGTTCCCACTGAGAATGTGCAGGTGCATTTCACAGAGAGGTGAGTTCTCATTATAATGGGAAAGACAGTGAATTAACAGTCAACATTGCCTTATCTTGAGACTCTCTTCTTTGCAGTTTTTAAAATTCTTAAATTTAGAATTAATTATCCTTTACAACTACTTTGAAGAGGTGAGCGTTAACTGGCCAAATGCACACCCTGAAATAAAGCCAGCAGCTTTTTTCCCACAAGAACTATGGAGTAAGGGTACCTTTCATAGAACTAGAAAGATGATGTATTCACCATTGTGTTGCAGGTCATTTGATCTTTTGGTAAAGAATCTAAATGGGAAGAGTTACTCCATGATTGTGAACAATCTCTTGAAACCCATCTCTGTGGAAGGCAGTTCAAAAAAAGTGAGTGTGCTTTTTTTGATTGTAATATTGTGAAACCTTACCAAATTGAACCTGGCTGATTTAGAACTGAGATGAACTGGAATGAATTTGTCCTCTGTAACAGGGACCACCGCCTGTTTTGTGAATGTTTTATTGGGACATAGCCAGGCTTATTTGTTCATGTGTTGTTTGTGGATGCTTTTGTGCTACAATGGCAGAGTTAAGTGGCTACAGCAGACCATATGGCCCTAAATGAAACCTAAAATATTTACTATGCGGCCCTCGACAGAGAACATTTGCCAACTCCTTTTGTAGAATAGGCTATTGTAAGAATATTCCATTAAAATCAGGGAGGAAGTAAACGTTTGAAGGTAGTTAAGAGTGAGACTTGAGTTTTATGCCAGGTTTACAGCTTATTGTTTGTGACCTTTGGCAGCTTAATCACTCTGTGCCTCAGTTTCTGCATTTATGCGATAGTAATAATTTATTTCACAAAGTTGAAATGATACACTGAAGTGCAATACCATTATGTAAAGTGCTTAAATTAATGCTAGTGTTAGCATTGTGCATAATACTCGTATACATAAAAGGAGGTCTTAAGCACTTAGCCTCCTTGGAGTTAGAAGCAGCTATAAAAATAAGGAAACTGTCTTTTAAAAACTACTCTTTGTAATTTTTACTAAATCAGATAGTCCCTGTTTTCTGCCTAATGTGAATAAATGAAGTTTAATGCGTTAGGTATATAGACATGACATTCTGCCATCTGTTTTTATAATACATAATTACTTAACAGCTTACAGGTGATACTCAAATATAGTTGGATTCGCTGTCTTACTGCACCCTTCTGCATCCGCTAGTCCCATAGGTAGAGTACCAAAAGATCCCTAGTATTGATCATTGTTTAAAAGACCTGTACATTGCCCTTCTTTCTCACTTTCAAATGCCTCACCTTGCCCCATACTGCCTTATACGACTTGGTTTCTTGCCTATCCCCGACCCCTCTTATTATATTACTGTCTTTTTCAGTCACTAAAATCCAGCCACTCCTCCTGCTCCTCAAACACACCAAGATGATCCCATCTTGGAGCCATTCTGCATGCTCTGCCAACTGCCTTCTCCTGACCTTAGGCTTCGGCTCAGATTTGCCTCAGAGAGGCCTTCCTAATGAAGTTCCTGCCCCCACCCCCCATTAACACCCGCTTTGTCTTGATAGCACTTTCCAGGATATCAGGGTATTCAAGTTTTACTTATTTATGGTCTTTTCACACCATGAATGTTCAGATTTTGGCCTATTCATACAAGTATTACTGGCACCCAAAATAAGTCTATACATACTAGGGACTTGATCAATTGAATAGATAATTGTTTTATAAATATTCATGCTTATCTCCATGTCTTCTAAGCTGTATTTGTTTTCCTGCTTTTCTTCCAGGTCAAGACTGATACAGTTCTTATATTGTGTAGAAAGAAAGTGGAAAACACAAGGTGGGATTACCTGACCCAGGTTGAAAAGGAGTGCAAAGAAAAAGAGTGAGTCTACTTCCATTTTTTTAAAGAATTTTAGTGTATTGTTTGAGATCATGGATTTTTAATAGTTTGTCTTTATGGATAATGTATTTCTGCTTTCAACTGTCAAACTACCTGAAGAGGGCACGTCCAGCAAGTTGCTTTTTAAGGTCTTTGTAGTTAAGGGTTGGCTCTTTAGTGTGGTTCTTAACCCTAGGCGCAGTTGTGCTTCTATACAAATAACTGTGCCCATTCCCAGATACTCTGTTTCGGTAGTTTGAGAGGGGCTTAGGTACCCCTGTATGTTTTAAATTTCTCAGATGCTTCTGATGCGTAGTTTTCATTGTCACTGGTTTATAGTGAAAAAGATAAAATATTTTTATCCTTCTTAATAATGACCTTTTAAAAATGTGTATTCAATGATACTTGCGTTCTAGGTCAGTTCATCTTCTAAAGGTACTGACTAAATTAATTCAAGACCCAGGCCCAGATCTGTGTATCTCAGGCTTAAGAGGAGAGTTTTTCTAATTAAAAAATACATGAGCTTCAGGGTACATCCATGTGTAATGTTTATGATTTTCCCTCAAGTGTTTTTTTTCAAATTATGAGGAAACATGCTTTTAAAAAATGAAAACAAGTTAGAAAATCAAATTCTTATTTTACCTGTCAAAAATCACAGGAGGCCAGGTGGGGTGGCTCACGCCTGTAATCCTAGCACTTTGGGAGGCTGAGGCGGGCGGATCACCTGAGGTCAGGAGTTTGAGACCAGCCTGGCCAACATGGTGAAACTCTGTCTCTACTAAAAATACAAAAATTAGCCGGGCATGGTGGCATGTGCCTGTAATCCCAGCTACTCGGGAGGCTGAGGCAGACAGAATTGTTTGAACCTGGGAGGCGGAGGTTGCAGTGAACCGAGATGCGCCACTGCACTCCAGCCTGGGCAACAGAGCAGGACTGTCTCAAAAAAAAAAAAAAAAAAAAAATCATGGGAAATCCCTGTGCCTAAAAATAGCCCCTAACTATTTTGATGACCTCTTTCGTGCACCAAGTGTGTGCATGCTTGATACGTGTGTGTTGTTTTCATTAAGATGAATTTGTGCGTGCCGTTTTGATTGTAAATATCTTTGGGTACTCTGTCTTCCTTCTTATCCCTCTACTTCCTGCCAGTGTTAACAACCTGAATGATAGTATCTTCCGGTGCTTTCGTTTCCCCATTGTTGTATATGTTTTCTTTTTAAAGGAAGCCCTCCTATGACACTGAAACAGATCCTAGTGAGGGATTGATGAATGTTCTAAAGAAAATTTATGAAGATGGAGACGATGATATGAAGCGAACCATTAATAAAGCCTGGGTGGAATCAAGAGAGAAGCAAGCCAAAGGAGACACGGAATTTTGAGACTTTAAAGTCGTTTTGGGAACTGTGATGTGATGTGGAAATACTGATGTTTCCAGTAAGGGAATATTGGTGAGCTGCATATATAAATTTGACAGATAGCTATTTACATAGCCTTCTAAGTAAAGGCAATGAATTCTCCATTTCCTACTGGAGGATTTATTTAAATAAAATATGCTTATTAAACACTCCTGCAAAGATGGTTTTATTAGTACCCTGGTCATTTTGTTCAAGGAAGGGTTATATTGCATTCTCACGTGAAATATAAAAAGCAAGTCTTGCCCAATAAAAACGCTACATTGTGTGTATTTTTTGTTCAGCTAAGAATTGGAAAAGTATTTGCTTGCCTTTTAAGTTACTGACATCAGCTTCCACCAGTGTAAAAATTGAGTAAAACCTGAAGTTTTGCATAAAATGCAAATCGGTGCCTGTGCTTGAAGGTTGCTGTAGAGCATCTGACCCCTTATTACCACCTTAAGCAATGTATATGCCATGCATTACCATGCACTAATTCAATCACAGGTGTTTCTATCTAGATTTAAATATATTTGTCAATGAATGTGGAATAGAAAATCTAAACATGACAATAATAGACATATCTTTGTATGGTACCAGTTAGTTTTGCCGTGGATCAGATGGTTTATAAAAGTAATAACCATAAAGCAAAAAATAATTTGAAAGCCCGTCTATTCCTATGCTCAATAAAGTTAAGTTTTTCTTCATTAGAACAGTTTTATGATTTATTTGTCTAGGAGTATGTCAGAAAAATCAGGCTTTTAGTAGGAATTACTCCTATTCCCCCTGAAGTCAGGACCAGTGCCTGTGATCTCCATTACTTTATTTTCCTGGAGGTATTAGCCAACACAGTTAGATCAGAGAAAGCAATTGAAGCCAGGCATGAAGGCTGGCGCCCGTAATCCCAGCTACTAAGGCTGGAGGATCACTTCAGCCCAGGAGTTTAAGGCTGCAGTGAGCTATGATGATGCCACTGTACTGCAGCTTGGGTAACAGATTGAGAACCTGTCTCATTAAAAAAAAAAAAAAAAAAAAAGCCGTTAGACACACAGGAAAAATCCAGAAGGGTAAACTAAACTAAAGCTACAATTAATATGGGAATTTGGAAGAAGTGGTAGGATTTAAAATACAGAAACAGTTTATGTATAGGATAGCTATAAGTAAATACTGAAACACATTATGCCTCTGTAATTGGGGTTGACACATGAACAGAATAGCAGACACAATGCATATGAAAGTTACAGAATATGGTAAAAGTGGGGTAAAGATGGGTTTTTAATGATACTAAGATAACTGAAAATAGGCATATAGATATATTCCAAGCCGCCTGACGATCTAATTGTAAAAAGTAAAGCATACAAATACTAGAAGAAAATGGAGGAAAACGACATTATATGTGACTTAAAACCTAGAAGAAATAAATAAAACTATTGATCAATTTTAACTACATAAAAATGTTTATAGGACAAGAAAAACCCCACCATAACCCAAGGCAAACAATGTATTGACAGGATTCCAATAATTAAGAATACTTCATACAAAAAGAAATGTAAATGACCTTTAACATGTAAAGATGCTCACCTTGTTCAGAAGAGAATAAACCAGTGTTTTTACCTTTCACTTGAAAAAGAAGTATAAAAACAACTGTATTGAGTTGAGGCTGTGGAGAAATAAGGACACATATATGGGAATGGAATGCAAAAGTTAAACTTTGGTTAACAAGAATATTTGGGCAGGTGCAGTGGCTCACACCTGTAATCCCAACACCTTGGGAGGCCAAGGTGGGCGGATCACTTGAGGTCAGGAGTTCAAGACCATCTGGCCAACATGGTGAAACCCTGTCTCTACTGAAAATAAAAAAAACTAGCTGGGCATGGTGGCAGATGCCTGTAACTCCAGCTACTCGGGAGACTGAAGGACAAGAATCACTTGAACCTGGGAAGCCGAGGGACGAGAATCACTGGAACCCGGGAGGCAGAGGTTGCAGTGAGCTGAGATTGTGCCACTGCACTCCAGCCTGGGTGACAGAGTAAGACTCTTGTCTCAGAAAGAGTATTTGGTAATAACCATCAGAATGACATATTCATTTATCCTTTGACCCAGAATTTTAACTTCTTTCTGGGCTCTGAAAGGTACATTTAGAAAAATTTGGAATGCTATATGCAAAAGATTAAAAATACTCGTGTCTATTTAACAGGAATGTATTATGGTGCATCCACATGAGGGAGTACTTAAGTCACAAAACAATGAAGAGTTCTATATAACGTAAAATGGTCTCCAGGATAGAGTAAGTGGAAAAGCAAAGTGCAGAACATTTATGGTATACCCACTACATTTGTGTAAGAAAGGGTGAGAAATGTGAATGTATGCACATAGGTGTATTTGCTTATGTTTCAAAAAGAAACGAGTAAACCCAAAGCTAATAAAAATTGTTAGCAGGGGAAGGAAGGAGATGAGGATGGAAGCTATTCTGTGAATTTAACTTTTTCTAGAGTTTTGACTTTAGAACCATCTAAAATTTAACATGACTGAAAAAGTAAAACATGACCCTAAACCTATCAACACATTGTCTTAGTCTATTCCTGCTGCTGTAACAAAATGCCATAGACTAAGAATTTATAAATAATATTTACTTCTTGCACTTCTGGAGGCTGGAGAAGTCTAAGATTTGGCACCAGCAGATTGGTGTTTGGTAAGGGCTTGCTTTCTGCTTCCAGTACGGTGCCTTCTCGCAGTATCAGAAGGGTAAAAGGGACAAACTCTCTCCCTCAAGCCCTCTTAGAAAGGCACTGATCCCATCCATGAGTGTGGAGCCCTCCTGGCCTAATCACCCCTAAGGGCCCCACCTCTTAATAATACCAACGCATTGTGGATTAGATTTTAATGTGAATTTTGGAAGTACACAAAATGTTCAAACTATAGCATGTATATATATCAAGTTGGCAGTATAAACTACTTGCAAGTAACTTTAGAACACAAGTGTTTGCCCATTGGTAGTGAGATGGATTCTAAGTTGAGATATTAGCTAGAACATTCCAGTTGGTAAGTTGTCATACATATTTAAGAAATATGAATCCAAACTAGATTGTGATAATTCCCTCATAACTTCACCTCCACCTGAGTTTCGGACTCTGCTATCCAGCTGCGTACTAGTCTTCATCAGATGACACAGGCATCTCCAACACCGCATGACTGGAACCTGAACTCGCTTATCTTCTGTTTCCCCTAAATTTGTTCTTTTTCCAAATTTTCTATCTTGGAGTTGCCCTCTTGGAATTGCCCTCTACCATCTATCTAGACACTTTTATCAGGAACCCAGAGAACCATCTTTACCTCTTAGATATAATCAGTCTTGTAAGTCTTGCCCAATTTTCTTTCCTAAAACTTTAAAAATCTGTCCTCTCTCCTCTACTAATACCACAATGTTAGTTCAGGCCTTCATCTTCCTCAACAACTAAGACATCCTCCTAACTGGTTGTCTTGCCTGTAGCTTTTTCCTCTCATGGCCATCTGCCACACAGCTGTCACTTACCTGTATTACAAACTGATGATGTCATTCCTGTGCTTAAAACTCTGTAATACCTGGTATGTCAGTCTTAATTCCTTCACATGATTTGTGAGATCCTCCACAATACGGGCCTTGTCTTGTGCTTCATATTTCTGATCTACTGAAGTGACTGTGGTTCTCTGATGCTACAGAGTGCCTTTGCTTCTTTGTGCTTTTGTTCCCTCTGTGTGCAGAAAAAAATCTCACCCCTCACCTCCTGATTTATTAAGTTCTCCAGGAATATTTTCCTGATGTTAAGTAGGTACTTCCATTCAGTATGTATATTTTTATCACTGGGCTGATGATCACACTGTTGAGTTACTGAATGAGAACTTTGTGCTACCCTTACTCATTTCTGTTATGGATTAAATAAACATAAAAATAGGGAATATATACTGTTCCAACAAACTTTTCCTCTTTAGATGGAGACTTTCAAGGACTTAAAGAGGCATAATTTGTTTTAAAGTCCCTTAAGGATGGACAAGAAAACACTTAGTGGTTCTTTTGTTCAGCCATCACAAGAAGAAGTGGAGCATTAGATAATCCAGAACAGCAGCCTTGCTATCCAATCTGTTTATCTAACAATAATAGTTAAGGGGAGCTCTGCAGGTCAGCAAAGCTAGTCCAGGATTACAAACTGCCATACATGAGCTACATGTCAATTAGTTGGATTATGTATAAGATAGCATTTTATGAAATAATGCTCTTAATACAAAAACCCCTATATGTTACTAAAAGATTAAACTTAAAAGGAGGGTATAAAAAACATTCACAGAAAATATTTATTATGCTACTCTTTGTACTATGTATGGGAACAGTATGTTTGTTAAGTCCAAGAGAAAAGATAATTCACTGACATGAAACACCCAAATGTCTTCATTTTAAAAGTAGTTTAGAGATAGCATCAGGTAGGCCAAACAACTGTACTGGGCCCCTGTAGAGATTAGGGTTTGGTCTATTAAAAAAAATCTTTGCTTGCTGGAACTGCAAGCTTGGCTTCCCTGCAAGCTCAATAGGTTCTGGAGCTCATTTACCATGTCGCTCGCTGGATCCCAGAAAGTTGCCCATGGTCAGCTAAGTGACGGAAGACTATACGACTAAGCCTCCAGCGCCGCTTCACACCACGCGGACGGGACGTCATAACACACCGATTTCTGATTCTAACAGGACAGCTATCCCGGGGGAGGGCAGCAATTTCTTCATCAGCCACATCCTAAGGGAAATCACATTATTACACAGATCACATTACATTGTTGCACATGTATTTTGCTCCTTCTCACTTGCAGGTAATTTTCTTTTCTTTTTTTTTTTTTTTTGAGACAGAGTCTCGCTCTGTCACCCAGGCTGTGGGTGTTAGATTGTGCAATGTCACAATCTCAGCTCACTGCAACCTCCGCCTCCTGGGTTCAAGTGATTCTCCTGCCTCAGCCTCCCGAGTAGCTGAGATTACAGGTGTGCACTACCACACTCAGCTAATTTTTTGTATTATTAGTAGAAACGGGGTTTCACCACGTTGCCCAGGCTGGTCTCAAACTCCTGAGCTCTGGCAATCCGCCCATCTCTGCCTCCCAAAGTGCTAGGATTACAGGTGTGAGCCACAGCGCCTGGCCACTGGCAGGTAATGTTCATTGCATGAGTACCATAATTCATTTATCCATCCTACATTTGATGGTCATCTTACGATTTGGGCGAATATAAATAGTGCAGCTACATACTCTTGTTTAACTCATTTGTAAAGTATGTGAATGTATTTCTGTTGCCGCCTCATGTTTTTTGAATCACGAAAGTGAAACCTCTGGAATGATGATCAAATAGGAGGGAATGTGGCTTGAGATAAGACTAGAGAAGGAGGAAGGAGAGTATCACATGGAGCCCTGATGTCTATGGTAAAGATTCTGACAGCTAGAGAAGTAAAGGGGAGAGATCAGATGAGGTTTATATTTAAAAAAAATCATTTGCAAGGTAGAGGATGAATCAGGTAAGGGCAAAGTGGTTGAGGGGAGAAAAGTAGGGATTACAGCAGTAGCTAGGGCTCAGGTTTTGTCAGTAGAGATTTCTTCTTATGTATGTGTTCAAGAGTGTGAGTGTTCATAATATTCACTTTAATCTGATAAGTGTGCTAACAAGTAGATGGACCCTGTGCTAGACTGCGGTGCAAGCAAAATAACACATTAAAATAACACAAATTAAATGAAAGTATATAAAAGCCAAAAATTAACAAAAGCTTATGCATGTGTTACCATTATGAACTAACAGAATTACATAAAACAACATGATTGCCAGGCACAGTGGCTCACGCCTATAATCCCAGCACTTTGGGACGCCGAGGCAGGCGGATCATCTGAGGTCAAGAGTTCGCGACCAGCCTGACCAACATAGGGAAACCCCATCTCTACTAAAAATACAAAATTAGCTGGGTGTGGTGGCACATGCCTGTAATCCCATCTGGCCGGGAGGCTAAGGCAGCAGAATCGCTTGAACCCAGGAGGCAGATGTGGTGAGCCCAGATTGTGCCACTGCACTCCAGCCTGGGCAACAAGAGCAAAACCCCATCTCAAAAAAAAAAAAACAAAAAAAAACCATGATTGAGCCATTGAGTAGTAAACAATAAATGCTATACAAGGAACTGGAGAGGAGAAATGACTGGGCAAGAAGATTGAAGCCAAGTTTCATGGAGGTGGACCTTAAAGAATGGCTAGAAATTATGGATTGATTGATTGATACATACCCCTTCCTTCTTGTTCCCCGAAAGATTTAAGGCAGTTTACAAATGAGGAAACTGGGGCAAAGAGAAATGAGAGTAGGAAAGATAAAAGCCTCAGGACACAAAAGTGCATGCTGTGAAATTAGAACTGGGACATAAATTTGACTTGTAAGCTACTTGGCAGGCAGCAGAGAACCATGATCAGTTTACATGATTCACAGACTCTGCACAGTTATTGCTGCTAGTCATACCAGAGACATGTCTTCTGGGTATCTTCATAAAGGTACTCAAACAACACACCCCCAGCTGTATTAATGTATAGTTGACAAATAAAAATTGCATATATTTAAGGCATACAATGTCATGATTTGCTAAACATATACATTGTGAAATGATTACCACAATGAAGTTAATGAATGCATCCTTCACCTCACAAAATTACCGTTTGTGTATGTGTGGTAAGAACACTTCAGATCTACTCTCTTACCAATTTCAAGTACACAATACAGTACTATTGACTATAGTTACGGTGTTGTGCGTTAGCTCCACAGAATTTATTCATCTTACAACAGGAAGTATACCCTTTGACCAGTATCTCCTGATTTCCCCCTGCCCGCCATACCCCCTAGTCCTCCTAGCTCCAAGCAACCATCATCCTGCTTCCCTGCCTCTATGATCAATGTCTTGAGCTCAGTTTCTTGGGGGCCCCCTGCCCTTTTTTTTTTGTTTTGAGACACAGTCTTGCTCTGTCACCTAGGCTGGAGCGTACTGGCGTGATCTCGGTTCACTGTAACCTCTGCCTCCCGAGTTCAAGCAATTCTCCTGCCTCAGCCTCCCGAGTAGCTGGGATTACAGGGTGTGCCACTTGCACCCATCTAAGTTTTGTATTTTTAGTAGAGATGGGGTTTGGCCAGGTTGGTCTTGAACTCCTGACCTCAGGTGATCTGCCTGCCTCGGCCTCCCAAAGTGCTGGGATTACAGGCGTGAGCCACTGTGCCTGGCCTGCCACTTCTTATTACTCCCTAAATGTAGGAAAGTAGCTTAATGCCACTTTAGTGTAAGCCATAACCCAGTGGTCCAAGGCTCTCAGTTTTCTGCTCATCTGGCTTAATCCAGACAAGACTAAAAAGAAACCATAGTAATAAATAGGATGTATATCATTCTGCCAACTTCTCTAAATGTAGTTTTTTAAAAATCTGAGTTCTCAATAACTTGAGAGGCCTTGAGTTTAATTTATATCTCCCTGATGAGCCTTTTGAACGCAGATATGCTACATCACCACTTAGGTGCAGGACTTTATGCTTCAGAAAGCCAAGCAGGGTGACAAGGAAGTAAGCCTTAATGGAAAGGCACTTCAGCACACAGAGGGTGGGCAAGGGAGTTCAGGAAGACAGGCTCAGAATGGTGCTAGGTAAGGAACAGTTTAGGCCGCGTACCAGGCACACAGACTTCAACATCAGCAATGCCTCCCAATGCCTTGCCAGTTAAAAGATTGGGATGCGGCTGGACACAGTGGCTCACACCTGTAATCCCAGCACTTTGGGAGGCCCAGATGGGTGGATCACAAGATCAGGAGTTCGAGACCAGCCCAGCCAACATGGTGAAACCCTGTCTCTACTAAAAATACAAAAATTAGCCAGGCATGGTGGCATGTGCCTGTAATCCCAGTTACTCAGGAGACTGAGGCAGGAGAATTGCTTTAACCTGGGAGGCGGAGGTTGTGGTGAGCCGAGACTGAGCCATTGCACTCCAGCCTGGGGAACAGAGCGAGACTCCATCTCAAAAAAAAAAAAATTGGGATGAAGTCAGGGAGAGACCTTAGGTGAAAATAACCACCCAATTTACCAGTACTTTCTAAGGCTGGCATAATGAAACAGTTGTAAGGCTAGTTAGGAGTGAATAGTCTTTAATTTGAAACTCAACAAAATCAGTTTCAAGACTATTTGTTTATATTGATGTGGATCTTATTCTCCAGAAATTATATTGATACCAAGTCACAACAAACAGTATCAAAAGTGATCTGATGTTGAGTTAATGATCTTGTGGTACAAAGGGACTCATCTTAATTAGCTAACCTGAAGAATTTTTGGCAAAATGGTATTCTTCCTGAGTGAATTAATACGTAGCCTCTCATCTGCGTATTCATAGGCCATTTTTCGTCTCTTCACATCGCGCCACATTCTCCAGTCTACATAGTGACTTCGAACTTGGCCTGAAGCTGATGAAGGAACCATCTGAAAGACAGAGACAAGGGACAAGTGAAGGATAGCCAGGACAACATTCTGAGTGTTCCTCAACCCTGCAATTCTCTTTCTGCCACTATTTATCATTTAGTATTCTTTTAAGAGTTGTTTTAGATCAGTTTAATAGTTTAAGATAATAGACTTCCTAATTTATTCAGAATAAATAACTTTTATGGATGTATATTAAGTCAAAATCATAATAATATAATGCAATAACATATGTATTGGAAGGTGAAAGACAGATTTTCAGAAATTTTTATTATTCTGTTTGACCTGTACTTAGGCCAATAGTCACATGGTTCAAAAATCAAAAAGGTATAAGAAGACACACAGTGAAAAGTCTCCCCCCACCTCATTCCTCACCTGCCCAATGACTCCCTTGCCCCACAGGTATCCACTGTTTCTAGTTTCTTGTATATCCTTCAGAGATTTTTGTCTGTATACACTCCCCTCCCATTTTTCGTTCCCTCTTTTCAGTTTACAATATACCTTAGAGATCTTTCAATAACTGAATGTAAAAAGCTTCCCCATTTTCTTCATATTGCATAATCTGCTATATAGAAGCATCATAATTTAACCTGCCACGTATTGCTGGACAGATCTCACTATTTATTATTATAAACAATGCTGCAGTGAATAATGTCTTGGAAATCATTTCATATGTATTCCTATATATCTTGAAGATATATTATTATTTATTTATTTTACTTTTTTGAGATGGAATCTAGCTCTGTCACCCAGGGTGGAGTGCAGTGGCGCAATCTTGGCTCACTGCAACCTATACCTCCCGGGTTCAAGCAATTCTCATGCCTCAGCCTCCTGAGTAGCTCAGACTACAGGTGCCCGCCACCACACCTGGCTGTTTTTTTTGTTTTGTTTTTTGTATTTTTAGTAGAGATGGGGTTTCACCATGTTGGCCACGCTGGTCTTGAACTCCTGACCTCAAGTGATCCATCCGTCTTGGCCTCCCAAAGTGCTGAGATTATAGGCATGAGCCACTGTGCCTGATGAGGATAGATTATTGGGAGCAAAACTGCTAGGTCAAAGGGTACTTTAAAACTATCACTGACCTAAGACTTCTCAGCACTAGTTGTCCAGTAATAAGACAGTATATTCCTTGTTGTCTCACATTTTCACGGTGATAATTTACAGTTCTGACTGACAGGACAGGCAAAGGGAGTATAGATCACAAGAAACGATAAGTCTCTCTCAAACCAGAGGAAATATTACATGTTAATTAAGCTGCCCCTATAGAAAAATGATGGCTTCTGATAACTGATGTTTATAAATGAAATATATGTATAGCAGAATATAAAATTGAAAATAAGAATACTATAAATAGAAAGCCACCATTTTTTCAATCTATTAACAAAAGATAAACTGAACATCTTCAGTGCTCACATTACTAAACAAAAGTTCCTTGGGGAAATATAACAATTCTGCAATCACCTTTTGAAAAAAAGATAAGCAGGAATAGAATTTAAATATTGATGTGGCATATGACTGAGTCCAGTGAATGCCTTGGTAACCATGGATGGACATGCTTGTCACAGAAAGAGGGGCTTTGAAATCTTGACAGCAATTCAACATTGAAATGCTGACAGAATTTTGACTAAAGTGGGGACAGGGGAGGGGAGAAAAGGTAGTCTGTCCAAACAAAACATGGAAAAGAACAAGATATATTCATAAGATCAAGGAGAAATCAAAGAAACCGTTCACATTGAGGGGCAATGTGAGGTTTGCTTTTACCTGTGAAATTGAGGGTACAGGAGATTTAGAAAACAAGATTAAGCATTTCTTCTTTGAATTCTTTTTCAAAGTATTCCTAATCAAATTCTCCTAGAAGACTTCTATTAGTTTTTAAAAATAGTCTTTCACTCTATTTTGCATACCTTTTTTTCTTACTAGAAAAGTAATATCCATTTTTTCCCCCTTTTTTTGAGACGGAGTTTTGCTCTTGTTGCCCAGGCTGGAGTGCAATGACGCGATCGTGGCTCACCGCAACCTTTGCCTCCCAGGTTCAAGCGATTCTCCTGCCTCAGCCTCCCGAGTAGCTGGGATTACAGGCATGTGCCACAACACCCGGCTAATTTTGTTATTTTTAGTAGAGATGTGGTTTCTCCATGTTGGTCAGGCTGGTCTTGAAATCCCAAAGTAATACACTTTTAAAATAAAATATTTATTGGCCTATTATATTATTTCTTCTGTGAACATTTTTATGTGCTTTGTCTGCATTTCTACTGTGGTGTATTTCCTTACCAGCTTATAATGGTGCTTTATAGATTAAGGCCACACTCTATTCTGCTCTGTACACATCTTATCCTGCCCCCATCTCTCACCCCTCTTCAGCTCCTAAAACCTTTCCACTGGGCCCTCTCAATCCATGGTCTATCATCAAAATCTTTTAAATTCTCAATTTCTCTTGACATCTCCTTCACCTTTTGCTCTGGCCGAATTTTAAATCCCTCCTCACAGCTTTTCCTGTAGCTCCTTTTTCTTCCATAACTGGGCCTAGAGGTGGGATAGGTAAGTGTCTTCCTTGCTCTTCATTGCAGCTTCGAGTTCTCCTTCCTTCCTGAAAGCTCCTGGCTTTGACTCATGCCATTGGGCTTACTACCTTCCACTCCCTCTCATTGTTGCAGTCATCTACCAAAGCCCCTGCCACTCCCTTTCATTTTTCCACGATTTTGGATCCTGGCTTATTGTCACTCTCTCCAATATTGTTCCTATCTTAATTCCTGGTTATTTCAATATACATGAAATTACACCCTGATCACTCTGATTTCTTAACACCTCTCCTTCAATGACTTTTGTCCTCCACTCTTGTTTAACTATTCAATTCCATGCCCATGTTGTGGGTATTTTATTATTAATAAGTGCAAGCTATTATCTCACTTTGTATATCTCAACTCATTATCACTTCTTTCTAGCTTGCTCCTTCTAACACCCCAATAACAATCCTTCTGGGACTTTCAATCCATTGATCCTACCATTTTTCACTTTTTTCACTCAGCTTTTGATTTACTGTCTTCCTCTCTCACCTAGCCTGAATTCCATTGTTCTATAAATACAACGTTCTCTTGAATACACCATCAACTCTCTGGCCCCTCTCTCACTTCTCTGTACTTACTCCAATTCTCCTGACCATTCCTTCTGTCCATTTCCAACTCTCTTACAGGGTCTTTCTCCCCTTAAATCTCTGACACTTGCTCCCACATCCTCACACTCAGCTGATGACTTCACTTTCTCCTTAATTATAAAATTAGAAGAAATCAAAAGAGCATTTCTATAAATGCTCACCAACATAGTGGCTCACTTACTAGCATCTGTATCATATGTTCTACATTCCCTCCTGTTATCAGAGATCCACTCTGTCCAACAGAGTAACCACTAACCACATAGGGGTATTAAACATTTGTAATATAACTAGTGCAACTGGGGAATGTAATTCTTTATTTTAATTAAAATTCAAAACCAAAGCATTGTAAACATTAAACAACTTTATTATTTTGGTAGAACTATATTTCCCATTTTAATGATGGGAAATTTAGCACCCAAACTGAGATATGCTTTAAGTGTTTGAAAATCTAGTATGAAAAAAAAGAATGTAACTATTTCATAAGTCATTGTTATATTGATTCTATGTTAAAACCACAGTATTTTGGATATACCTGGTTAAATAAAATATTATATTAAACTTAATTTCATCTATTTCTTATTTTTTAAATGTGGCTACTAGAAAAATTTTAAATTACACATGTGGTTCACATTATATTTCTATGAACAACACTGCTACAGATTAACTGTCCAGGTTCCTAAGACCAAACTTCATGCACAAGACCCCATAGCCTCTCTCTCTTTTTTTTTTTTTTTTTTAAATGTTTTTGGTTTTTTTAGGGCTAGTCAAGTGAAAAAGTGGGAGTGGAGAAGGAACAAATAAATCTGTAACTGGTTGTGATCAATTAGTTGTAAACACCACTGCACTCGAACCAGCCTCCATTGCCTCTTGCCTACATAAAGGTACAGCTCTAGCAATTCTTCCCTCTTCTACATCATCAATTTTTACTACAGGATCTTTCCCTTTCATACACAAACATGCTGTTTTCCCTGCCATGTTAAAAGAAAACAACCCCCCTCCCCGCCCCCGTTATTGACCCATTTTTTTTGCTCTCCTTTACAGCAAAGCTCCTTTAAAGGCTTATCTATACTCCACTTTATTTCCTCCTATTCTCTTGAACGCTTTCGTCCCCATAACACCATCAGAACAGCTGTGATTAAGGTCCCAACAACCTTCACACTGCTAAACTCTTCAATTCTCAGCACTTCTTTTTAATTGATTTATCAACTTTGAGCAGAGTTGCCCACTCCTCACACTTTGAAATTCTGTCATCCTTTGCTTCCCGGCCATCCCACTCTCCTAGTTTTCCATCTCCCTAGCTGACAACTCCTTTCAGTCTCCCTTGCACGGTTCTCATCTCTTAACGTTACAAGTCTCTGAGAGCTCAATCCTCGGAACTCGTCTCCTATCTGCTTACTCCCTTACAAATCGGAGTCAATCTCACATCTTCCAATACCAGTTAGTCATATGCTTACGAAAACCAAATTGACATCTGCAGCTCGGACCTCCCCTGAACCAAGCCCAAGCGCGGAAGAGGGCGGAAGGAGAACCCCTGGACTGGTCCTCACCGAGCACTACAGGTGGCAGAGCCGTGGGGGACCCGTGGGTTATGAGATTCAGCGGTGAGGGGTAGCGGTGTGGATAAAAGTAGAGGCCTGACCTGCTTGAACGTCCGCAGCAGCGAGCCCAGCATGAAGGCCGCCATGTTGTCCGCTACAAACTACAAACCGCTGAAACTTTATTGACACTGCCGAATAGCGCAGGACACGAGGGGCGGGGCCTGGGCCGCCTGGGGCGGAGCTGGGAGGTGGGTGGGAATGTGGCCTACAGGAAAGCGGGGTTAGTTTTGGGATCGGAGCTCTCGCGATATTTCACGGAACTTGGGCAAATGACAAATCTGAAGGCGCCGCGTTGATGCTGATGGCGCAGCCAGACCCGCCCCGTGTGTTGCAGCCCGTGTAATACCCTTCTCTCCCTACCCACAGTTGGGGTCATCTTCTATAAGCGGGTCATGAAATAGGCGAGCTAGCTCTGTGCACTCTTTTCTTCCTTTCTGGAAAACTAGTTCTGAAAGCATCTTTTTTGTTGCTGTTGTAGGTTATGATTTAATTCTACCTTATTGGTGTGACCAGGAACAGGGCAAGAGTCCACCTCTACAATCCCATAGGAAGAACAGTCAGGAGAATTATATACATCTACAGCGGGCACAGGACTTAGGCCAGATCTTCCTGGAAAGTGGTCAGAAAGACTTAGACTTAAGCCACGGGAGTTAGGCCAAGCTGATCGTTTGCCCTTTCAAAGATGGCAAAATACTGTTGGATGAAGAGGTAGCCCAGGATCCAGAACTCTTATGGGTGGTGGAGATGTTCATACCCTGGAAGCTGCTAGTGCAGCCCTGCTGGCTTTTTACTGATTTTATGAAGGATATTAAAAAAAGGCTGGGCATGGTGGCTCACACCTGTAATTCCAGCACTTTGGGAGGCTGAGGCAGGTGGATCACTTGAGGTCAGGAGTTCAAGACCAGCCTGACCAATATGGGTGAAACCCAGTCTCTACTGAAAATACAAAAATCAGCCAGGTGCGGTGGCAGGTGCCTGTAATCCCACGTACTCGGGAGGCTGAGGCAGGAGAATTTCTTGAACCCAGGAGGTAGAGGTTGTAGTGAGCCGAGATTGCATCCCTGCACTCCAGCCTTGGCAACACAGCAAGACAAAAAAAAAAAGATACTGAAAAGGATACAGATGAACAGTCGGTTGGAAGAGATGTGTGGGACAAGGCACGGTGGATGGGGCTTGGAGCTTCCATGCCCTTTCCTGGTGGGGCCATCTTCCAGAAACCTCCACATATTCAGCTATCTGGCAACTTGTGAAAGCATCTTTAAACAGCATTAGTAACTTTTTTCTAAAAATTGTGATACAATATACATAACATAAATTTTCCCATCCTCACCATTTTAAGTGTACAGTTCAGGGGCATTAAGTACCTTTACACTGCTGTGCAACTGTCATCATTGCCCATCTCCAGAACTTTGTGTCTTCCAAAACTAAAATACTCTACCATTAAACAATAAGTCCCCATTCCCCCTTCCTTTCAGCTCCTGGCAACCACCATTCTACTTTTTGTCCCTATGAATTCAACTACTCTACGTAGCTCATCTAAGTGGAATCATGCAGTGTTTTGTCTTTGTGACTGGCTTCTTTCACTTATAACATCCTCAGGGTTTATCCATGCTGCACCATGTCTCAGCACTTCGTTCTTTTTTATGGCTCAGTAATATTCCATTGTTTGGCTACACTACATTTTGTTTCTCTATTTATCTGTCATTAACACTTGCTTTGCTTACACCTTTTAGCTGTTGTGAATAATGCTATGAACATGTGTGTACAAATATCTTAAACAGCATTAGGATCTTGTTAGGCCATTTTTTGCTTTAAGAAGAGAGTAAAGCAACCTAATGGTGTGAGTGAGGCAGGAAACTCTGAAGTACTGAGACAAGACTCCAGGGTCTTCTTTAATTAATTGTATTGGTTTTTTAAAACAGCCTAAGATTTCCCCCCAGACCCCCAGTGTGCACTCCCCCCTTAGTGTGTGGGCCACTTGGCAGGGCCTAAAGAAGTCTCGGTTTACCTTGAATTTTCCCAAGGAGTCTCTAATTCTCTGGCTACTTAACAGAATGTGGGAAAGGCTGTTGTCTTTACTGTCCTGGAATATTAGAATCAGGAGAACCATCATAATTCATTTAATCATTCAGAAAATATTTACTAAATGCCTGTTATATATGAATGTGTAAGTATGTGTCAGATCGGAGACTGAAAAAAAATCCCAGCCCTTCTGATACTTGTAATTCCACTGGGGATTATAGATTTAGACAGAAGTGGAGCTATCTACCAAGGATGGTTATATTACCTTTGCTTTTTCCTTATATTCTTTCCTTTGAAGGCTTAAAAATACTTTTTGGGTGGATAAAATAAAATTTAAGAGTTAATTATTTTTAAATTTGATTGTGAGAGATGGTTATGTTGCTATATTTATTCTGGGCCTGATTAAATTATAAGAATCATTGTATAGATAATGAAATTGAGGCATAGAGAGGCCAAGCCAGCTGAGCTAAGAACGTTAAGACAGATGCTTTTTTTTTTTTTTTTTTTTTTTGAGATGGAGTCTGGCTCTGTTGCCCAGGCTGGAATGCAGTGGTGCAATCTCGGCTCACTGCAAGCTCGGCCTCCCGGGTTCACGCCATTCTCCTGCCTCAGCCTCCTGAGTAACTGGGACTACAGGCGCCCGCCACCATGCCCAGCTAATTTTTTTGTAGTTTTTAGTAGAGACGGGGTTTCACCATTTTAGCCAGGATGGTCTTGATCTCCTGACCTCGTGATCTGCCTGCCTTGGTCTATATTAAGGCAGATGCTCTTAATCCTCTCTCCATGTTGTCCTCTGGAGGAGCGATGGCTCAGGATAAAGGCCTGACTGTTGTCACAGAATTCTTACTTATAAAATGTATCAATTGATTAATGTATGGATTTCATGCCATTTTAGTCAATACTTCAATATATATAATACTCCTATATATTATATAAATATATATTTATAATAAATGTATATATTTAGGTTATATAGGTTAAATATAAATATATATTATGTATTTATAAATATATAAATATATAAATACATAATATATACTGTAATATAGAAATATGTGTTTATATAATATATTAATATATATTAATAAACATTTTATAAATATATAGTATATAATATATGTTACTCTAAATATACTATATATTAAATATATTTATTACATATAATCTATTAATATATCTATATAAATATATGTATATATTATATTCATAAATATATATTAAATGTATATCCTTATCTATATTTAATAAGGATATATATTTACCCAGTTGTGCCACTTTGAGGAATTTTTCCAAGGAAATACTGAAATAGATAAATATATATCTATTTTAATCTATATATATTCTTATATATTTATTATATATTCATATTAAATATATATTATATATTCACATTCAATATCTATATATTTATTATATATTCATATTCAATATTTATATATTTATTATATATTCGTATTCAATATTTATGTATTTATTATATATTCATATTAAATATTTATATATTTATTATATATTTGTATTAAATACTTATATATTATATATTCATATTAAATATTTATATATTATATATTCATATTAAATATATATTTATTGTATATTCATATTAGATATTTATATATTATATACATATTAGATATTTATATATTTATTATATATTCATATTAGATATTTATATATTTATTATATATTCATATTAGATATTTAAATATTTATTATATATTCATATTAGATATTTATATATTATATATTCACATTATTTATATATTTAATATATCTTTATATTGAATATTTATATATTTAATATATATTGAATATTTATATTGAATATATATTGAATATTTATATTTAATATATATATTGAATATATATATTCTATATATATTGAATATATATTTAATATATATTTATATTGAATATTTATATATTTAATATATATTTATATTGAATATTTATATATTTATTAAATATATATAAGATGAGTGGATGGAAGAGAGGTAGAAACTCCCTTATAGAAAACCATGAATTTTATTTTATTTTTTGAGACAGGGTCTGGCTCTGTCACCGAGGCTGAATTTAATGGCTGGTTCACAGCTCACTGCACCCTCAACCTCCCAGGTGCAAGCAATCCTCCCATCTCAGCCTCCAGAGTAGCTGGGACTACAGGTTGGCGCCACCACACCCAGCTAATTTTTTGTATTTTTTTTGTAGAGATGGGGTCTCATCTTGCCATATTGCTCAGGCTGGTCTTAAACTCCTTGAGCTCAAGAGATCCTCCTGCCTCGGCCTCCCAAATTGCTGGGATTACAGGTGTGACCCACCACACCCCATGACATTTTTGAAAACAAAAAAGTACTGAATAGTCTTACCCTACCAGATATTAATATACCATACATTATAGAGCCGTAGTTATTGAGCTTATGTGGTACTGGCGCCAAAATCAACAGACAGTTACGTGAAATAGAATAGATAGGCCTGATAGAAACTCCAGTGCAATTAGAATTTGGTTATGTATTAAAGGAAGCATAAAAATTGTTAAACAACTAGTGCTAGAACAACTGGGTAAAGATTTGGGAAAAATTATATCTTCATCTCTTACCACATATCAAATTTTAGATAAAAAGGTAAATACTAACAAAGGCTTAAAAAACAGAAGAAAATAAAAATGAATATATTTTTAATTTTTATTGTTTTATTTTATTTTTATTTTTTGAGATGGGGTCTCACTCTGTCACCCATGGTGGAGTACAGTGGTGCGATCTCAGCTCACCTCAGTCTGCTTCATGGGCTCCAGGTGATTCCACCTCAGCCTCCTAAGTAGCTAGGACTACAGGTGTGGGCTACCACACCTGGGTAATTTTTGTATTTTTTGTAGTGACGGGGTTTCACCGTGTTGCCCAGGCTGGTCTTGAACTCCTGAGCTCAAGCATTTCACCTGCCTTGGCCTCCCAAAGTGCTGGGATTACAGATGTGAGTCACCATGCCTAGCTGAATATATTTTTTACACTTTTAAATCTTAGTAGACAATTTTCAGACTGTCTAATAACATTAGATGTGTTCAACCTCACTAGTTTCCAAGGAAATGCAAATTAAAATAATGAGATCTATTTAAGCTAGCAGATTAGCAAAGGTTAAAAAAAATTCGGCATTGTCAGAGGTGTGAGGAAATAGGTAATTTCATAGTCGAGTGATAAGAATATAAATTGGCATAACTTGTCTGCAAAGCAATTTGGCAAGTCTTTTCAAAGTTTGTAACTATTGATCCAATTATGCCACTTTGAGGAATTTATTCCAAGGAAATACTGAGAAACTCTAAATTTTATATAAAAGGACATTTATCATTGTCTTATCTATAACAACAAATAAATAACTTAACAGTAAGTGGAGGGTTAAATGAAGAAATCAAGTTATAATCCTAAATTTAAAAATCTGATGGGTTTCTAATTTAAAATATATATATATATATTTACAGATACAGGTGTAGGTATAGAATAGACAGATTAAAAAAGGCTACTCTTAAATATTAAGAGTAGAGATGAGTGAGCAGATTACTGGTTATTCTTATGGTCTTTAAAATTTTCCAATTTCTCTATAATTTATACTATTAGATTCACATATGTGTTGAAGTTGATTTAAAAATATTAACCTGTTCTTGTCTTTTTATATTTATATTATTTCACCCAAAGTATTTGAAAAATCTGTTTTTCAAGGTGCATATAGGAAGGGGTCATTCCTGGTCCCCATCAATATCCTTGGCTTATTCTTGGGGACAGGCACAGGCCGAACCCTGACCAAAGCAGCAAGAAATTAAGAATTCAGGGATGCTTGCTTCGTTCATATTTAGTACCAAGCCATTCACTCTTCCCTTCGTCTTCATTTCTCTGGCTTCTGTGTATGCCATCAAGTAAACTGTCCTTTTGGTGTCTAATCTTTACCTAATACAGGAATGATCATTTCCTTAACTTCTCTGTTTTCTGAGAGGACTAATTAATTATTCCTTTTCATTATTTTATAACTGGCAAGTTACAAAACTAACTTGACTGCAGCTTCTGGTGCCACACAGTAAGAATGTTTACTTGGTGTGTGCTTGTTCTTAGCTGGCCTCAGCTGAGTCACCAGCAACCTTGGGCCTGAACACCTGCCCCAATGCACTCCCCTGGTGCTTCATCATGGGCCTTCCACGTGAGAGCTGGATATGGCTCAAAAGAACCAGATTTCTTGGGCTATGAGAGGGAACTACAAAGAGGAAGAAAGCGATAATAAAGGAAAAGAACCTGTGGAAGGAGAGCGAAAGGCACGGGGACACATGCACCACACACACACACACACACACACACACACACACACACACACACACGCATTTCAACCGTGGCTCTGAAATGGTGTGATGGATAGTGGGTGAAACCTCTGTTCTCATTACACATCTGCCTTCATTAAAGGCTACCAGCGGAATAGCAATCCTATTGGTTTACCGGTTTGGCCTTAGAGTGTGGATGGCCTTAGCACTTCCGGAAGCAGCCACAGGTCCCATGCCTGTGAGCCTTCCCTGGAGCTATGTGCTGTGCACCACGCTGAACACGAGATGGCAGTATTACTACATCTGCGTTCCAACACACAGCCATCCTCGGTTCCCACACACAGGGCCTGATGCAAACTGAACACACACACACCACACACACACCACACACACACACACCACACACACACCACACACACACACACACACACAGCTGTCCCCCAAATAAAATAATGACACTTCGCCTATCGTCAAGTGGGACCTGTGTTTGAGACTGAGTTTGCCGCCTCCGTGGGAGTCAAAGGCAGGACAGGCTATGTGATTTGTAGGGCCCAGTGCAAAAGGAAAATGTAGGGCCTCTTGTTCAAAAAGCAGGGAAAAAAGTGCTGCTAAAGGTAGTAAAATATGAAGCCTCTTCCTTTCTTTCCTGGACTCTGGACTTGTTATGGGATTTTTAAATTTTCTATTAATGTTCTAAGTAAAGAAAAACAAAATCATTAAATGTACTTTTAAATCATTAGCATCAATTTTACCACTCATCGTCATATTGGGGAATGCCAGTTCACCGTGCAAATGTAAGAGCATTTAACTCATAGGCAGAATCAGTGAAATTATACAATTTTTATTTTGTTGCTTGTATATGCCTTTGTGTTTTGTTCTTACCAGAACAGTGAAAATATTGCATAAAACTAACTCAGTTGCTTTTATTTTACTTCTTGATCCACGTGCATTCTACCAGCACCTTCTGACTTTGGCTTACTCATGAGTAAGAGAGGACTGAAAGGAAAAGGAACTATTGTCCTTTTAGAATGTCAACACCTTCATGTATAGGAAGCAAGTTCTAGTGGCCTCTTGGGGTTGCCAGTGCCCCAGCTGACTCAGTCATAGACATAGTACTCTTACCTTGGACTCGCTTTGAGTCCCATTAATCTCCCATACATCATGGGGCCACCAGAATTCCATGTGGATGGGGCATCATACAAAGGGAGCAGCAAGGAACGATGGGCACATGTGTCCCCTCTGCTCATGCAGATGTTCCATTGTCCCACTGGACCTCACTTACAAGACACAAATTCAAAAACATAATGATTCAGAATTTCAAGATAGTGACAGTAGAACATTAAACCAAGCACAGGGCTCTCCTGAAGGCATGGGGATACATGCACAGACACACACAAACACACAAGAACGGCAGGGGCTGTGTGACACATGAGTGACATACCTGCAAAGCCAGCCCAGGTCACAGGCTCTCATGATCTCAGCCACTTGCATTTTCCCAGTCCACACTTATATCTCCAATGAGCCTTTTCGCCCAGGTGCCAGAGCTCCTTCAACTCCACGTGTACCAATCTGAGCTAGTAAGCATCCATTCCTTCAGCAAACATTTATTGAACGTTCCTGTTACATGTCAGATACTGTTCTAGGAGCTGGGGATACAGCAGGATACACAGTCCCTGCCCTCATGGAGCTTACACTGTAGTGGAGAAAGGGGAAGAGCCATTCACAAATCAATAATTATGTGTCAAATGGAGACATGCTATGAAGAGAAAAGCAGAGTAAAAAGAGCATTATGGTAGGAGATACTGTTACCTAATGTGGTCAGAGAAGGGCTCTCTGATGAGCCAGCATTTGAACAGAGACCTTAAGGGTGTGAGGGAGTGAGCTAGGAGGCTCTGGGGGAAGGACATCCAGGCAAAAGGAATGGCAGCTGTGGAGGCTGAGTGGGGTGTGTGCATGGTGTGTCTGAGGGGGAACAGGGAGGCAGCAGCTGGAGCCAAGTGAGTGAGAGGAAGAAGGTAGGTGAGGTGAGAACACTGGGGGCACAGGGGGAGCCCATGTAAGGCCTTGCGTTCCCACATAAACTTCAGTAAAAACTGTCTCCTCCAGATTGCCTCCTTTGTTCTAAAGGCCTTATGTCTTGACGAATGGCCTCACTGGGAATAGGAGTCACCTTTGGCTCCTTTTCTCTCATGTCTTTAGCCAGACCTCTTGCTCCAGCTACTGCCTGGCTGACCACTTCCAAGCAGGCTGCTACCAGCTTAGTCCAGCTGCAGTGACACTCACCTTGGGTTCACATCAGGAACCTCTCATGCCTTGCCCTGGGGCTTCTTTGGTGTTGGTATGGACACCTGAGGAGCCAGGAGCCTGCTCAGCTGTCATGTATGCATAGCTTCAAGTGCAGGGGGAGTGATGCCCATGGGGACACCCTAAACCAATGGAGATGGAAGCCAAGGGATAACACATTTCATAAGGCTCCTTGGAAGGCCTTAGCGAGACATCAAGCTCCAGTCAGCCGCAGCAGTTGCTAACTTAGTAGTCACTTAGTGGCGTCCTTGTTTCTCTTTTTCATTCGTTCTTGTTCCACTGCCCTGATCCCTCACTCTTGCTCCCAAATAAACAAATGGCACACACACCTCTGTCCTGGATTCTTCTTATTTTATTTTATTTATTTATTTATTTTCTGAGATGGAGTCTCGCTGTGTCGTCCAGGCTGGAGTGCAGTGGCACGATCTTGGCTCACTGCAAGCTCCGCCTCCTGGGTTCATACCATTCTCCTGCCTCAGCCTCCCGAGTAGCTGGGACTGCAGGCGCCCGCCACCACGCCCGGCTAATTTTTCGTATTTATAGTAGAGATGGGGTTTCACCGTGTTAGCCAGGATGGTCTCGATCTCCTGACCTCGTGATCTGCCCGCCTTGGCCTCCCAAAGTGCTGGGATTACAGGCGTGAGCCACCGTGCGATTCTTCTTTTGTGGGTGGTGGGAAGAATTCAGGCTCAGATAAAAAATATCCCTTCCCACCGATCATCCAAATCTTGTTGATTCTACTTCAAATTGTTTATTTAATTTTTCCCATTCCTGCTCCCACTCCCCTAGTTCAGACCCTCTTCATCTCTTCTCTGTACTAGGACCAACTGGACTCTTACCTGCTGTTTTGCCTCTCCCTTTTCTTTTTTTTTAAACTTAACCCATCATCTCTCCCACAAAAGCATTCATCCTTTTCTGCTGCCAAAGTGAAGTTTCTAGGACTACAACTACTCATTTCTGGTAGCTACTTATCACCTACAAAATAAAGTTTAAACCCCTTAACATGATGTTATGATTGCTGTCAATGCCTGCAGCACCGTGATTTTCCATCTCTCCCCATAAACACCTCTGACCACCTTGGATTGTTCATCTGTTTCCCCTTCAGTGGTTCTTCCTCTCGAAGCCTTTCTTTCTGCCAGCCTTTCCATTCAGTCCCCTTTAGTTCATCAAATGCTTAATTGAACACAGGCACATACCAGTTCCTGTCACCCAAGGAGGTGAGGAGCAGGTGACAAGATAGGGGAGGTAGTGTTGCAGAATATGTCACATGTCAACACAGTCCCATGTAAATGTTTTAGTTAGCTTGCCTGAGTTTAGGGACCTGAGTGCGCTTTTTCGTCAGGCTGGAATCACTGCAGGGGTTTTGGTAAGGAGAAAGGACATTTTTCTTTTGCAGAACTTGAGATCACGTGGAAAAATATGGCTCTGAGGGGGGGTAAATTTATGGAAAGTCATCTTTACATTAATTATCAAAGCTGATGTCTAAATAAAGACAATGCGATTGACATTTTGCACATTTTAAATTAGTAGTAGTGGATATAGCACTCAATTTTCACTTACTATTCCTGACTTCAAAAAAAGAAGTGTTAAATTTTCTTTCCTGCAATCTCGAGATGCTTGCTTATTTGTTTTGATTTGTTGCAGATAATATGCATGCAGAGAGGTTTTCCTTTTCTGAGTCTCATTTTCCATCCACATATTCAATGTCTTCTTGCCTTGCAGACTTAGGATTGTTGATTTTCCACCCCTCTAGTTCTGCCTGCCGGGCCACTGGCTACAGTGTGCAGGTTGGGATCATAGGACTGTGACTGGCCCAGGGGGCACATGGGCCTGACTCTCAGCCCATGAGGTTTGCCAGGTTGGGCTCCCTGGCTTGTGGCTGCATTACATTTTTATAATTCTGTCATGATTCAGAGATGTTAAGTAAGTTGGTGCTTGAGATAGAAAGGTTTAGGACAATCTTATTTAACCAATGAGGCCCAGCTCAGTGGGTAATTGTCAGCCCTTCTACCCAGCTCCTGGGGTTTATCGCCTCAGGCATGGCCCTGGTATCTGTGTGCAGAAGCACACCTGTCAACTCCTCTTTCCCATCTTAGCAACCTCCTTCCTCTCAGGCCAATTCCCAGTGCTAAGAACCTGGTTACCCTTCCTCCTTGTGTTTCCAGCAGCTACAATAACAAATTGTCACGAAACATTATCCTCTCACATTTCTGGAGGTCAGAAGTCCAAAGCCAGGCTGGCAGCAGGGCTGCGCTCCCTCCAAAGGCTCTAGGGGAGAACGCTGTCTTGCCTCTTCCTCCTCCAGCCTCTGGTGACTGCTGATGTTCCTTTGCTTGTGGCAGCAGCATCCAATCTGTGCTTCTGTCCTCACCCAGCCTGCTTTCCTGTGTGTGACTCTGTGTTCTTTTCTGTCTCTGAATAGAACCTTCTCATTTAGGGCCCATCCTAATCCAGCATGATTGTATTTCAATCTTTACCCTCATCATGTTTTAATGACCTGACTTTCAAATAGGGTCACATTCTAAGGCTGTGAGTGACATGACTTTGGAGTGGACGTCATTCACTCCACCATACTCATCTACTTTATCTTTGTCAAGACTTCAATGCAAACACATCTACTTCTTATACCCCCTGTTTTACCTCCTTTTCCTATTTTCAACTCCCCATTCCTTTTTTCCTCATTTACCCCTTTAAGAATGACTTATAATTTGTGTGCACAAGATTTGACAATTCTGCATTTCTGAAGAGATGTACAAAGGTAAGCACATATTTATTAGAATTTCATATAGAATCAGAGGGAAGTCAGAGTCAGGAAAGGAGGGACTGATCTATTCATATACAATTCTTTTAGTATTATATTTGTATTAATTTCCTCAACCCATTTGAAAGTTCCCTAAGGAAATGTGTGGTTTTCAACTTAATATGCAAGTTCCTAGCAGAGTGTCTGGTATGTAGTAGGTGCTCATAAATTAGAATGAGATGAGTCAACTTCTTACCTTTGGCCGTGTCCTAACCAAACATTGCCAAACTAAATGGGAAAGGACTGGACAGGCACAAAATTCTCTCTTCGTTGCTCATGGACTTGCCCCTCAAGTCCAGCCTCTATGGATACAACCTGCTAGTCTAGTATTGTAGAAGAAAATGCACTTTGATCTCACTTTTCTCCAGCATAGCAAAGACCACACTTAGAGTGATGATGGGGATAACTTTTTCTGTCTTTCAGAGGAGAGGAGCAAAAGTATCCTCAAGAGGACAATAGGGGGCATGAAGGGCTTTCATGAGCCTCTCTAAAACACAGTTGTGGCTGGGCGCGACGGCTTATGCCTGTAATCCCAGCACTATGGGAGACCGAGGCAGGTGGATCACTTGAGGTCAGGAGTACAAGACCAGCTTGGCCAACATGGTGAAACTCTGTCTCTACTAAAAATACAAAAAAAAATTTAGCCGGGTGTTGTGGCACACACCTGTAGTCCCGGCTACTGGAGAGGCTGAGGCAGGAGAATCGCTTGAACCCAGGAGGCAGAGGTTGCAGTGAGCCGAGATTGCGCCACTGCACTCCAGCCTGGGCGACAGAGTGAGACTCTGTCTCAAAAAAATAAATAAATAAAAGTCAATAAAACACAGTTGTAAAGCATATGTCTTGTCCCTCTAATAAGAAAGCCAAGTCCAGAGGCCAGAGGTGAAGCCCGACCTCTGTGTTTCTAACATCAAGGATGCTGCCCTGCCCAGGACCAACACCCAGCAAACTTTGGATGATGTCAATAAGGTGATGTTCACCAACATCTTCAACAGCGGGCTGAAAGCCAAGCAGACATGGTCACTCTGCAGTCCTCTGGAAGGCCCAAGAGAGCCCTTGCCTGCTACCTGAATAGATGAGGACCTCCGGAGCTACCTGGCCTTTGTGGATTCCAGACCTCCTGCATCAGCCGAGCTCCAGGAGAGCCCCAGCAGCGCTCTCTTTTCCTGCTGCCTCGGTGCTCAAGATGATGGTCTTTTTGAGTGTCCAGCTGATTCTGTTGCTCACTTACCATTGTGTGGGTGCCTCTCTCATCCCTTGCCCAAGGAAAGCCTACACTTTGAGGTTTTGAATCTCTCTCAGTGACCTTCAAGGCACTCCCTCCCAGCTGCCTGTGGCCCAGGCTGAAACACAATGTTTCATGTGGTTTCAGGGATGAGGTCACACCCATTTTCTTTGCAATATCCTTAACAAATTTTCATTTGCGGGAAATAAAGAGTAGATAGGAAAGCAGCCTTTTCTTTCACATCATTTCTCCTTATTCTCTTTTCTTTTTCGTCTTCCTGGTTTTTCTAAATTCCAACGCCATCTAATGAAAAGGGAAAATGTTACTAATAGCAATTTAGCTTAAGTGCATTGCTTTTAGTAGCCATGGGGACAAAAATATCAAAGAGCCATAAGTTAATAGGATTCAAGAGTAGAAAACTTCTGCAAAGCTACAGGGCACATCCTGATGATACCAGCACAAAGCTGATGTCCCTTTTCTGCAGAAGATACACAGTACAGGTGAGCCTGCAGGTCACCCGGCAGCCCTAGAGCAGTAGAAGTATGTATCATGTTATTATGTCTGTAGTCCATGCTGGGGCCTGGGAAGGAGCCAGAGACAGCATGTTCCCTTTACATTCCATGTTTGCCAAAAAGACCCTCTCCACAGCTTTCTCCCAGGGCCTGATCTAGAAAACCCAGAGATCCTTAAGTTCCACCCATCCCTTGCCTTCAGGCTAACTGCTGCTAGAGTAAGAAAAATGTCCCTGAATGTGCCTCGTCTCCTGCTGGGAGTATCACTTGTCAGTCAAATCAGGTGAATTAGCATTTTGTCCCGATTTACTTTAGAAAAGAAAATGAAAACTATCTCTAGATGCATTTTTGTATCCTTTGCTTTGTGTTGTCAATAAAGAGCTAAAATAATTTTTCTGTGTTATTCACTAATTGTTTCCTGTTTTGTCTCTGAGGGTGGAATTCATGCCATAATACTTTCTGGGGTTTCTCACAGCACACAGCACAAGCCTGAGGCACATCGTAGGCATTCAGCATTCAGTAAACCCCTTTTTGATCAAATGGTTTACAGGATTGAGTTCTACTTGCTGGACCTCTGCTTTCGGTATTCCATTTGGGTTTTTTTTTTCCTCTCCCTTGGATATAATTCATAGTGAATTGATACCCTTGGTATCTCTGTTCTATATGAGGAGAAGAAGAGAGAAAAAAAATATGATGGTAACTACCTAAATCACTCAATTTCCATACGACACAAGCTGCGGGGTCATGTTTTAATGTTCATTAGAATCCTGTACAGCACTGAGAAATCTAGTGTTAATTTCTTAAATGATACATGAAGAAGAAACTATCATGAATGCATTTACTCCTCTCATAGGACTACAGATCAATACTTTGTTAATATTGACTTCCTTCTGTATTAGTCCATTCTCACGCTGCTATAAAGGACTGCCCGAGACTGGGTAATTATAAAGGAAAGAGCTTTAATTGACTCGTAGTACTGCAGGGCTGGGGAGGCCTCAGGAAACTTAGAATCATGGTGGAAGGGGAAGCAAACACATCCTCCTTCACATGATGGCAAGAAGGAGAAGTGCCGAGCAAAAGGGGGAAAAGCCCCTAATAAAATCATCAGATCTCATGAGAACTCACTCACTATCACGAAAACAGCATGAGGGTAATCACCCCCGTGATTCAATTACCTCCCACCGGGTCACTCTCATGACACATGAGGATTATGGGAACTACAGTTCAAAATGAGATTTGGGTGGGGATGCAGCCAAACCATATTACGTTCTATTACAGGGAGTGCTAATTTTTCTCTCCCTCTAGAAATGTAAACTCCATAAGGGCAGGGACGATGATGAAGAGTCTATGCTATTTTGTTCAATTCTGTATCCCCAGTTCATAGAACAATCCCTAGCACAATGGTATGCACACACAATAAATATTTGTGGAAAGACTGAATAGGATTTATGTTATGTGTGGTATAATCTTACAGATTATGGTAATCAGCAAAGTAGAAATTAGACTCATCTCATATGTCTGAAATCTGTCCTTGGGGTTTGACATCAGGCTGTGACTCCCACTTGGGTTTGAGTTGGGATTCTGTACAAAACCTCAGCCCCATGCTTTAGGTAACCACAGGGTCTGCTTCTGGAAGAGAAGAAGTGTTTCAGTAATGAAGGGAAATGGTGACCCATAGGAAAAGCTGATGTAATGGAGATGAGGGAACAGACCCACACGTGGATACTTCCCTACTGAATACATTTGTGTATGTGGATGTCCATAGCTACCACAGAGGCCGTTCACAGTGTCCTCTTTCTCCCCTTTGCCTCACTTGGTTATTCTTTACCCCTCTATAGTAATAGTTTGAGTTTTGATTCATGTTGATTTTATTTATTGACAGAGTCTCACGGTGTCACCCAGGCTAAAGTGCAATGGCATGATCATGGCTCACTGCAGCCTCAACCTCCCTAGGCTCAGGTGATCCTCCCACCTCAGTCTCCCAAGTGGCTGGGACATGCCTGGCTAACTTTTGTATTTTTTTGTAGAGACAGGATTTCTCCATGTTGCCCAGGCTGGTCTCGAACACCTGGGCTCAAGTCATCTGCCCACCTCAGCCTCCCAAAGTGCTGGGATTGCAGGTGTGAGCCACTGTGCCTGGCCCATGTTGATTTTAATACTTAGAAAGAATCAAAGAAGATTGACACTAGTCACTGTTAATGATGTTTTTTGGGTTACTACATCTTAGTCATCTTTGTTTCCTCTGAGAACATATAGACCTCTCAGATATAGACATGGGTTTGTTAACCTTGCAGTGCACTAATGAGGCTGAAAGATCATCAGCTCCATTTTTCAGATGGTGAGACCAAAGCACAAACACTTACCTGGGGCCAAGAAAGCCTGTTCTGCTATTATGGTCTTTTATCCTGGTGCCCAGGCCTTCTTGACCTCGTATTGCCAGAATGCAGTAGGATTTTGACTTGTCCCTACTATCTGATGGAGAAAAGGATGAGTCCCATGGTTCTAACAGTATCTTTTTTTTATGCTGTACATTTATTATCACTGGAATAAAAGCCTGGGCAAAAGATACCAACTATAAAGCTCTTTGAATTTAGTACTTGTCAGTCCCTACAGGGAAACAGAGGGTGTCAGAGAAAAATGAACCGGTGGAGATTATGCAGCCTCAAAAGGTTTTTAAATAATGAGCGATCTCTGGTCTATACATTACAGTGTAAATTCCAGATGCTTGAATTTTCAAGTTTTCAGTCCTGAGGGTGGGATGTAGTATGAGTTACAGACTCTGGAGCCAGACTGTGTTGGCTCGACCATCTGCTTGCCCTGGGACCTTGAGCAAGTTACACGACCCCTCTGTGTGTAAGAGTCTAAACCTGCAATACTCCTCACCTCACTGGGCTGCTGTGGGGATTAAAGGATTTAGCAAAATTCATACTTAAAGCACTTAAAATAGCAACTAGCACACAGTGAGTATTGAACAAATGCTCTATGATGAGCATAACGATGGTGATTTCTCATTCTAACTGGGGCTACAAGTATACTTTTCTCTCATTTTGTCTAATGTCATAAAATGGCCGTTTCTATAACTTATTGACATTCAGATTGCTGGATTTTACCCCCAAATGAAGCTCTTTGGATATTTCCAGCAAAGGAAAAGAAGAGGAAGAAGATTTAGGAAGAAAGCAGAGGAGTGTTCACAGACATAGTAGAAAAAATAATTAATTCTTGAATTCACTCAAGAATTAGGATTCACCTTTATTAAGTATCTACCATATGCAAAATATTGTGCAGGGATGTGGAGGGTGCATATCACACACGTGTACATGCGTGTGCATGCATGTACACAGTATTGTTCCTGCCCTCAAAGAACCTATACCCGTCTCCTCCAGGAGGCTTTCCTCGGGACTCCAAGCAAGGTTAGGATTGCTCCTCTGTTTGCTCCTAGCACCCTGCACTCACCTCCGGCACTCATGTATTATTGGGCTTTGTAATCGCCTGCTGTCTAGAAACCAGTGAGCTTCAGGAGCTTACAAATCATGTCTTCTTGGCTTTTGTAGCACCCAGAAGTAGTTCGCTGGACAGGGCAGGACTGGACAGAGCTGGTAGAGGTTGTCTCTTTGGTGTAGATCTTCCTCTTCTTCCATTGGCTTTGGTGCCATAACTTTAGCCTTAGACCTACCTTACTTTTAGGACTAATTGTTATCCTTGACCCCTTCTTGGTTCCTCTTCACCTGTGAGCTTCTTTCTTTGCCTCTTTGATCCCACTGGAGACACTAGGCCTCACCACAAAGCCAAGAGAAAGAAAGGGCCTGTCTTCTCTCACTGGGAAGGAAGTGTAGAGGGCTCAGCTCACCCACAGCTTCTTGAGCTTCAGGAGATCAAGGCTGTGCAGGCTCTGGCTTTTGCATCCCTGGAGGTGGTCTCTCTCTTTAAGATTTCTCTGCCTATTCACTCACCTTCCACTGGGAAGAGGAACCCAGTGTGGAGTGAAACTGGGGGCTAGGGGGAAGGTTGGCCAAAGCTTTGATCAAAGAGCTTCCCCATCAGCTGTGTTTACCTTGCTCTTTGTTCTCTGTCTCCCCAGCCAGGTTCTCAAGCACAGAGTTCTCAGGCCAGCCATTCCTGGGGCAGCAGATGGATCTAGTTCATCCCTCAGTTGAGTCTCTGCAGCTTCTGGCTTCTGTCAGTGTTCAGAACTTTGGGACTATTTGAAAGCAACCACACATTGTGTGTCTGCAACGTGTTTATGCCAAGCACAGTTTCATGCAGATGTTCATAAACACGCTGCCAGTTACTAACCATCTTTCTGTCAGTCTGAATTGCTATTTGCTTTTCCAGTTCAAACAGAGAGGCACATACTCTGGTGACATACAGATTCCCTAATACACGCTATCCACTAAGACGTCAGCTGAGGTGCCTTCCCCCACGTTCATGCTCACACACTCTCCATGCACCCCAATGTCTTCTGCACAGACCCGCCTCATCTCTGTCTCCCTGTGTGGTTATGTTTATCCAGATCCTTCCTTTGTAATTGTTTTTGAAGCTTAGTTTTAAACCTCTCCCAAAACCACAGTGGCATGGTAGAAGGTAAGGCTGCCAAAGTTTAAAAGAGTCATGATGTCTGCTTTCCCCTTGCCTCAGGCCATCTTCTTCTTATGGAACATTGTAATGGAAAGGTGCACGGATCTTTTTCTGCACTTGCCTGACGGCTCCTTCTGGAACATAAACAAAAAGTTCCATGGTCCATGTGGCGCCAGAGCTCTACAACAGAGGCTCATGGTAGAGGCTATTGGATGAGCCGTGGTTAGTTTTGGACTTGGCTAGACCAGCAGGATTCCTGGGGGATGTTTTTTTGTCCTCTGTCATTGCTGAAGGTCTGATTAGAAGAACCAAGCAAAATAATGACAGCTCTTGAAATTCTGGGTTTTACTTTTCAGCTTATCCAAGTCAGTGGTGATTTGGTTTATATGACATATTTTTTGACGAGAAATATATTCTTAAAAAGTCATTCTCTACTTCCTTCCTCCAAATCTCAGATTCTGGACCCTTGGCCCACATTGTTTTTTAATTCCCCTGCAGGGCTGGGAGGCTCAGCCGGCAATAGCCAGCACATCCAATACACCCATCATCACTACTCATCATGGAGGAGCTGGGTAAAGAGTCAACCTCTTCCCTGGGATTTATTTTATTTTATTTTTTTATTTTAAAAATATTTTTATTTTACTTTTTGTGGGTTTTAGTAGGCATATATATTTATAGGGTACATAAAATATTTTGATACAGGCATACAATACATAATAGTCACATCATGAAAAATGGGGCATCCATCCCCTCATGCATTTATCCTTTGTGTTACAAACAATCCAATTATACTCTTTCAGTTATATTAAAATGTACAATTAAATTGTTATTGACTGTAGTCACCCTGTTGTGCTATTGAATACTAGGTCTTATTCTTTTTTTTTTTCTCTGTCGCCCAGGCTGGAGTGCCGTGGTGTGATTTTGGCTCACTGCAACCTCTGCCTCCTGGGTTCAAGCAATTCTCGTGTTTCAGCCTCCATAGTAGTTGGGATTATAGGTGTGTACCACTACCTTTGGCTAATTTTTGTATTTTTAGTAGAGACGGGGTTTCGCCATGTTGGCTAAGCTGGTCTCGAACTCCTGGCCTCAAGTGATCTGCCCACCTCGGCCTCCCAAAGTGCTGGAATTACAGGCATGAGCCACTGCACTCAACTTTATTCATTCTTTCTAACTTTTTTGTACCCATTAATCATCCTCTGATTTTTAGATCCCAGAAATAAGTGAGAACATGCAATGTCTGTTTTTCTGTACCTGGCTTACTTCTCTTAATATAATGACCTCCAGTTCCATCCACGTTGTTGCAGATAACAGAATTTCATTCTTTTATTATGGCTGAAGTACTCCATATATGTACCATATTTTCTTTATTCATTCTGTTGACGGACACTTAGGTTGCTTCCTAATCTTAGGTATTGTCAACAGTGCTGTAGTAAATATAGGAGTGCAGATGCCTTTTTGAAATACTGATTTCCTTTCTTTAGGGCATCTACCCAGCAGTGGGATTGCTGGATCATATGGTAGCTCTATTTTTAGTTTTTTGAGAAAACTCCAAACTGTTATCCATAGTGGTTGTACTAAATTACATTCTCACCAACCATGTACAAGGGTTCTCTTCTTTCTATATCCTTGCCAGCATTTGTTATTGCCTGTCTTTTGGATATTAGCCATTTTAACTGGGGTGAGATGATATTTCATTATAGTCTTGATTCGCATTTCTCTGATGATCAATGATGTTGAGCACCTTTTCATATGTCTGTTTGCCGTTTTTATGTCTTCTTCTGAGAAATGTCTATTCAGCTTTTTGCCCTTTTAAAAATTGGATTATTAGATCTTTTCCTATAGAGTTGTCTGAGCTCCTTATATATTCCAGGTATTAATCCCTTGTCAGATGGGTCGTTTGCAAATGTTTTCTCCCATTTGTTGGGTTGTCTCTTTACTTTATGGATTGCTTCCTTTGCTGCACAGAAGCTTTTTAACTTGATGTGATCCCATTTGTCCATGTTTGCTTTGATTGTCTGTGCTTGTGGGATATTACTCAAGAAGTCTTTTCCCAGACCAATGTCCTGGACATTTTCCCCAATGTTTTTTTTAGTAGTTTCATAGTTTGAGGTCTTAGATTTAAGTCTTTAAACTATTTGGAATTGATTTTTGTGTATGGCAAGAGATAGAGGTCTAGTTTCATTCTTCTGTATATAGATATCCAGTTTTCCCAGCACCATTTATTGAAGAGGCTGTCTTTTCCCCAGTGTGTTCTTTGCACCTTTGTAAAAAATAAGTTCACTGTGGGTGCATCAATCTGTTTCTGGGTTCTCTATTCTGCTCCATTCGTCTATGTGTCTGTTTTTATGCCAATACCATGTTGTTTTTGTTACTTTAGCTTTGTAGTATAATTTTTAGTCGGGTAATGTGATTCCTCCAGATTTGTTCCTTTTATTTTGGATAGTTTCGCTATTCTGGGTCTTTTGTGGTTGCTTATAAATTGTGCGATTGTTTTTTCTATTTCTGTGATGAATGTCTCTGGTTTTTTGATAGGGATTGTATTGAATCTGTAGATTGCTTTGGGTAGTATGGACATTTTAACAACGTTGATTTTTCCCATTAATGAACATGGAATATCTTTCCATTTTTTGGTGTCTTCTTCAATTTCTTTAATCGGTGTTTTATAGTTTTTATTATGGATGTCTTTCACTTCTTTGGTTAATTCCTAGGTTTTTTTTGTGAACTACAGAATTTATTAAATAAGAAGGCTATCAATTGGAACAGGAGGGAAAAAAAGTTTAAAAAAAAATCTATAGGAAAAAAGGCATTTAGTACTCGTGGCCTTCCCTCTGCGGGAGGCCGTCAGAAAGGCAGCTGGGACCTCACAGACCCGGGTGGGCTCTGCACATACTTGAAATTCCTGAATTCTAAACTGCATTGTACAAAATGCCACTTGAAACGTCCACCAGAACCCCCAGCCAAAGACGCGCATCTGGACAGCTTCACAGCACAGAATGTGTGACCTTGGTCCCCGTGGGTCCTGGGGGAGGACAGCAGCAGCCACGCGGTGGCCCCTGCGCACTCGGGCCATGACCGCACGGACCGCCCTCTGGGGCCACAGGAGTGACCTGGGAGCCAGAGGGAGCCCTGAGTGTCGGCGTAAGGCACAGGTCCCTGCCCAGGATCGCCGTCTCAGAGGCACATTTAGTGTTTGTTCTACTTATGAAATCAAGGACAATCAATTGTACTTATCTTACAACTGATGTTCTGGGATGGGACTGGAAAACACTGATTCCAGAACCGCTCTTTTTCTTAAAATCTTTGGCTTTTATGACAGTGTCTTCCTCATTAGAATCTGTAAGATCGCAGGAATTTCGCCAAGAAGGGCTGCATAGAAACCACAGAGGCAACTCGGCCAGGGCTGCTCCCATTGCAGTGGCCAAGAACTGGCTGAGGTCACGACACTGGACCCTTGCGATAAACACTTTACTCTGGGTAAAGACTGCATATTTAAGGACGCAACTGCACATTTAGATCAAGCGGTGGTGATTTCAGGGCATACAAGGAGCTTCATGCTGAGAACACCCAGGGGTCCTCAAGAGTCTTCCTCCTCGTCTTTAATTTCAGAAATTCTGTTTATAGATTTAAGGATTTCAGCAACCAGATTCACTGTCTCAGCTCCGGAAACCAGTTGCTTAATGGAAGCCTGTGCGCTGTTCATGACCACCCGGAGGTTCTGCAAGGCCACGTCGGCGTTCTGCTTCACCACTGTCAGGCTGGCGCCCTGGCCGCACTGCAGGGCGTCATTCTCTCGCTGGAAGTTGGAGACCTGCGCCTGGAGCAAATTGATTTCCTGTTTCAGTTTCACGACGTGGTTTTCTGCCTTTACAGCCCGTTTGGTCATCAGCTCCAGGTTCTGCTCCACCTGCTGAACCACCGACTCCAAGTCGTGGTAGTCGCTTTCCTCCTTGATCATTTTTGCTTCTAATTTCCGCTCAAGTGTCCTCACCATTTCTGTTTGAGCTTCAGAGAAGCTCTGAACCTCATTCAGCTTTCTCCTCAGCTTAGAATTTTCATCTTTCAATGCTTCATAACTTATCTGCAGCGTCCGCAGGTGCCTGTCTCCCAGAGACTCTCCATGAGCCGCAAAGTCTGCGCTAGGACTCCCTGCCGGAGAGGCCGGAGGCACGAGAATCAGTGCCACTCAACGCCCACGGGGGCAGAGACTGAAGCCCTGCCAGCTCCGACGGGGTGGAGAAAAAGGAAAGGTATGTGCTGCAGGGCAACGTGGCGGCAGGGACCCTCTCGGGGTGAGTCTGCTTGATGGCGGACGGCAGGTAGGCCCCACTCCATCTGGTGTCCTCATCCTCCTCCTTATCCAGGAGGTCACTGGCCCCTGTCGGGTCCTCGAAAAATGGCTGCTGATACTCTAGGCCATACTCCCCGGTTTGGGAGGGTGAGGAGTTGTGGTCAAGTCCCAGTGAATGCCTCGAGGCTTCCTTTGCATAAATTCTGCTGGCTGGGTCCTCTTTTGACAGGCGGAGGTTCTTGGTCTTCAGAAACTCTTTAAAGAAGAATGGATTTGCCTCTTCAAGATCTTCAAATTTGTCATCGTCGGGAATGGCGAGGCTCCGGGCTCGGGACAGCGGGGTGGCGCCCGGGCGGCGCGGGTAGCCCGACATCGCCGCGGGCCCGGCGGGGCAGGACCTGCCTAGCCCGGCAGCGGCGGCTCCATGGCCCGGGCTCCGCCAGTGCCGCGGCCAGTGTAGCCGCCCCAGTCGCCCACTGCTCGGCCGCCCCCGCTCCTCCGAGCCTCTCCATTTCTTAGGTATTTGATTTTATTTGTAGCTATTATTAGATGGGATTACTTTTTAAATTTCTTTCTCAGATTTCACTGTTGGCATATAGAAATGCTACTAAAAATGCTAATTTTTGTATATTGATTTTCTGTTCTGCAGCTTTACTGAATTTATCAGTTCTAATAGTTTTTTGGTGAAGTTTTCAGGTTTTTCCAAATGTGAGATCATATCATCTGCAAGCAAAGGTAATTTGACTTCTTCCTTTCCAATTTGGATGCCTTTTATTTCTTTCTCTTGTCTGATTGCTGTAGCTAGGACTTCCAGTACTATGTTGAATAACAGTGATGACAGTGGGCATCCATGTCATTCTCCAGGTCTTACAGGAAAGGCTTTTTGTTTTTCCCCATTCAGTATGATACTAGCTGTGGGTCTGTCATACATGGCTTTTATTATGTTGAGGTATGTTCCTTCTATATCTGGTTTTTTGAGGGTTTTTATCATGAAGGGACGTCGAATTTTATCAAATGCTTTTTCAGCATCAATTAAAATGATCATATCATTTTTGTCCTTCATTCTGTTGATATGATGTATCACACTGATTGATGTGTGTATGTTGAACTATTCTTGCATCCCAGGGATAAATTCCACTTGGTCATGATAAATGATTTTTTTTTTTTTTTTTGAGACGGAGTCTCTCTCTGTCACCCAGGCTGGAGTGTAGTGGCGCGATCTCGGCTCACTGTAAGCTCCGCCTCCCGGGTTCACGCCATTCTCCTGCCTCAGCCTCCCGAGTGGCTGAGACTACAGGTGCCTGCGACCACACCCGGCTAATTTTGTGTATTATTAGTAGAGACGGGGTTTCACCGTGTTAGCCAGGATGGTCTTGATCTCCTGACCTCGTGATTCGCCCGCCTTGGCCTCCCAAAGTGCTGGGATTACAGGCGTGAGCCACCACGCCCACCTGATGAATGATCTTTTTAATGTATTGTTGAATTTGGTATGGTAGTAGTTTGTTGAGGATTATTGCACCAATATTAATCAGATATTGGCATGTAGTTTTCTTTTTTTTTTGATGTGTCTTTGTTTGGTTTTGGTATCATGCTAACCTCAGAATGAGTTTGTAAGTATTCCCTACTCGTCTATTTTTGGAATAGTTTGAATAGGATTGGTATTATTTCTTCTTTAAATGTTTGATAGAATTCAACAGTGAAGTTAAGTCCTGCGCTTTTCATTACTGGGAGACTTTTTATTATGGTTTCGATCTTGTTGCTTGTTATTGATCTGTTCAGGTTTTGGATTTCTTCATGGTTCAACCTGGGGAGGTTTTATGTGTCTAGGAATTTGTCCATTTCTTCTAGATTTTCCAATTTATTGGCATATGGTTGTTCATAGTAGCCACTAATAATCTGTTGAATTTCTGTGGTATCAGTTGTAATGCCTCCTTTTTCATTTCTGATTTTATTTGTTTGTTTATCTTCTTTTTCTTAATCTGGCTAAAGGTTTGTCTTTTTTTTTTTTTTTTTTTTTTTTTTTTTTTTTTTTTTTTTTTTGAGACAGAGTCTTGTTCTGTCACCCAGGCTGAAGTGCAGTGGCATGATCTCGGCTTGCTACAACCTCTGCCTCCCAGGTTCAAGTGAATCTCTTGCCTTAGCCTCCCAAGTAGCTGGGATTACAGGCATGGACACCCCGCCCAGCTGATTTTTGTATATTTTATAGAGACAGGGTTTCACCATGTTGCCCAAGCTTGCCTCAAACTCCTGACCTCAAGTGATCCTCCTGCCCTGGGCTCCCAAAGTGCTGGGATTACAGGCATGAGCCACCACACCCAGCCTCTATTTTGTTTAACTTTTTAAAAAACCAACTTTTTGTTTCTTTTATCTTTTGTATTGTTTTCTTCATTTTAATTTTATTTATTTCTTCTCTGATCTTTATTATTTCATTTCTGCTACTAATTTTGGGTTTGTTTTGCTCTTGCTTTTCTAGTTCTTTAAGATGCATTGTTAGGTTGTTTATTTGAAGTTTTTCTTCTTTTTCAATGTAGGCACTTTTAACTATAAAATTCCCTCTTAGTAGTGCTTTTACTATATCCCATAGTTTTGGTATGTTGTGTTTTCATTATCATTTGTTTCAAGAAATTTTCAAATTCCTTCTTAATTTCTTCATTGACTGGTCATTCAGGAGCATATTGTTTAATTTGCATGTATTTGTATAGTTTCCAAAATTATTCTTGTTATTGATTTCTAGTTTTATTCCATTGTGGTCAGAGAAGATGCTTGATATTATTTCAATTTTTTTAATGTTTTAAGACTTGTTTTGTGACCTAACATGTGATCTATCCTTGAGAATGATCCACGTGCTGAGGAGAATATGTATCCTGCAGCCGTTGGATGAAGTATTCTGTAAATATCTATGAGAACCATTTGGTCTATAGTGCCGATTAATGTTTGTTTCTTTGTTTATTTTCTGTCTGGAAGATCTGTCCAATGCTGAAAGTGAGGTGTTGAAGTCTCCAGCTATTATTGTATCAGGGCCTATCTCTCTCTTTAGCTCTAACAATATTTACTTTATATATCTGGGTGCTCCAGTGTTGGGTGCACATTTATTCAAAATTGTTATCTCCTCTTGCTGAATTGACTTATTTATCATTTTTTTTTTGAGCGGAGTCTCATTCTGTTGCCCAGGCTGGAGTGCAGTGGTGCAATCTCAGCTGATTGCAAACTCCACCTCCTAAGACCCCTTAATCATTGTATAGTGACCTTGTTTGTCTCTTCTTATAGTTGTTTTTTTTTTTGAAATCTATTTTGTCTGATAGAAGTATAGCAACTCCTGCTCTTTTTTTTTTTGTTTCCATTGGCATGGAATATCTTTTTTCATCCCTTTATTTTCAGTGGATGTGTGTTCCCTGGCATTTAAGGATCTCCAGCATCTGGCTCCTACTTGTCACTCAATGTATTGCTCACTTCTTATAACTCTTGCCTTGATTAAAATGATGCTCCTTGTTTCATATAATTTCCTGATATTCTCACCTTTCTGACAATTCCTTTTCAATTTCCTTTTAGGGCACCTTTTCCTCATAAATATCAGTTTCCCAAAAGTTTTGATGTTGGTCTTTTTCTGCCCTTTTCATCTTATGTACGTTCTTATTTACCTGGATGGCTTTACTATAATCACCAAGTCCATATGTTTGTCTACATCTAGAAATCTCTCCTGAATTCTAGACCTGGATAATTGCATATATTTTTGATGTCTCAATGGGCACTTCAAACTCAACTTGTCCAAAACCAAATTCAGTTTTTTTCCTTGAGCTTAGTTCACTTACTGTATTTTTAGTCTAAAAGAATGACCCACAAGCCAAAATCTGGGATTCACCCTGCGTTTCTTCCCACTCCTTACTTCTCATCTGAAATTGCAACTCTTATCCCTCCCTCTAACAATTGCCATCTCCATCTCAGAAAATTTTATCACCATACATCCAGCTGCTCAAGACAAAACTCTTGAAGTCTCCCTGATCTCTCTCTCTCTTTCCATCATTCCAGTATCTAATCCTTCAGCAAGTCCTATCGGTTCTATCTCCAAAATTTTCCCCAAGCCTCTGTTTCTTGTTGAATGAATCCAAGTAGTCACTAGGTTCTGCAGATTCTTTTCTGTAACATCTCCATAGCTCTTCCTCCCCTCCATTGCTCTGCCCTTTATTCAGTATAGGTACTCTCCGTCCCTTGTCAAGATGACCATAACTGCCTTCCTACTGGTCTGTCTGTCTCCAGTCTTATACCCTGTAAAGCCATATTGATTAATTCCAATGATATTTAATGGAGGGACCACTGTGCTTGGGAAACATCTGTGATCCTGCCCTCATGGGGCTTATGTTCTGGTGGGAAAGACAGACATTCCATACTTCTAAGTATCACAAATGGTGCGAGAACCCTAGGGAACAAGAGTGTAAAAACTTGGAGAGCTAACTTAGCCTTAGGTGTCAAGCAAAGCTTTTCAGTGAAGCAAAGTTTCAGTTGAAAACTGGGGAATGAGTAAGAGGCAATTAGGAGAAGGAGAAGGTGAGGGGAAGTGTAGGGTATCCTAGTCTTTGGAACCGTCGGATGACAAAATGTGTGATGAGCCTCCTCCACGCTGTGAAAAGTTTGATATTTCTATCTTCTTACTTGAAAAATTTTTTTCTGTTAGAAAGTAATCCATACTCATTGTATGATATTTAAAAAATATGAGACATGCAGGAAAGAAAGTAACATTTAATCACGTTTTTCCCATTCAGAGACAAGCATTGTAACATTGAGGTGCACGTCCTTTCAGCTTTGTCTAAGCCCATATATGTTTTCGAAATGATCTTTCTACACTAAAAATCTCATCAAATTATTTCCTTTCTTAAAAAGCCTCAGTGGCTTCTCACTGTCTAGGATTCCAGTTACCTAGCCTAATGCTTAGCAATAAATGTTTGCTGAATGTAAGGCTAATTGCATGAGTGAGCAACAGAATAAATGCTTGAGTATTCATCTCCATGCACTCTTCTTCTTTTTCCTTCCCTACTCAACAAAGCCTTGTCTTAGGTTCTGACTCTACCCAAAGCCTTCTTCAAAGGCCCCAGCTCTCATGATAACACCTATCTTTAAGCACAGATTGTATTGCTCTTGAGGTCCTCAGCAAAGGTTAACTGCCTTAGAATTTATTTTTCTATAGTTACACTTAGAAATCTTTTGTGCTTAATTGTCTGTGGACAACATCATGCCATTCCTTCTGCACTCCACCCTCATCTCAGGGGTTGAAAGCCGGAGAACCACATGTCCCTGAATACTTTGCTGGCAGTGTTCCCAGTTAGATTCCACCAATGAGAGGCATTCACCTGAGATCTGGAGTAAGAAAGGCAGCAGAAGCATTTCGTCGCTCTTCTGGTTGAGGAGGCACATGTGTGGCAGAGGTTTCCTCTGAAATTTTCCTGCTTTGCTGTTGTCGGCAGCTGGAATTATCAATGGTGGCTTTCTGCAGTTCCAGAAGCTCTGGATTTTCTAAAAGAGGCAAACTTGAGTTCTGACCATTGTGCCTTTGTTCCTTTCTAGCTCATTCTGTGTTAGTGCTTCTTTCTCTTGATGCCTCACCTGAACTCCCTCATGGGCTAGAGCTATGTCCTATGCCTCTTTGTATCTCCTTATGTGGCACAGTGCTTTGCCTGGCTTAGTTCCTCAATACATATCTGCTGCTGCTGAGAAAGACAGTAACATCCAATACTTCATTACTGTTGAAAAAATGCCTATCTTAGTGGACAGAGCTGTATCTTTCTAGTGACTTAACCTTCTCCTCTACAGTGGTTTACTGAGGATGTGTGTACTTGTGTAATATAACAGAAGAATGTTGCAAGACAGGTGAATACCTACCAGTAACTCAGCTCACCGAAGTGATAACACTAATTTTGCAGCACAACCAACCACCACTTGAAGAATTCACCAGTATTTATTAACCATCTATTGTGTAGCTAGAACTGCATTAGGCTTTGATGGGGTTGGATGCCGGGGGAAATTACTATAAACTTGTGTCCATCTGCTAGTGCCTAGTAGGTACCACGCATGGTGCTAGATGTTGAGATAATGTGGTCAATGAGCATGGCAGCTCTCTGCCCTCCAAGAGGTTACAGCCTAGTAAGTTCAATGCCTGATGGGTCTTACTGAAAAGAAGTAAGGCTGGACATTCCCCATTCCACCGTTACTCTCTGTGACCCTGGCCCAGATATCATCGAAGTCACCATGTCTACTGAGGCCCCTAGAGTTTCTAGAAGACAGGGCTGTGAACCAGGCCCTGTCTGGGGTTCTCTCCAGCATGCCAGCATTTATAGCCTCCTTGACTATTGTCAAGGTCAGCATGGTCCTTTCAGGATTGCTTTCTTCTTGCTCAGCACTTCATTTACTGCAGAAACCTGGCCTAGAAGCTCATGGCATCTGACCTTAAATATTAGGGAAAAAAAAAGAAAAGGAGAGTGGTAATGTGACTGTTGAAAGGTGGGGTTGGATGAACTTTTACAAACAGACTAGAGCAGTATTCTATGCCAGGCTGCAGGGTAGAACATATAGGGGATAGAATAACATTTAAATACTGTATTTTGAGATTTTAAGGAAAAAGGAAAGAAATATAAAATCTACTAAGTAACTGAAGAGGTGCAGTGGTGGCCATCCCATGGGTTTAGCTAACGTTTACTGAGGGTTTACTGTGTGCCCAGCACTGTTCCAAGTGAGTTATATTAATATTCATTTAATCCTCACAAAACCTGTGGGTAGGAATGTGCTACTATGATCCCCATTTGACAGGTCAGGCTACTGGGGCAGGAGAGAAGAACCTTGCCCAAGGCCACATCAATAAATGGTGGGACTGAAGTGTGAGTCTGGGTAGTTTGATCAAAATTAGGGGAGAAATTAAGTTTCCATCTTCTGGAATTTCTCTTGGTTCATCTGAGCTAGTCTGATCTGGCTACCCAGAGAGCAAGTGCCAAAGAAATGATAATTTTAAGAGGTAGTTGTAAAGTGGGCCTGTGGGTGTTTTCCATGACTGCTGTGATCTGAGATGTTTATACTCAGGCCCCAGCAGTCACAGTTATCTCTTGGGTCTAGACATCCCCCCCGCAAATGGGTATGTGTCATTTGATCATTGATCAGCCAGAAGCATCTTAGTGTGAATTGCCGCATCAATTCACTTTATTTTCAAGATGTGTAGCTCAGAACAGATAGATTGTAATGGAGGGCAAGGAGAGAGAAGGGGTAAGAGAAAGGGAGCAATAGGGGTTGATTTACTCAGCATCTGCTGCAGGATGTTAGGGGGCAAAAGTCCCTTCAGAAAAACATGTGACCTTGAAACTTTAGAAGTATACCCTTGAAGATCAAGATTAAAACAAGGATAGCAGCTTTCAGTACTCCTATTCAATTTTGTGCAAAAATATAAGAATAGAAAGGAAGGGAATCAAACTGTCATTTTCACATGATATTTTTTAGAGAAACTTGTGAAAATCTACGAAAAAGTTATTAGAATTAGTAAGGGAATAAAACCAAAAATATAAAGTAACTTAGAATAAATCTAACAAAAGATATATTAAGATGCTTATGGAGAAACCTATAGAACCTTGCCAGTAGAAAATAAACCAATAATATTAAATGGAGAGATAATGAAGAATAAATGGAGAGATAGCCCACATTTGCAGATAAGAAAACTTAATGTTCTGACTGGTACACCAGTGTTTCCTATATTTGTTTGCATGAGTGGCCATAACAAAGTACCAGAGGTTGTGTGGCTTAAACAACAGAAATTTATTTTCTTGCACTTCTGGAGGCTGGAAGTCTGAGATAAAGGTGTCAGTAGGGTTGATTCCCTTGGAAGGCTTACTCTTTGGCATGTAGATGGCCAGCTGCTTTCTTTGTCCTCACCTGGTCTTTCCTCCATGCTTAGAACATAGCAACAGGAATAAATGGACTTGAGTCACATGTATCAATAGTATGGCAGACAGATCTTAGGCAGACAGACAGATCCAGGCAGATAGACAGATCCCAATGACTCCTACCTGCTGGTGTCCATCCTTTTTGTAATCCCCTCCCTTTGAGCATGGGAAGAACCTGTAACTTGATGCTAATCCATAGAATATGACAAAAGTGATGGGATAGGTCTTTATACTATGTAAGACTCCGTTGTAGCAGACTAGAGCGAGAGACTTCTTATGGCCTTGAAAAAGCATGCTGCTGTGACATGAACTGCCCAGAAAGAGGGCCACATGGCAAGGAACTGTGAGCAACTTTTAGAAGCTGAGACCCTCGGCCACATAGAATCAAGGAAATGAGTTATGCCAAAACCTTGAAGGGCTTGGAAGTGAGTTCTTCTCCAGCCAGCTTCTCTAGATGAGATTGGAGCCCAGGCAGCACCTTGACTGCAACTGTGAGATCCTGAGCAGGGGACCCAGCTAAGCCACACCTGGGCTTCTGAGCCACACAAACTGTGAAACAATAAATATGTGTTGTTTTCAGCCACCACATTTGTAGCAGTTTGTTATGCAGCAATAAGAAATAAACACAAACATGGATAAAAACATAATATTGGGCCAGGTGCAATGGTTCATGCCTGTAATCCCAACACTTTGGGAGGCCAAGGCAGGAGGATCACTTGAGGCCAAGAGTTTGAGACCAGCCTGGGTAACACGGGGAGACCCGTCTGTACAAAAAAACTTAAAAAAATTAGCTGGGTATGGTGGTGCATGCCTGTGGTCTCAGTTACTCAGGAGGATGAGGTGAGAGAATCGCTTGAGCAAGGGAGGTTGAGGATGCAGTAGCCATGATCACAACACGGCACTCTAGCCTGGGCAAAAGAGTGAGACTTTGTCTCAAACAAACAAACAAACAAACAGACAACAACAAAAAACAAAAACACAAAACCAAAAACCAAACCAAAACAAAACAAAAAACTCTATAATATTGACAGAAATAAAGCAAGTTGCATCAAGAGACATACAATGATACTATTTACATAAAGCTTAAAAACACTTGGACCAATTCTATATACTGTTTAAACCTACCTATAGACATACGTGATAAAAATATAAAGATATGTACTGGAATGATAATCCCAATTTCAGGAAAGTGTTTCTTTCTTGGAGAGAGGGAAGTATCAGAGATACATACACAGGAAGTGTTTGTAATGTCTTTTCTTTCCTAAGCTGGGACCCTACCCAGCTTACAAGATACAAGAGGGTTTATAACACTCTTCCGTATATCTTTTTGTTTGCCTGAAATATTCCATAATTTAAAAAAATGTCTGTCTCGAGCTTTAAGCTCCAGTGGGGATGATGCTGTGTTGATAATGAATTTTGCCCCCTTCCCAACATTTTCCAGCCCTGTACTTGGCAAGAGCATGGGAAGAAGAAGAGCCTGTGAGGCCAAGCTAGGAATGGCCACAGGGGAGTAGAGCTGGAGGGAGATGGGAAGGCAGGAGGCAGAGGGATGGTGGTCTGCAGAGGTGCCTGTGGGAATCCTGTTCCCCAGTCACTCTAAGCTGCCTATACACTCATTTTTCAGGGACCAGATGGCCTTAAATGGGTGACCTCAGCACTTCCACAAGAGGACCTCGTCATTACCCGTGGCTTTGCCCTTGCATGGAATGGAACAATCGCCCACACAGCAGACTTGCTGTAATACCATCCTCTGAGAAAACAATTAAGAAGACTGAAAAATAAAGCCCAAACATTGGCAGTTAGGCTATTAGGGGGAATCAAACTTGTGTTTTGTTTTGTTTTTTAAAGCCTGAACAGCATGGCCTTAGGAGGAAAATCTGAGACAGGACAGTACCACTACCACTCAGTAGGAAAGGAAAGTAAGTGGATTTTCCCATCATTTTTAAGCAGTTAGTCATCTTCAGGGAGGGACAGTGGGGTCTTTCATCTTTTTGATTTACACCCATGAAATTTGGGAGATGTTAGGATGCCTTGGTTGTATAAGGAAACCTCTGATCCCCAGAAGCGATGTAGAGGGAATTTCCAGTGGTGTGTTGGTAACATTTAACAGCCGGCTTTCCAGGGGGAAAATCCATTTGCTGATTTCCATGGCATGAATACTCCCACAATGGCCGATTTTTAAGCTACCAATGTGATGTCACGGAGCATAATCATCTTTGGAAAGCCATACATGCTGGCTGCAACATACTGCTGGAGTTTCCTTCATTACAGGATGGTGAGCACTCCAGCTGGAGGTCGCAGCCTCAGGGAGGATGGTCACTGTCAGGGAGGAGACCCCTATATCTATGGACTCTCTCAGCTCCTTCTCAGTGCAAAAAATTCAACCTATGTATGATACTTCTCCCATCATCCCCAGCCTAGAAGGCAGGACTGTTTGCAGATCTCAGGGAAGCTTCATCTGGGGCTTAGTTTGGAAACTCTACTCTTGGAGAATTTCAAATTTCCATGTACTGTGTCCAGTTTTACCATCCTCTTGAAGTTTTGCAGTCTGAAGGGCATTTTCTGTGAAAACTTAGGGGGTCTATGTTGGTTAGAATGATTTGAGCACAAGTAAGACAGCACCCTTACCCAATTTGCTTAAATGATGAAGAAATAAATACTCAGAGAATGAAAAATCCCAAGGTAAGAAAGCACCAAGATTGATTAACTTAGGGGATCAAGAATGTCATTGAGGACCCAGATTCCTCCCATATTTCTTCTCTGTCATCCTTTGTCATGTTCAGCTCCCCTCATAGTAGTAAAATGGCTGCCATATTCCAGGCAAGGGTGACAACCACCATTGGAAGGAGAAGGACCAACTCTTACTATATTGGAAAACTGTTCCAGAAGCCTCATTTGACAGAATTGGGTCAAACATTCTTTTCTACATGAAACAATGTCAGGGAGACTAGAATTACTATGATTGTCTTAGAATAGATCAGGATTTAATACGAGTCACATGGAAGAGGTGTAAACAACCAGACAAAATTGTGGTCATGCTTGGTAGGCAACTGTCCTCCCAAGAATTCTTCCACTATTTCAACTCTAAGGCTGTCAACTTGACAAGTTGGTTTGGTCCTTTTGGCTGATTATAGAGATCCACTTGAATCAGAATAATCAACATGATCAGAAATAAATTATGCTATGTTTACTAAATTGATTAACCTCAAGATCAATTTATTTAAAAAGCACTTATTCAGGAGCTATGGGAACTTGGCACTCAGAAGCCACAACTAGTAGGCACCAGGCCCACCGGTATGTAGACATAAATAATTGGACTTAGAGCTCCTAATCAACAGACAGAATACATTAACATTTCTTCCAGGTGAGTAGAGGTAAATAGTTTAATTTTTTTATTTTTATTTTTTATTATACTTTAAGTTCTGAGATATATGTGCAGAACGTGCAGGTTTGTTACATAGGTATACACGTGCCATGGTGGTTTGCTGCACCCGTCAACCCGTCATCTACATTAGGTATTTCTTCTAATGCTATCCGTTCCCTTGCCCCCCACCTGCTGACAGGCCCTGGTGTGTGATGTTCCCTTCCCTGTGTCCATATATTCTCATTGTTAAACTCCCACTTATGAGTGAGAACATACGGTGTTTGGTTTTCTCTTCCTGTGTTAGTTTGCTGAGAATGATGGTTTCCAGCTTCATCCATATCCATGCAAAGGACATGAACTCATTCTTTTTTATGGCTGCATAGTATTCCATGGTGTGTATGTGCCACATTTTCTTTATCCTGTCTATTGTTGATGGGCATTTGGCTTGGTTCCAAGTCTTTGCTATTGTGAATAGTGCTGCAATAAACATATGTGTGCTTGTGTCTTTATAGTAGAATGATTTATAATCCTTTGGGTATATACCCAGTAATGGGATTGCTGGGTCAAATGGTATTTCTAGTTCTAGATCCTTGAGGAATCACCACACTATCTTAGCAAAAAGAACAAAGCTGGAGGCATCATGCTACCTGACTTCAAACTATACTACAAGGCCACAGTAACCAAAATAGCATGGTACTGGTACCAAAACAGATATATAGACCAATGGAACAGAACATAGGCCTCAGAAATAACACCACACATCTACAACCATCTGATCTCTGACAAACCTGACAAAAGCAAGCAATGGGGAAAGAATTCCCTATTTAATAAATGGTGTTGGGAAAACTGGATAGCTATATTCAGAAAACTGAAACTGAACCTGTTCCTTACACCTTATACAAAAATTAACTCAAGATGGATTGAAGACTTAAATGTAAGACCTAAAACCATAAAATCCCTAGAAGAAAACCTAGGCAATACCATTCAGGACATAGGCATGGGCAAAGACTTCATGACTAAAACACCAAAAGCAATTGCTACAAAAGCCAAAACTAACAAATGGGATGTTATTAAACTAAAGAGCTTCTGCAGAGCAAAAGAAACTAGCATCATAGTGAACAGGCAACCTACAGAATGGGAGAAAAATTTTGCAATCCATCCATCTGACAAAGTATTAATATCCAGAATCTACAAGGAACTTAAACAAATTTACAAGAAAAAACAAACAACCCCATCAAAAAGTGGGTGAAGGATATGAACAGGTACTTCTCAAAAGAAGACATTTATGTGGCCAAAAAACATATGAAAAAAGCTTATCATCACTGGTCATCAGAGAAATGCAAATCGAAACCACAATGAGATACCATCTCATGCCAGTTAGAATGGCTATCATTAAAAAGTCAGGAAACAGCAGATACTGGAGAGGATGTAGAGAAATAGGGATGCTTTTACACTATTGATGGGAGTGTAAATTAAATACTTAAAAAAGTGCATGTGACTATGATTTTCAACAGGAAAGAATGCCAGGACAATTTAATGTGGAAAGAAGAGTCCTCCCCAAAAATGCTCCTGGGACAATTGGATATCCACATGCAAAAGGATAGAGTTGGATTCTTGTCTCATGTCATATGCAAAAATTAACTCAAAGTGGATCACTGGCTTAAGTGTTAAAGCTAAAACTATAACAAACTTGTAAATCTCATAACCCTGGATTAGTCAATGGTTTCTTATATATGACACCTAAAGCACAAGAAACAAAGGAAAAAAATTTTGACCTTATTAAATTAAAAATTATGGTGCTTCAAAAGACATTATCAAGAAAGTGAAAAGATAATCCAAGAAGGGGAGAAAATGTTTGCAAACCATCTATCTATTAAAGGTCTAGTATCCTGAATATATAAAGAACTCTTACAACTCAACAATAAAAACCAAAAAAAAAACAAATGAAACAATGGGCAAAGAATTGTCCAAAGAAGATATACAAATGTTCAATAAGCACATGAAAAGATGTTCAACATCATTAATCATTAGAGAAAGGAAAATAAAAACTGTAACATAGCATTTCAGACCTGCTATAAAAAAAGACAAATAATAACAAGTGGGGACACAGAAAAATTGGAATTTTTATACATTGTTGGTGGGAATATAAAATGGTGCAGCCACTTTGGAAAACCATTTGGCAGTTCCTCAAAAAATTAAATATAGAGAGACCATATGCCCCGGAAATTAACTGCACTCCTAGTCAAATATCCAAATATCAAAGACAAAAGCATTTATCTGCATAAAAACTTGGACACAAATGTTCTTAGCAGCATTATTCATAAAAGCCAAAAAGTTGAAACAACTCAAATCTTCATCAACTGATGAATAGATAAACAAAATGTGGTATATCCATATGATAAAATATTATTTAGCCATAAAAAGGAATGAAATTCTTAGATATGCTACAGCATGTATAAATCTTGAAAACATTATGCTCAGTGAGAGAAGCCAGACACAAAAGGCCACATATTGCATGATTCAGTTTATATGAAATGTCCAGAACAGACAAATCCATAGAGACAGAAAGTAGATGAGTGGTTGTCATGGACTGGGGGAGGGGGAAGTGGGAAGTGACTGCTAATAGGTGTGGGGTTTCTTTTTGAGTTGATAAAAATGTTCGCAAATTAGATAATGGTGATGGCTGTTCAACCTTGTGAGCACACTAAGAACCATTAGATCAAAATATTAAAAGCATACTTTTATGGTATGTGAATTAAATCTCAAAAAATATATAATGGCCGGGCACAGTGGCTCATGCCTGTAATCCCAGCACTTTGAGAGGCCGAGGTGGATGGATCACTTGAGGTCAGGAGTTCGAGATCAGCCTGGCTAACATGGTGAAACCCCGTTTCTACTAAAAGTACAAAAAATTAGCCGGGCGTGGTGGCATGTGCCTGTAACCCCAGCTACTTGGGAGGCTGAGGCAGGAGAATCGCTTGAACATGGGAGGCGGAGGTTGCAGGGAGCCAAGATTGCGCCATTGTACTCAAACTTGGGAAACAAGAGCCAAGAGCAAAACTCTGTCTCAAATATATATATATATATATATATACACACATATATATATATATATATGTATATATATATATGCGCATATATATACACATATATATATGCGCATATATATACACATATATATATACACATATATATATGCGCATATATATATATATGACTATCTCAGGGCTTTGGGGAAAATAAGACAAAGAAAATCAGTGTACTAATAAATGTTTAGTTTATGACATTTATTATATAAAATGATATTATGGTTGTGAAATTTACTTACTCCATTTTTTATCCTCCTGCCTCCCTGATCTAAATGACTTACAGTGTAGATCAGTAGTTCTCAACTCTGGCTACACACTTGCACATTTTAGAACCACCAGGGGAACGTTTACAAAATACAGTTCTTGGGTTTGACCCATGGCCAATTAAATCAGAGTCTCTGGTTCTCTTCCCCACCCCAACACTGCCAATTTCTTTTATTAAAACTTCCCAAGCGATTACCATGTGCTGCCAAGACTGAGAGAATTATAGGGTAGACCAAGACCTGGGCAACACTGAGTCAGATTATGTGGGGATCCTTCAGCAAGTCTTTTCATTTTTCTCTTCTTAAGTCAGGTTTATTGAGATATAATATATATATATATTAAAATTTATACTTGTAAAATGTACAGTTCAATGAGTTTTGGCAAAGTATTTGACAACCACCACCATCAAGATATACAACATTTCCAGTACTCCCCTAAATTACTTTGTGTCCCTCTGCAACCAATCCCTTCCCCCGTATATTTGATGTACATACTAGAATGCTGTGCAACATTAAAAAGCATGTCTTTTTAAATAAATGTAAGAAAATGGAGAAAAAAGTTACTATATAAGGAGCAAACAGAAAAAATTCCCTATATAATATAATCTTAATTGTTTAATCTTGTTTTTATGTATATGCACAGATATTATATGTCTCTCTACATATGAAAACATTCGTAGAAAAAAATTACTGGTTATTTCTGGTTGTGAAAATTACAGAAAATGTTAATTTTCTTTTTTATATTTTTATACATTTTCTAGTTAGTCTACAATAATAAGTTACTTTTGTCATGAAAATAATGATATTTACAAAATAGCAACCTATGGTCAAGTAATGCATCAAGAGCCTTCTAAGGATCGAACTGTCAGCCCCTAGGTTCTGGGTCCCTAGCTGCAAATGCAGATTTCTAATTTCACACACCAGGTCATTGGCTCATAGCAACTGCTATTGCTAAAAGAGGTTAATGAGAAGATACTGACTTCTACTGAGATGGATATCAAAACATATTGACTCAAGAGAAGGAAATATTGATGGGAAAAGAATCAAGGTCTTTCATTGCCTTGAAGGGAGTAATAAACCTTCTTAGCTGAATCCCACATTCTCTTCTCTGTTTTTATAGGCACACACATCTAATGTCAAAGATGGTGCATCTCTGTAAGCACTATTAGAGACTTGAACTCAGTAACTATTACAAGGGATGAATAAGAAGAAAATGGGTACAGAATAAATATAATTTATGGAGCGTGACAGCGTGCGCGCGCGCGCACACACACACACACACACACACACACACACACACACACACACAGAGAGAGAGAGCGCCAACACAAGATATTGACCCTAGAGGTCTGTTCAGCTTTGGTTTCAGTTCTTTTAGATTCAGCAGAATCCTAATTAAAGATATGAAGACATATCTTCCAGCCAGCTCAAACAGATCAAAACCAGCTGAGAGCAGCTCTAGGTCTCCAAACTAGACAACTGATTCAGGCTCCCTTAGAGCCAGCACATTGGCCTACTGGGTTTTGGGAGATTTCTTAGGATGAATACAATTAGAGACGACCACAGATGACTGACGTTGGAATGCTTTCTCCTACATTTTTCTCAAATAAAATAAGACATAATAACATGTTGGTTGAACCATCATTTGAATCAGTGACTTTTTTCCGGGTTGTTCTGGAATGGGTTATACTATTTGGACAAAATGAGTTGAAATTAGTTTCATATTAAACTATTCCCCTAGTTTGAATATAGGCTCTTGTATCATTTTTCCATTTACATGTTACTAAGAAAAAAAAAACTGAATCCCTTAGAATGCTAGCAGCTCTAAGAAACAAACTCCTGATTCAAGAAAGTTCTGAAGTAGGAAAACTTGAGAGGTGGTTAATTCAGCAGGATAGCAACATCATAAAAACACAGGATTTCTTCCATTTTCTGTTCCGACATCCTTGGTGTGTTTTCTTTGTCTTTGGCTAGCACCCCTTATGGTTGGTTGTAAGGTGTCTGCCACAGTTCTAGGTGTTCTTTGTAGATGTGACAATATCCAATTCTTTTGAATTTGTTTTGTTTTGTTTTGTTTTGAGACAGGGTCTCACTCTGTTGCCCAGGCTGGAGTCCAAGGGCATGATCACAGCACCCTGCAGCCTTGACCTCCTGAACTCAGGTGATCTTCCTACTTCAGCCTTGAGAGTAGCTGCGACTACAGGTTCACACCACTATGCCCAGCTAATTTTTGTGTATGTGTTTTGTGTTTGTTGCTGTGGGTTTTTTTTTTTCATTGTTGTTTTTTTTTTTTTTAAGACAGGGCCTCGTCATGTTGCCCAGGCTGGTCTCAAAATCATGGGCTCAAGCAATCTGCCTGCCTTGGCCTCCCAAAGTGCTGGGATGGTAGGTGTGAGCCACCACACCTGGTCTTTTTTTTTTTTTTTTTTTTTTTTTGAGTGAAGGAACCTTTCCTTGAATCTCCATCTGTGTCCTCTCCTTTATGTCTCACCCACCCTCAAATTCACTGCATGTTCTTGCCTAAATTAGTCACTGGCAAGGGTGATGAAATTACCCTGGTTGGCTTAGATCAGTCAGAGCCCTTCCCTGAGCCCAACCAAGATCAGGAGGTGGTGAGTAGACATCAAAATAAAATTAGGGTTCTTGGTGAAGAAGAAGGGCAAGGCTCTCAGGGAGGCAGGCAAAATAGGGCCTGCTACCACGGTGTAGGCCTCATATGTTTGGGGAATTTGCCTTGTTCTTGGGCATCTTAAGGCATAAATCTGTCATGATGGAATTTCAGATAGCTTATTATTTACTTTACAATACCATAGGTAGTGAAGGCAATAAAAGAAAACAGTCCTCATTCTCCATGAGCTCATACTGAAGTTAAGGAGCCTCTTCGTGGACACAACTAACAGCTAGCCACTACTGAAAGTCTCTAAATGAAGAATTCTGAGAAGAAATCCTATAGCTCAGGTGTCAGCCAAGATCAGCTTTCTTAGGGAGTTAAATAAAATTGGCTCCAATCTCGATCCTACATCTTGTGAGAAATCTGAGATCTCCCCATTCCCACATCCATGACCAACTCCTCTGGATTCTGTCCTGGGCAGTGTGAAGGGCTTACATCCCAGGGGTCATGCCTGGACCCGAATTTCTGCTTCCTCTGAAGTCTGTTGCACTATGCCTCACATCTTACAGACATTTCCTTGTGCAGTGCTGACCCAGATGTGTGATGTAGCTCCTGTCTTTTGGTTTATCTTTCCCCATCACATGAGTTAAAAAAAAGCATTTGTGTGGGTGGAAGACTTAACTTAAGGTTTGGGACCAGGAAGAGGGATTTATAGAAAACAAAGCAAACAAGCCAGGGTTGGTGGCTCACACCTATAATCCCGACACTTTGAGAGGCCAAGGAGGGTGAATCACTTGAGGCCAGGAGTTTGAGACCAGCCTGGCCAACATGGTGAAACCCATCTCTACTAAATGTACAAAAATTTGTCAGGCGTGGTGGTGGGCACTTGTGGTCCCAGCTACTTGGAAGGCTGAGGCAGGAGTATCACTTGAACCTGGGAGGCAGAAGTTGCAGTGAGCCAAGATTGTGTCACTGCACTCCAGCCTAGGCCACAAAGTGAGACTGTCTCAAAAAAAAAAAAAAAAAAAAGGCAAAGCAAACAATGTAATATAGAGTAGACATTCTTGCTCTTAAAAGTGATTTTCCTATTTCACCTGCCCCACTCCTCCCCAGGCCTTAGCCTCATGACCTTCATAATCTTAACAATCTTTTCTGTTTTCCTACTGCCAGTTCCTATTTATTTCATGCAGAGCAGTTTTGCATTTTTTTTTTTTTGGTTTGTTTGTTTCTTTGTTTCATTGCAAACTTGTCCTAAGGATCCTAAGTATTTTCCTGAACAAAGAGAGTTATCTCTCTAAGAAAAACTCTGAAGCCAGGTGTTAAAAAAACATTTCACATTGATTCAGGCTATTATAGTAGGGAAATCTGAGCAGATCTCTTGGATGTGGAGATGGGATTGACTTCAAGAAGTGGGGGCTGCATCACCAGTGTCTGGAGACAAGGAGGAGCATCATGTTTACCAGGGACTGAGAGGAGGCTGAGTTGGTTGAAACTGATGGTTTGGGCCGGGTGTGGTGGCTCACGCCTGTACTCCTAGCACTTTGGAAGGCTGAGGCAGGTGGATCACCTGAGGTCAGGAGTTTGAGGCCAGCCTGGGCAACGTGAGGAAACCCTGCCTCTACTAAAAAAATAAAAATTAGCCGGCCGTGGTGGTGGGTGCCTGTAATCCCAGCTACTCGGGAGGCTGAGACAGGAGAATCACTTGAACCCCGGAGTTGGAGGTTGCAGTGAGCCGAGATCTCACCACTGCACTCCAGCCTGGGCAACAGAGTGAGACTCTGTCTCAAAAAATAAGTAAAAAATAAAAAAAACCTGATGGTTTGTATTTATAAATAGCAGGGGAATAATTTGGATATGGAGGTGCATAGGAAGGGGCATGATGGGGCATTACAGAGAACTTTAGAAGCGTAATCCTGTAAGTAATGAGAGTTTCTGGAGGATTTGGGGCAGGGAAAAGATATGATTAGATTTTAGAATTCAGGGAGAACACTATACCGGTAGTGATTGGGTAGGCTCTGTGGCAGACTTCAAGCTGCCCATCAACCCCTATTCTTTCTTCCTTTCTTTACTCACAGAGCTCCTGAGGTTTAGTTGAACACAACCACTGTGCCAGCCTCTCCGGCAGCTGTATGTGCACATTGGCTAAATTCTGGCCAATGGGATGCAGAAGAAGTGATGTGTTCCTTTTCTAGCGTTATCCAAAATGTGCATCATTCTCCAATAGAAAGAAATAAAGATATTTGGAGAAATGGCTGCTTCTAAAGGACTGGGTAGGAGAAGTGCAAGATCAGTCTGGAATATCTTGCTGTGCCAAAAGTAAGGAAACACTCAAAGAATGATGGAAGTGTGTTAAAAGCACACAGTAACCAGCCTGAAGGGTTCACCCTGGCCAAATCTGGGGCAATTTGAGCAACAAAATAATGATAGTACAGGAATATAACCCATAGAATGAAAAAAAGAATATGAGTCACTTTGAATATAAGGTGATTAATAAAATAAAGGTGGGGGAAGAAAAATTACTTTTTATAATAGAATTCTATCTAGTAAACATAAAAAGAAAGATGAAATTAGGAAAATCGCCATTTGGCAGCCAGCATAGTAGTAATTGTTCCAGGCAAGAATCAACAATGGGTGTTAAAACTAGTGAGTGAAAATATAAAAAGAAGCAGAATATTTACATGGTTTAAAAACATCATCCCACAATATACCTGTTAAATAAAAAAGGGCAAATATTTACTGTGGAGAAACCTGGCAGATATCACCCTAACCAAGTGGTCCAAGGTAACATCACCAACACTGGGACAGACTGCCATCAAGTGTCTCCTGATGTGATGGACCAAAGACACGCCGCTTCTGCCGCTGCCTGCCAAAAACGTATGGCCTAAATCTAGGCATGAAAAAATACCACACAAATGCAAACTGAGGACATTCTTTAAAATAACTGACGTTTTCTCTTCAAAAATGTTAAGGTCATGAAAGATAAAGATTGAAGAACTATTCCAACTTAAGGAAATTTTAAAGACAGGACAACTAAATGCAATTAATTATCCTGAATTGAATCCTGGGTCTGTAAATTATTTTTCTTTTGCTATAAAAGACATTAGAGAAACAATCAATGGAATTTGAATATCGTCTGTAAATTAGACAATAGTATTATGTCAATGTCAATTTCTGATTTTGATCATTGTATTGAGGTTATGAGAGAGTATGCCCTTGTTGTTGGGAAACACCCTATACTAAAGTTTTTAGACATAAATGGGTAAAGAGATAAATCATGTCTTTAATTTGCTCTCAAATGTTTTCAGGGAAAACTATTAAGAGAGAATGAATGATTGGCAAATATGACAAAATGTTAACACTTGGAGAATATGAGTGAAGGGTATACAGGGATTCTTTTAATATTTTTGCAATTTTTCTGCAAGTCTGAAATAATTATAAAATAAAAAGTTTTTGTTTTTGTGTTTGTAAGGAATGAGCACGCACTTCCATCTGCCCTCATCCCTTTACCCTTCCTGTTGGCTGGGAGATGATGACCCTAGAGAGTGGTGGGTGTGTGCTGTGGATGGTGGCACTGCCCTACCAGCCCTGGGCCACTGTCTTCTACTGTTTGGGGAGAAATCATCTATGTTGTTAAGTCACTGCATTGGAGGGTCTCTTTGCTACAGCTCCATGTCCTGCAACTAACTAATACCAGCTGTAATAAGGAGAGATTGGAGGAAGGTGGCTTCTTAGGAGCCTGGTGCACTGGTTTAGTTATTCCTATTGAGGGCATGGAAAATGGGGTCACGGAGAGAGTTGGTGAAGACCACTCATTTGGGGAGAGTTAGTGAAAGGAAATTAAGAATAGGAGAGCAACTTGAGGGCGCAATAGAGTCTTAGGATCCTCTGGGAGAGATTTTCCCTTTTAAGAAGCAGAGAAAATAGTCCAAGGGAGAAAAGAGATGTTTGGGAGTTGGGAAATTTTCTGGTGACCCTGGTTCCTACTGCACTGGTCACCTCTGTATATGGCTGGCCCAGATTCCAGGGCCAGATAGCAGGATTATTTGTGGTTGTAAGTGAAGGGCAGAGAACTATGAACCTACCTGGACTGAGGTGGAGAGGATCAAATATGATTTAGTGGGATACATAAGGAGAATTAAAAAGTTATAATAATCATGGTAGCAGGTAATCTTTACCAAGTCCTCATTGTGTCTTGGGACTAGTCTAAGTTCTTTACCCCATCTACTCATTTGAACCTCACAATAACCATAAGACACTATTCCTATTTTACAGACGAGTAAGCTGAGCCACAAAGAAGTTGTCAAAGGTCATTTGCAAGTAGCAGACACAAGCTTCAGATCCAGGCAAGCTGCCTCTGGGAACCCCCCTCCAATTTCTGGGGGCCACTTTTTGGTCCCCCGTCTCTCCTTCTCCTTTCCCTCCAGCAGCATTTGATGCTGACATAGGTGAACTGGAAACATATGGTCTCCTTCATTTTGTTGTGGATCTGCACTCCAGAATCTACTTCCCACAGAGCAGGAGAGGGATGGGGTGTAAGGAAGGGTGGCAGGTGTCAGCCCATGCCCTATTGAAATGACTCTGGTTCATAGGAAGGATGAAGGCCTGTCCATCTGAGGGCAAAAGAGGAAGGGCAGCCAGAAAGGGGCACGACTATTCTTTCCTGATTTTGGAGCTCTTGTACTGTTGGCGTGTGGGAGGCATTTGGGATGGGGTGAGGGTCAGAGTGGGCTTGTGGGACCGAATGTCCCCAGTCTGTTATTCCTGCCCCCACTTCAGAGTCCTGCCACTCACAAGTGTGAGACGATGGATGAAGGAGGAGGGAAGTCAGAAGAGCTTCTGTCCCTGAGGGTCTCTGCTCATTTCTTTCTGTGCTAAAGGCTTTTTCCCATTTTAAAAGCAGTAGGCAGGAAGTCCCAGAATGCCTGAAACAGGAAAAAGAGAAAGAAACTTTATAAATGCACTTTTGAACCCCGAGACCCAGCTCCTGGCCAGGAGACAGGCAAACTCTTTTAATATCCTTATTCTGGATTCACTTAAATGGAAACAGCCTCCAGTATTTTTAGCTGCTGTGTAATCAAAGTGAAAAAGAAGAAGGAAATGTATATATTTTTCTTTCCTAGTTAGAATAAGAGAAGGAATTGCTCATTATCTTTTAGCAGAGTCCCTGCTAGGAAGGGAGGAAAACACCAGGAGTCTCCATTTGCTCCTCCTCTGGCCTAGACAGGATTTAAACCCAGGAAGGGAAGCCAAGGAGAGACGAGAACCAGGGACGACCAGCAAGTACCAAGGTCTGCGGCAGGAGGAGACCGGCTCACAGGAGCAGCAGCATTGGAAGAGGCACCCAGCAGCCTCCCAGGTAAGAGTGCCAGTTGCCCAAGCTTTACTTACTGGAGGGAGGGAGGTGGCCAATGCAGATGAGCTCAAAAGTGGTGGCTCAGGTGCCTCCGTTCCCGAGCCTGAAAATCCGGGCAGTGTAATTAGTCTCCTATCACCTCCATGAAGAGTTAAAATGAATTGGGAAGTACCTCTCAGGACCCGTGTACTGCATCCTTAGTATTATACTCCAGTCTCAGACAGGGCTAAGCATAGTTATCCTCTTTCCTGCAACACAGATGCGTCTGTGTTGTATCAGCTTCTACCTGGCGTAACACATTTTTGTATAAAATGTTTCCTTTAAGATGTTCCTTCTCATTTTTTTTTCTTTTTAACTTACTTACAATGTCAAAGCTTTCTCTCTCTCTGTCTTTTTTTGGATAATTTAGTATTGTTGTATTTCATTATTCTTTTAAATCCTAAAACAGAATTGTTATTTTAGTTATGATTAGGAAGCTATGATAACTTTCCCTTTGTCTGGATTTTGTGTGAATCAGTTAAGGGGATGTTTGCAAACACATTTGAACAGCTTTGAAGTATCTCCAGACATTTAATTTTACAGGTTTTAATTATTATTTGTTAAGACGACAACTTCTCTCGAAATCCCCATACTATTACCCTCACAATACCTCAAAGAAAACATTTCAAGACATCTAAAAAAATGATGTGGTTGGCCGGGCATGGTGGCTCATGCCTGTAATCCCAGCACTTTGAGAGGCTGAGGCAGGTGGATCACCTGAGGTCGAGAGTTCGAGACCAGCCTGACCAACATGGAGAAACTCCGTCTCTACTAAAAATACAAAAAATTAGCCGGGCGTGGTGGCGCATGCCTATAATCCCAGCTACTTGGGAGGCTGAGGCAGGAGAATTGCTTGAACCTGGGAGGTGGAGGTTGCGGTGAGCCGAGATTGAACCATTGCACTCCAGCCTGGGCAACAAGAGCAAAACTCCATCTAAAAAACAAAAACAAAACAAAGCAAACAAACAAAAAAAACTAGTTTTTGGAGGTCTTACTTTTTACTTATTTATTAATTTTTGTGCTTGGGAGAGATCTGGGGGAAGGATGGAGAAAGAATGAATGAGAACAGGCAGGGCTTCACTTAAAAGCATGAAACCTGTGTTGCTTATATAAGCATTAAAAAAAAGAACAAGTTCCAACATAAAAGTAACAAACTGCCCACATTGGGACACAGGTTAGCCACAGTGCCTAAAATCCACTGGTTCTTGGAAAAGCTGAGGTGTCACCAAGGCATCAGATGATACCTTGCTCGGTCAGGGCTACGTATTGGCAGCTGGCCTCTTGACATTCAGACATTTGTTGCAGACTCAGAATCAAGGTGACAGTGTCAGACACAGGAAAAAATAGAGTATCAATACTGGTATCATTTTTCCAGGAGAGAAGGGAAGAAGGCACCTGGCATTCTTTCATACAACTCTAAGTACTGCTTTGTCCCCAGTTTATAGGCTGCAGCTGACTCCCGAAGGAGGGAAAATAGAACAAATGATTTCAAATCATCCCGTGGCTTCTGGTTTTCCAGTCCAGTGCTGCTCTGTGGTTTGAAATGTAGGGTGGGCAGAGCTCTCTTTCTGAGAAGATGCCTGAGGAAATTGTGCCCAGGCCCAGTGGAAACTTTTGTCCATTCACTGCTCATTCCAGAGCCTTGGCTCCTATAGGATCTGGATACAGACATGAGATCATGGTTTAGGTCCTGTAGCCACATCTGGAGCCACCAGTCTGTGAGCAGAAGTTGCTAAGATCTCAGGCCTGATCTCTGGATGGACAGGGACTTTGCTGCTTCTGCCACAGTGGACTCACTGCTAATGCTGCCCAGCCACCATTTGAATCTGTACCCAGCGAGTGTGAGTGGAACAGTGCAAATGCTTGGAAATTAGCAAACGCTCTCCTCCTTGCTAGAAGACTGGAACTTTAAAGTTACTTCAATATGTGGAAAACAACACGTTAGCTAAAGAAAGAAATTGCAGAGTTTTTTGTTTTGTTTTGTTTTAATCTGACGCCCCTCACACCCATGGATATTAGGGCTAATTGTATACAAAGTAATATTTAGTCATTCTGGGGACTGGCTGTTTGGTTGAATAAGGGAGAGGAAGGTTCCTGAATTTAGGTCCCGTGTCTATTTTATCTTGTTATTGTGCATGAGCTTGGTCCCACAAAAGCTAAAGGAAGTTCTTGCTGTGAGAAAGTGATTCATTCTCTGGGGGTAAATGAACATCTTTGCCTGATGTCCAAGAGGAGATTTTAAAGTGCTTTGCACAGAGCCTGGCATGTAATAAATGCATAGAAAATGGTAGCTACCATTATCATCACTCATTTGAGCCTTTGCAAGGCAGATTAAGAGTCAGTTGTCAAAACAAAACAAAATGAGCCTGTGGTCACCCCTGAAAAAGTGATTGAGTGCTGAGGCTGGGTCAGGACACCATCCTTGATCTTTTCAAGCCTCAGGCGGGTGGGCAGACTTGATGGGATGGCTCTCCAGGAAAAGGGTTCTAGCACGGTGGTGTGAGAGTCATCTCCAAGGACTTCCTGGACACTCCCTGGGTATCCCACAGAACTAGGAGAATGGGGGGACAGAGTGATACCCAGAATGTGACCATACTAAGCCCTATCACATAAAACCAAATTTCCATTCTCTTCCATACTTAGCTGTCTTGTATCCTATATGCAATCCTATATTCAACATCACAGAGACTAGAAATAAAAATGTTTGTATGTACTTGCTTCTACTGGAGTTTAACCTAGGAGAGACAGACCTCCCTTGTATATCCATTTTCTTGGATCTGAAGGAGAAAGAGATACAGAGGTGAAATCGGTCCCCTAAGCCTCTAGTTCAAGGTGAGTTGAGCCAGGGTAGATTCCTCAGCCAGCTGAGAACTTGCTGTCCTGGACCAGGTTACTTGGGAAGTACAGGGAAGGCCCCTGAGTCACCCAGGGCCCAAGCTGCAGATCATTAGCAATATATGCCAAAGAGAGTTAAGGAAGGAGTGACAAGTTTGCCAGTGACATTTGTGACATTGATGCATCCCTAGCCACTCATCTCCCTCATTTTCCTTCATAGTTTAATGATATCCACCCTGTCATTTGGGGACAGAATATCTTCTTAAGTGACTCTGTTGGAAATCCATGATGATACACTTTTTCTAAAACCCAAAGCAGTGCTTTCATTTTCCTGTGGTTAACTGTCAAGGCAGGATGAGATAATAAGGGAACCAGAGAAAGCCCTGAATTTAAGTATAAAGGTCTGTAACAGTGGCTAGAAATTGGCTACCTCTCTTCTTTGGCGTAAGTAGTATTTTTTTTTTCCTGACCCAGGGTGTGTGTCCTTCTTTGGGGAAAATGAGGTGACACAGAAACCATCCACCCCTGGGGTCCAAGAGGACCATCAGGATTCAGGGGCCATCCTCCTCCCTTGGCCAAGGCTTGGATGCCATCTGCCCCTGCAGACAGAAGTATCTGTGCACTTTGGTGTTTCCTAGGAAGGGAATTCTCCAGCTTCTCATGAGAATTGACTGGGACTTAACCTCTATGTGAGGGAAATGCAATTCATGTCCCCAGTGGATCATCCTTGGCACCACTCAGAGGAAGTAACCCTCTCTTAAAAACACATGGCAGAACGGAGGACATCTGGTGTTTTTTTTGTTTTTGTTTTTGTTTTGTATATACAGGACATATAACAGACAGATGAAGAACACAGACGCAGGCAGTGGACAGACCTGGTGTGTGATCCCAGCTCTGCTGCTTTTTAGCTGTGTGTCCTTTGGCAAATTACTTAACTTCTCTGAGGACCTGTCACAAAGAATGATATCAACTGACTCCCAGGACTTTGAGGATTAAATGAGGATAATTTTTATAGCGTTTGGCACAATGTCCATTATCTAATAAGCACACATACACAGACACACACAAATCCAGTGGCTATTACTACTTACTTCACAAAATATTACTTTGGCAGGACTGTGCTATGAGGCTGGTGATACAGAGGGGATCAACACAGTCATGGCCCTCTCTGTCATCTCTGAGCTCACAAGGATACCTGGGCTAGAAACACGCATACAGATTTGGCAACTGTCAACATTTGGCTGGAAATTAAAGCCACAGGGGTAGATGCAGATACCAAGAGAGAACACAGCAGAAGCATAGAGCCCTGCAACATCTGAAGGCAGAAGTAGGGGGACCATCCATGCAGCCCATGGTCAGTCGTGTACTCCTCAAAGAGCCTTTCTGGTAAAAGCAACACAAGGCAGCATTTGTTCCTGAGTCTAATGTATCCCTCCCTCCCACCTTCCCACACCACCCAACACCCCTTCTGCAGTCAGAATTAAAGACATGACCAGCCTCTGTAAGACAATGATTCTTGGGGACAACTGGTTTCCTGTGGTTCCTGCATACACATTTCCTGCATGTAAATGCCCTTCGCTTCATGCATCCCTGCAGAATTTACCCAACTTTCCATGGGAAAATACCCCTCAGCAGAATAATCCTCCCTATTTGGAAATGTATCATCCTGCGTTTTGCTCAGAAAAATCTTCTGCCCTGTCTGCCCCCTCCCCACCCTCGCGGAGCTCAGCCTGTGGTTTGCTGTGCATACTGAAAGAGTCGATGAAGTCATCCTTCCCTTCTGCTGTTAAACAAGGAGTCTCTTTCCTGCCACGTGTTGGAGTGAGAGCCAGCAGGCTTCTCTTCTTGCTCATTACACTTGACAGAATGTTAGGTTGAGGATTTCCCTTGCTCTCATCTTCTTTCGAACAATCAACCTACCCAGGAAAATCTGAGCGCAACTTGTGGAATCTGAGAGGCAGTAATTAATGAGGACATCTTGTTACAAATCAGAAGGACAGGCAACACCAAGGGCTCCAACAGGGACTTGTGGGAGTTCTCATATTCCAGGCTACAAAAACAAATGCTGTAGACCTGGGCTCTGGGCAGCCTTACTGTGGTTGATGGCAAGAGTCCACGGCTTTTTTTTTTTTTTTTTTTTTTTTGCTTTCGTTGAGAACTTCTTCAGAAAACCATCTGCACTTCATTTATGTCTCAGGCTGGGGGTGGGGGGTCGGATGGAAAGCACGGGCAGAGAAGTCTGCTTTTTCAGCCCTATTTTTGCCCAGGAAGAAGATTTTTGGACAGTGGAAACTCATGTGCTGCCATGAACACAGTAGGTGCTTTAGAGATCAATATGCGTTGTTACTGGTGAACGGCAGAAGTGTATAGGGATTAGTGGCTCCATTGCTGGACACTGTGCATCTGGGATTGCATCTGTGGCCGTGTGCTCATCAATTGCATAATCAGTTGCTCAATGCCACTGAGCCTCAGTTCCTATCCTGGGGATCAAGTGGAGAATAGCGTGTGGCTTTTATCTTTGTGATGAACGTCTAAGGATGGCCGTTGTGAAATATCATTATTTTTATCCTACACCTGCCTTCCAACTCATTTTCCTGGCTTCCCACTCCCCCCATCTTCTGACAAAAATCTCAAGCAGATTCCAGAGCTTTTCTGGTGGCTTTTGGTCTTAGAAGAGAATTGCTTTTGTGAAAGCAAGTCCATTTCAGTATTGAGCCTCAGTCTCTCATCCAGGCCACATCTTTTCTTCTTTCTCAGCTCAGACCTGATGCTGGAACCTGCAGAGAAGCTGGAGGGAAGGGGCTTGGGGCTTTCCTCCCTCCACTTCTCTCTCCTTAACATGCATGGCTGCTTCTGGCTTCACCAGTTTGCTGCTGCCTGGGGCGAGGTGAGGGTTAGAAAAGAAGGGAGAGGGCACTTTTACTTTACTGGGGCTGTTGTGGTTCCCTCTGTTGGATGCCCTTGTTATGGTGAATGCTTCCAGTGCTGGGCCACCCCTCCTTTGTGGGGAGCTTCTGTGGGATCTTTAGATATTCCCCTTCCCACCCACTGGGCATGTCCTGCTGCAGTCGCCCCCTTGGGGTGGCACACTCCTGCTGAACGGTGGACCTGCACCTCAGCTCGGGCCCTGAACTGCCCTCTTGGTAGCTCTAACATGCCTCATTTCTGTGACATCAACTTGGCCTCGCCAAAGTCTGAGTTTCAGTCCTCTCACACTGCAGCCCCCTTCCTCTCTCTGCCATGCAGCCTGTTCCAGCCAAGCTTCCACCTGTGAATTCCTCCGGGCCAGAATCAGGCACCAGTCTCTTTGCCTGCCACCCCCACTAATTCACCGTGACCCCACCCCCAACCCCCAAACCTCCAGTGGCACACTGTCTTTGAAATGTGTGGGCACGGCCAGGTGTAGTGGCTCATGGCTGTAATCCTAGCACTTTGGGGAGCTGAGGTGGACAGGCTGCTTGAACCCAGGAATTCGAGACCAGGTTGGGCAAGATGGTGAAACCCCATCTCCACAAAAAAAATACAAAAATTAGCCAGGCACTGTGACATATACCTGTAGTCCCGGCTACTCAGGAGGCTGAGGTGGGAGGATCACTGGAGCCCAGGAGGTGGACATTGCAGTGAGCCGTGATTGTGCCAATGCACTCCAGCCTGGGCGACAGAATGGGATCCTGTCTGAAAAAAAAAAAAAAAAAAAAAAAAAGAAGTGTGCAGGCACTTATTACCCATGGTCCAAGTCACAAGACAACAAGAAGTGTCCCATTGACTATTCCATTCCATCTGCCGGGTGTTGAGTCCAGTGCCTGAAATGCAGTCAGTTCTCAGAAGAAGTGAGCTTTTATTATTATCAACAATACATGCTTTTGGTGATAGGAAGAGCCATGAAGGAGTGGGAGGGCAAAGGGGTAACACAAAGAAAAACCCTTCATAGGTACCATTCTGCTTAATTCACAGTGGTGTCACATCCCTTGGGTACAACATGTATAATGGATGAAAGCATTGCATAGGGACATGTATCTAACTGCGCTCATTTGTCATTTGTATCAGAATGTCATATTGGCACAGAGCAAGCATAGGCTTGCAATCAGATGGGTCTGCGTTTGAATCCTGGCTCTGCCACTTCGTTGTTGGGCAACCCTGGCAAATGACTTTACCTCTCAGATCTGGTTTCCTTACCTTTTGAGTGAGGAGAGGAACACTGACCTTACATGGCAGCTCTGGGGATTAATTACGAGGAATAATGCACCCAGCCAATGCCTAGTGCGTAGCAGCAACTCAGTAAATAACATTTAGCATTTCATGCTATTGTGATTCTTCTTCTTCTTTTATTCTTCCAGGGCTCTTCACCCCCTGTTTCCTCAACTTCCTGATACTAAATGAATGATGACTATTAAAATTAAACATTTTACATATTACTAGAATTTGGCTTAGTGGCTAGAAATATTTCTTCCTTTTATAATCAATATAGTTGAAAGATGCCTTTCAACCTAGGCGTTATTATTATTATTTGAGATCGAGTCTTGCTCTGTCGCCCAGGCTGGAGTGCAGTGGCATGGTCTCGGCTCACTGCAGCCTCCGCCTCCCGGGTTCCAGCAGTTCTCTATCTCAGCCTCCCAAGAAGCTGGGATTAGAGGAGTGCACCGCCACACCTGGCTAATTTTTGTGCTTTTAGTAGAGAAAGGTTTCACCATGTTGGCCAGACTGGTCTCGAACTCCTGGCCTCAAGTGATCCTCCTGCCATGGCCTCCCAAAGTGTTGGGATTACAGATGTGAGCCACCGTGCCCGGCCAGCATTATTCTTTATAGCAGAACAGATGAGGAAGAAAAGGAAGTCACATTCAGTAAATCGATTGAAAATAAAATAAACCTCAAAATTTTGACTAATCCTTGCTCACATACCAGACATAGTGCTCACTGCTGTTCACATCTAAGAGGGGTGACGCGCTGTCATTCCCACGTTACAGACAAGGAGGCGGAGGCTCAGGATGAGGAGCATTTTTAGGGATGCACATCCTACAGCCTGTCTGAGGTGCCTTTCCACCATATCCCAACTGCCTCTCACCACGGGCAGGGAGAGCCTGTGCTCAAGCAAAACACAGACCACAGGAGAGGACTGTGTTTCCTGACTTCAAATTTTGGCATAAATAATTGCAGGTCTTGGGTTAGTTACAGAAACCCATTGTCAAGAGACAGCTCTGCAGATCACTTTCTAGATAACTGCTGCTATGCAAGCCCAACTGGGATGTATCTTGTGACTGAGGTTCCTGTGAGCAAAATGTGAGGTGAAAGCTGGGTCTCTTGTGGTCTGTCCTGCCTCAGCTTGTTAGTGTGCAAAGAATGGGCCGTCCTAGATGGGGGTTGGGGGCACAAGGGGAAATGGCTGGAGAGAGTAATTCTGCTCATTGACAGTGGTGAAGACACCACCTCCTGGTGAAGGAGGAGGAAAAACCTAACCACCTGCCCCATCTCAGGTCGCCTGGCTTGACTGACAAACCAGGCCACCCATGCACGGATGGATTTGAGAAACAGTGACCAAACCTCTCCGCATGTGTGACAGTGCTCCTGCCACAGGAGGGCCCCAAGATGAATCAGCCCAGTCCTGTCCTTAACAGGCTCACGGCCTAAGACAAGCTGCATACAAGAGTAACTGTAACACCAGGTCAACGCTCAAGAGACCAGCAGTGAGGGACAGGTCCATTTCTCTGAATGCTTAGCAGAAGTGAAGCTAGTCTCCAGCTGGGTAAGGCAGGGGGACAGGAGAGAAGACTTTGTGGAGCAGGTAATTTTATTAGAAATTCTTATGTTTTACTGGTTCACAAGTGAGTTTCGTGAGCAGGATGCTGGCCCTGCAGTCAGTGGACTTGGGTCTGAGTACAGGTTCTGCTCTTCCTGGCCGTGGGACTCAGGACAACTTGCTCAGCTTTCTCATCTGTGCAAAGCAGCATGGCATTGTGGGGATGAGCATGGACTCTGGGGTCAGATTGCCTGGGTTCAAATCCTGCCACTCTGAGCTGGGTGCTGGTTGGCAAGTCATTTAAAGTAGTAGTGCTTCAGTTTCCATATCTATAAGATGGGGGTCATCATAGTATATTCCAACAAACAATTGTGAGAATGGAATGAGTTAATAAATGTGAAACACTTAGAACATTTAGAATAGTGCCTGTCACATAGCAAGTGCTCTATGTGCAGCTCATATTGTTGATGTTGTTAAAAGGGAGGATAATATTAGCGTTGCTGTAAAGATCCAGAATTAGGGGGATCAAAGCGTGGCACACAATAGGCTGTCAACACAAGAGAGCTGCTCTTCTTATTATTAATAAGTGCAGGTGAGCCTAGAATGAGAGGTGAAGAGAAGGGCATCCTGGGCAGTGTGAACAGTAAGCAAAGAGAGGAGGCAGGAATATGCAATCTGTGAGGCAGGAACAGAAAGTAATTTGGTTCGGATCCTTGGGAGAAATAGAATGAGTTCTTTCTGCTGGTTTCCCAGCTTCCTTGGGCTCTTAGAATCTGGTAAAAAAAAAGCCAGCTTCCCTCAGCACATCTCCGTGGCTTTCTTTTGCAATGTTTCTGAATACAGGCATCCTGGAGGGTCTGCTCCCTGTCTTTCCAAGGATGAGTCTCCAGGAGATGTTCCGCTTCCCTATGGGGCTCCTGCTTGGCTCTGTGCTCCTGGTGGCTTCGGCCCCAGCCACTCTGGAGCCTCCCGGCTGCAGCAACAAGGAGCAACAGGTCACTGTCAGCCACACCTACAAGATCGATGTGCCCAAGTCTGCCTTGGTTCAGGTTGACGCTGACCCTCAGCCCCTCAGTGACGATGGGGCTTCGCTCTTGGCCCTGGGGGAGGCCAGGGAGGAACAGAACATCATCTTCAGGCACAACATCCGCCTTCAGACGCCACAGAAGGACTGCGAGTTGGCAGGCAGTGTCCAGGACCTCCTGGCCCGGGTGAAGAAGCTGGAGGAAGAGATGGTGGAGATGAAGGAACAGTGTAGTGCCCAGCGCTGCTGCCAGGGAGTCACTGGTGAGCTCACCACCTGGTATTCATTCAACAAACATTTGATGAGCACCTATTATGTGCCAGGGTTTCCACTAGCCTCATGAGCACTTTGTGACTCTGGTGTGCTCCTACTTCTCATTCTGGGTTTTCTCTAGGGGGCCCATCCCTGCTATTTATTCATTTATTCACTGGTACTAGCTCCAGGGGGCATCTGGAAGCTGAGCAGGGAGGGACCAGCAGCTCTTGCAGAGAGTCTAGACTCCTGGCCTATTGCTTCCAGATGGGAATGCTTCCAGGAGCCGTCATACCTGTGAATCAAAGCGCTACTCAGAGAGGAAGCAATGGGATACACAGGAAAGATAGGGCCTTGGAGCTAGACAAGACAGGTTACAAATCCCAGTTCTACCACTTTTTAGCTGTGTGACTTTGGGTAAATCCCTTATGTTTCCTCAACTGTCCAACAGGGATGATTCTATCAGCTAGTATAGTTCTGAGAACTAGAGATGATGTGTAGAAGATTCCTGGCCCTTAGAGGAATTTACAAATCAGTAAATTATAATTATTTTATTAGTAAAAATTACAATTATAATTGTAAAATAATTACAATTTAATTTTACAAATAATGAAGGTTCTCCCCCAACGCAACCCCGTCACTTTTAAACATAAACTGCCCAGGCTGATCCAATGATAATGAACAGTACTTTGGCATAGGATTTCATGCCTGAAGGAATTGCTATGGTAAAGAGCACCTTAACCATCAGATCCAGATACAGAACTCGGCACCAGGGACACTGCCATGAATAACCAGCATGGACTTGCTTCTGAGGAGCTCCCACTTTGGAAGCGTTTTTAGGAAGGAAAGAAGGTGTTCTGAAAAGCAGAAGCTGGGCCACAGAGGAGACTGCACTAACCAGTCTGCCCTCCAGCTGCCTCTTGCTGTGTAGGGTCAGAGAGGGGAGCCTGGTTAAATCCCTTCTCCACTGTACCCATAGTTGAGAGTAGGCTATTTTGTAGCTTCTGCAGTTCCGTTTTTTCCAGACTTCAATCTGGGCTCATTTCACAAGGTCCCAGCCTTGCTAGTTCCAGCAAACTCCAACCTCCCTGGATCTCACTTTCCCCCCAGGAGTCCTGCCCTGCAGTGTCAGCTGGCCAGGGTGGAGCATTTAAGGCCCCTCCATAGGAAGGCACTAAATAATGACCACCAGGTAGAGAGGAAGGAACCGGGGAATTCACACGGGAAGGGAAAGGAAAGAAGGGTGGGTCCTGCAGCCTTTTCAGGCAGAGAAAGAAGGAGACGTTTGCAGATGTCACAGATTAGAAAGCCTGGCCCAGGCTGGAAAGGGCCAACACCTTTTCTCCCTTGTGGAGCTCCACCATCCTCCAAAAAATAGCCGTGCAAGACCCAGAAATCACCAGACCCTTAAGAGTGGGGCTAATGATTTCTGGGTCTTGCATGGCTGATCTCAGAGGAAGGAGATCCCCACGCACAACCCTTCAACCCAACCTACTGTTTCTCCTCTCCCTCCCAGATCTAAGCCGCCACTGCAGCGGCCACGGGACCTTCTCCCTGGAGACCTGCAGCTGCCACTGCGAAGAGGGCAGGGAGGGCCCCGCCTGCGAGCGGCTGGCCTGCCCCGGGGCGTGCAGCGGCCACGGGCGTTGCGTGGACGGGCGCTGCCTGTGCCATGAGCCCTACGTGGGTGCCGACTGCGGCTACCCGGCCTGCCCTGAGAACTGCAGCGGACACGGCGAGTGCGTGCGCGGCGTGTGCCAGTGCCACGAAGACTTCATGTCGGAGGACTGCAGCGAGAAGCGCTGTCCCGGCGACTGCAGCGGCCACGGCTTCTGTGACACGGGCGAGTGCTACTGCGAGGAGGGCTTCACAGGCCTGGACTGTGCCCAGGGTGAGAGCGGAGATGTGCCCTCGGGCCGCCGGACTCTTCTTTCCAATGCACCATTTAACCCTCAATTACACGTTGTCATCTTTGGGGGTCTCTTCCTTTAGCCTACGCCAGATTGCTGAGTCCCAACCCCAGAGTTTCTGATTCTGCGATGGGGCCTAAGAATTTGCATTTCTAACAAGTTCCCAGGTGATGCTGATGCTGCTGGTTAGAGGCCCTAACCTTGAGGACCACTGGTCTTGTGATCTAATGGCTGTGTGTGAGTGTGTGTGTGTGTGTGGTGAGGGGGTCAGTATTAATTACCTGTCGTTCGGATAATAACTTCTAGGGGTCGGGAATGGCGCCTTACACAGGTCTGCATCCTGCACACCCACCCTTATAGTGCTCAGGGAATACTCACTGGGTCTGGATCGCCTCCCTTGCTCACCCTCTCTGCCCTGTTCCTGTTCTGCCTGCAGTGGTCACCCCACAGGGCCTGCAGCTGCTCAAGAACACGGAGGATTCTCTGCTGGTGAGCTGGGAGCCCTCCAGCCAGGTGGATCACTACCTCCTCAGCTACTACCCCCTGGGGAAGGAGCTCTCTGGGAAGCAGATCCAAGTGCCCAAGGAGCAGCACAGCTATGAGATTCTTGGTTTGCTGCCTGGAACCAAGTACATAGTCACCCTGCGTAACGTCAAGAATGAAGTTTCTAGCAGCCCACAGCATCTACTTGCCACCACAGGTGAGGAAGCCACCTGATGCCCCAGGGTTCCCAGGAGAGGCCCCATTCTAAATGGTTTCTTTCATTAAACACCTGTAGGCAGTTGCCTTGATTAGGGGTTTGAAAAACACACCTGCCACAATCCTAGGTTCTGAAGAGTCCCAGTTCTCTCTCTTCTTTCCTTGCTCCCTGATTACTGGGTTCTCCAAGCCCATGAAGACCTGCTAGATGGGGGCTCATGGGGTCTTCTCTGTCCCTGAGATTATTTGGGTCTGCACCTTCTCATAAGCAGTCAAAGTGTAGACATGAATCCCCAGTCTCTTACTGAACCCCCAAAGCCATTCAGAAAGTTCAGATAGGTATGGGTGAGAGGCTGCTGAAGCCACCTGTATCAGTTAGATTCATCTTCGTGGGAAAGACAGGACACAAATGGGGTAAATGAAATTTCAAAGTTTAACTAACAGATTGTTCACAAAGGTGTGGGTAGGGGTTGGATGGTGACACACTAAGACCTGCATCAATAAGGATACTCTCCTGCCTGAAGGGGCAAGGGATAGATGTTGGTACTTGGACCCAGAGAGAGCTGTAGAAAAGAGCTGCCTGGTAGGGTTGTTTTGGTAGAGGGATGCAGGCAGTCCACCGTGTCTCCAAAGAATTCTGTCTCCTGCCCTCTGATCTGCTGGTGATTCCTGCTAGCTGAACCTGGAAGCCAAAGGGTCAGGTAAACAGGCAGACTCAATTCACAGAGATCACAGCCTGGGGTACAGAACAAGATGGAGGATGGTGGAGGCTTGATCTGGAGAAACAGAATCTCCTGTGCACCAGCAAATGCCACCAAAATGTTTAGAAGGATTAGCATCACTGCTTACTCTTTAAACATTCTTGTCTCCTCGTGAACATTCTTAAAGCAGCTTAGATCTTCAAGGATTTGGAGAAACGTAGTTGGTTGAATGACTAACTCATTCCTTCACACAGTACATTTTTATTGAGCACTTACCATTTGTCAGGCACTGTTCTCGGTGCTAAAAATGCACTGCCTCCATCCTGCCCTAAACTTCTAGGGAAAGATCTAGGAAGATACAGATGGATGGAACTTTGGCATGCAGTTGTCTTTGCAGAGACATCAAGCTGCCTGTCCTTTATGGTGGTGGGACTAGGGTGGAGGTGGGGATGGGTCAGTGTTGGAAAGGGCTGTGAGAGACTTGGCCATCATGAGGTCACCATATGTGATTACCTTTGTCAGTGCCCTCAAGCTAAAGACCCCCAGGAGCACCCCTGTAGTTGAACAACTTGGGTGTCTTGATTGTTCTAGCATGGGTGACTGCACACTATGGGGGACCATAGAGGTATCTCAGTAAGACAGCGTTAGAAAGGACTGGTTAGAGAATCTGGGCCTGTGTTAGGTAATTTGGGGGAAGGTGTAAGGAAGCAGGGATTGGGTGCTGTCAAGAAGTGGGGAGAGCCTCTCCCCTCTGAGAGGCTGAAGTTGGTGATTGTAACAGAAGTGGCCATCACTCATAGTAGTCAGGAGAGTGGGTGTTCAGCTATTTGTGTGGTTTGGACAATGGTCATGTTTTTGTCTGTGTTCAGAGTTGATCATGGAAGTGTCTTGTTTTTGTCTTGATCTATGCGGTCACAGAGTGACCTGACATTGATGTCCTGTGAAATGGTTTATGTTCAATAGGAGACACCAAGTCCTCACTGTGGGAGCCAGGCCCATTCTGGCTGGCAGAGTCTGCTTTTCTCTTTTTCCCCATTTTGTCTGTGGCTGCCTCTGGTACAGCTAGCACTGTGTCCAAAGCCTCCCAGTGCAGCACAGAGATGCCTATTCTGAAAGTCCTAGCAACCCCTCATCCATCTTGCTCTCGGGATTTGTAAAATTCTGCAAGTGTGAAGTTTCTCTTTCTTTCTAATCTGATTCAGGTTAAACACATTCTTATTTGCTCCTCAGGGGAGCCTAAGACAAGAGGTACTCATCCCCACCATAATCGTGAACATTCTCATTAAGTCCTTGCTTTTTCATTTGTGATTCCCTCCCAATTCTTTTACACCATGTAGGAACTCTTATATAAGCCTCAAGTCACATTTATTACTCACCTCTTGACCTGGCCTTCAGGGAATTCCATCTTTAATGGGAGTCTAAAAACAGCACCTGGCAGATGGAAGCCAGTGGGTGAGAGGAAAAGCTTCAGAGAAAAGGCTCTGTGAGGCTCTTTATCCATAACTGATTGAATCGGGGACGTTCAGAGCCCAGGGACCTTGAGATCACTGAGTTCACACCTGGCCTGACACTAATTCTCGATCCTTCATCATCCGTCAGTGGTCAGTAGGCCTGGGTGGAGACACCTCCAGGGAGGTGAAGGTGGGGGCGTGACTGATGAAGAGGGGAAGCCTGAGAATTGGAGGGCCTTGGCTTTCCTGTCAAAAACTTAGAAGGCCAGGCTCCCTCAGCCTGGGATATGGCTGTTGGAATTTGAAGTGCTTCTCAAAGACCCTAGTCCTCCCATCCCTAGAAAAGTTCTCCCCTTAGAGCTGTAGCAATGATCCATTCCTTTGTATTAATCACTGTAACTTCATGTTTTTTTTTTTTTCTGAGTAGAAGAGTAAACATTTAGCCGTTAATACTTTACTATGAATAAATGTATACAATAACTCTCTTCCTTCACAGGACAGACAGATTGGGCAGCATGAGAATACCAGGTACCAGATGGAAGTGCTAAAATTGGTAAAAATAGCAGGAAGTACACTCAGATGGACCAAGTTAAAATTCACCTACTTTATAGTTTTGCCTAGGGTTCATCCTTAGAGGAGAATTTGAGAGGCAAGGGCTGCAATTTGGGAGATGGAGGAAGGAGCTTGTTGGATTACCAATGTTGTCCTTGAGAAAGTTTGAAATAGATTCTCTCCACTTTCCGTGGAAGTGCCTGAGCTGCTTATCCTGAGGTCGTCTTAGAGGGCAGGGGCTCTGCAGCTGAAGAGTGGGCCTTTAGTTCAGGGCTGTAGCTGTCAGAGCTCTGGACTGAGTGGTTTGGGTGGCCAACCTGAGAGGTACAGTTTGGGCTTGGCCAAAGTCAGTGTGGACAGGGAAGACCACATGGCCTCTGATGGGATGGGGAAGTGGAGGCTTTCCCAAAAGACAGTCTGCCCATGGAATATGTGAAAACCAGCAGCTTAGTTGCTACTTTGGTAGCTCAAAGACACCTGCTAAGAACTGTGTCCTGGGGCTGAAGCCAGCTCTTGAGATGTCAAGAAAGGGAGCTGACCTGATAACCAACAGCCTGTCACAGAACCTTGGAACCTCTGCTCTTCACCACTTTCTCTTGCCTCCGTCACCCCTGCCCTAGACCTTGCTGTGCTTGGCACTGCCTGGGTGACAGATGAGACTGAGAACTCCCTTGACGTGGAGTGGGAAAACCCCTCAACTGAGGTGGACTACTACAAGCTGCGATATGGCCCCATGACAGGACAGGAGGTAGCTGAGGTCACTGTGCCCAAGAGCAGTGACCCCAAGAGCCGATATGACATCACTGGTAAGAGCCATCACTGGAATGTGAGATGTATGCTGTGGATGCAGAGGTGGGGATAGTGTGTGCAGAGGGCACTGGCATCTGCACTGCTCAAGTGTGCACAGACAGCCCAGGGGCCTTAGGAATCACACTTGAATCTGACCCTTGAATCTGCCAGACATAAGCCCACCTGGGAGGCCTGTAGACTCTGCCCCAGCATTCCAGAGCTCGATCCCAGGGCACCTTGTTAACAGATTATATTTGTGAGATGTTCTCCAAGTCAGCAAACTCTCTTGAAGACCCTGTCTGTGTCTCAGAATGGATTTGATGGTGTATAGATATTCCTTTTGGAGGAACTTTAGTATTTGGGTGTTGGGGACAGGAGGGAACAGAAAGAGAGAGAGAGAGATTGAGATTGGTTTGTTGAGCATGATGCATGGAAGGGGTTGTGTTGGGGGATGTGGAGGGGGGCAGGGTGCAGTGAGCAGGGGTGGCTCTCTGTCTCTGATTTCTGAGCTAATGCTGCCAAGAGCTAGAGCTCAAATGGCTGCTAAGGAAACAAGGCTGCAGGGATGGATCAAGTTTGGCAGTGCTTGAAGTCTGTACAATTCCAGGGCTCTTTTTTAAGAAAAGTAATACGCAATCATGAATACCCAATCAGGTACAAGGCCTTGGAATGGGCCCGTGAAAGTGTGGGGCTTATTAGCTTCATGGTAAATTCCCTCCTGGAGCCTTGTTCTGCTGTCCACTCCTTGAGTTCTGTCTTGACAGGACATTTTGGGGTTCTTAGTGTTTGTGGAGTGCAGAATGAGGGTGTGTGCCTCACACAAGCTTCTGTTTGTCTGCATTTTACCACCACAGTCTGAATATTTGTGCCCAAGGAAAAATAATTCTAGTTGCTTCTACAGAGAAATAACTTTTTTTTAAAAAAAGGGCTGGGCATAATGGCTCATGCCTGTGGTCCCAGCTACTTAAGAGGCTGAGGCGGGAGGATCCCTTGAGCCCAGGAGGTTGAGGCTACCATGAGCCGTGATTGCACCACTGCACTCTAGCCTGAGTGACACAGTGAGATCCTGTCTCTAATAAAATAAATAGGAAAAAATTAGGCTAAATGTCACAATGAGAAGGAGAGATGCTTTGGAAGGAAAAGGGTTGCTGGGAGCAGAAACACATTTGGGTCTATAAATAAAATTGGGAAATAAGTGCTAGGTGGCCCAGTGAAGAACCAGAGAACATTTGAAATGCATTTCAATTGCTGTCATCTCATTTGCTGTGATGCCCTACTCCCATCCCCAGCCTATAAGCCCCCTCAGTGACACCTCATGTTCTATTGCACCTGCGGGGCTTTATTTGCCTGCAAATACAGATTCATCTTTGGAGGAGGAAGCATCACCTCTCATCTTCCCTCACGGGAGAAATCCCAGGGAGGAGTAGTGCTGGGGAGAGGGGTCTGGAGCCTGCACTCACATCCTGCGCTGCCTGCTTGTTTCCAGGTCTGCACCCGGGGACTGAGTATAAGATCACGGTGGTGCCCATGAGAGGAGAGCTGGAGGGCAAGCCGATCCTCCTGAATGGCAGGACAGGTGAGAGCTACTTGGAGGCACTATGGGCATTTAATCATGTTTGCATTCTCATATTTTTCTTGGCTGACTCCTCTCTGGATAAGAATTCTGGGATTTGCAGACAGACGGGGTGGCTCACGCCTGTAATCCCAGCACTTTGGGAGGCCAAGGCAGGCGGATCACCTGATGTCGGGAGTTCGAGACCAGCCTGACCAACATGGAGAAACCCTGTCTCTACTAAAAATACAAAATAAGCTGGGCGTGGTGGCGCATGCCTGTAATCCCAGCTACTCGGGAGACTGAGGCAAGAGAATTGCTTGAGCCCGGGAGGTGGAGGTTGTGGTGAGCCGAGATCGTGCCATTGCACTCCAGCCTGGGCAACAAGAGTGAAACTCCATCTCAAAAAAAAAAAAAAAAAAAAGAGAATTCTGGGATTTACATGTAGAGAGAGTCTATCCCTTTATGTACTGATGTCTATTTTTGGGCAGGGAAAGGGAAGCAAACTTTTCCTATTTCAAATTTTTCTTGCCATTGAAAATCTCTCCCAGGGTCTTGGAGTCAAGGGACAAGACTGTCTGACACCGTTCTGCTTATTTTAATAGCTTCTATCACCGCGTTGTTTTTAAGGCATTTATTATCTAGGACATAGGCACATAGCTCCTTATTCCCTAAAGACAAGTGATCTATAATTTTCTTCTTGCCACACCTGTGTTTTTTCCTGATGCCCACATTCAGTAGACTCCTCTAAAATGTCAAAAGATATTAAAAACCCTCACATGGGAGTAGTGGTATGTTGTCATCTGTGTATTGAGAAAATATATAATGATAAAAGGTTACAAATCAGTCATATTTGACAATAAGTTTGTAATTTATTAATCAGAACAGAATTGGAAAACATGGTAGGCATACATACGAGACATCCTAGGTAACTTTTAGTTTTTAAACCATGCTTGAGCCCATATTGAATTGTGAACTTCCTCATTAACTCTGTGCTCCTGCCTTCCCCATGCTGGAAACCTGTGATCTAGAACATAGTGCCATTCGGGGAGACTAATCCTTGGAGCTGGTAAAGAAGGAGTCTTTGAGTTTTGAGTCTTCGTTGAAAAGTTTTTTAGTTCTTTCCAATTCAGTCCTGGAAATAGCTGGTTATGGTGGTGAGAATAAGAGGTGAGATGTTGTGAGAATTGAATTCACTATTTCAGCTGCCTAACAGATTGCTTATCTGCAGTATGAAACAGTTATAGTTGGGCATTTATAATGGAGAACATATAACTTAATTTACAAACTAGACAAGGTAGACTGTACAGTCTGCCTGAATAGTGGACTAGGGAACTGTTTTAATGGGTTAGAAAATGGTAAGTACTTCTGTGCTTCCAGTGGCATTCCCTGTAGCTGTGAATTAATTGAGAGCTTACTGAGTGCCAGGCATTATAATCACTAAGCACTTTTTATGAATATCTCATTTAGTTCTCACAGCAATCCAATGAAGTAGATACTATTATTATTTCTCTGCCACATATAAGAAAACTGGAGAAGTTAAGCTCAAGATTGCCCAGCCAGGAAAGGACAGAGCTGGGATTTGAACCCAGGATACCCAAGTCTAAACCTTTGGGCTTAGCTACTGCAAACCAAAAAGTATCTGAGATAGGCCTTAATCAACTTAGAAGTTTATTTTTCCAAGGTTAAGGACATGCCTGGGAGAAAGAAACATGGAATCACAGAAACAATCTGTGGTCTGTACCTTTCTCCAAAGATGATTTTGAGGACTTCAATATTTAAATGGGAAAAGTGGGCTGAAGAGGAAATAGGGAGGGTATAATTCCCATGTTGGAAGAGAAAGGAGCAGGTAGCGGGATAGTCAATTACGTGTTGAGTACATTTGCACTTTTCTCAGGATAAGGTGAACGTGGAGTAGCTACCTGTGGAGATATTTAACCTTTTATCCGGCGTAGGAACAAAAGGAAAGGCAGCTTCTTGCATAACTCAGCTTTCAGCTTTATTTTTTCCTTTTGGCAGAGTGAATTGGGGTCCCGAGTTTTTTATTTTCATTTCAAACTACAAAGCTAAAGTGCTTCCCACTTTTACCTTCCTGTAAGAGATAAACACTTTTTCTTCTCTTACACAGTCAACACAACACAGAACATTTCACCTCTGGAAGTGATTTTTCCCCATACACCAGGGAGTTTTCCATCGGACACAAACTGGATGTTCTATAATTCAATTCATATCTGACATTGTCTCCCTGGAAATAGCCTCAGATCCCACAAGTTAAAGGCCCAGTCCCACAAGACTTTCCTCACTTCAGATGCCTGTCACAGTCCCCAGGTTAGGACCTGTACTTCTGACCAATCAGCTAGAAATTGGGGGTTCTTATGACTCCCCTCCTTGAGTTCCATTAATTTGCTAGAGCAGCTCACAGAACGCAGGGAAACACTTTACTTACGTTTACCTATTTAGTATAATAAAGAATATTACAAAGATCCAGGTGAAGAACCAGATGGAAGAGATGCATAGGTCAAGGTACGTGCTTCCATGGCCTCTGTGGGTGTGCCACCCTCCCCAAACCTCCACTTGTTCAGCAACCAGGAAGCACTCTGAACCCAGTCCTTTTGGGTTCTCATGGAGACCTCATTATATAGGAATGATTGATTACATCATTGGCCACTGGTGATTAACTCAACCTTTAGCAACTGTGAGCGCCTCTCTCCTTCCCCTTGTTAGGGGGGTGGGTAGGTGGGGCTGGTAGTTCCAATCCTCTAATCACAATGTTGGTTCCCTGGAAACCACCCCCTTTCTGAGGCTACCCAGGAGCACCCCTCAACCCCTTACAGCAGTCATCTCATTAACATACAGAAGACACCTCACTTTGGAGATTCCAAGGGTTTTAGGAGCTGTGTGCCAGGAATCAGGGACCCAAAACCAAACATGTGTTTCTTGTTATAAATCATAACATCACACCTCCCCTCCTTCTTGCCCATTATTTCTGGTTAATTTTCATACTGTTTGCTTCCTAACTGAAAAATTTTCTATGATTCCTCACTGACTGAGGAGGAAGCATAATGCTTTTATCTTGGCCTCCGTGGCCCACCCAGCCTGGGCCACTGTTATTCTCATTACTTCCCCAGGGAAAGCCTTCCTGTAGCCAGACTGTTTGTGGGGTTTCCTAACAGAAAGCTTATCTCTGCAAGTGGGTTTCTGTTGTTACTTAGCCTGGAAAACCCTTGCCATTATTTCTAGCCACAAATTAATTTAATTCAACAAACATTTATTGCAGGATGTATCTGGGCCAAAGAGACCTGGTCCCTTTAGAAATTTCCAGAGCTGATAAGCCATGGTCCTTTTCCTTCAGGGGATCACAGCAATAATGTGACGTATCCTTCCAGGCTGTGCTCAAACAGTTTCTCCACTGCAGCCTTCTATGACCGCATTAAATGTCAGCCAGATTTGTTTCTGAGGTCTGAGAGCATTTAATCACATATGGCCTTGAATTGCTAGTTAGCCTTCCACCTATACTGGAATGTTGTTACTCAAAAGTGTTTTTATTGTCAATTATATCCTAAAACCAGGATAGAATATTTTATTGGATTGCAAATAAATTTGTGTCATGTGTTTTACCAGCATCAAAAAGAAAAAGACACTGTAATTTATAGGGTCAGGAAACACTCTTAAACCTGGCTAGACTGTTAATTAATTTAAGGGAAAAGAAGAATCTCTGTTTTCTCCAAACGTTTTGCATCCCACCAGGTGGAAAAGGATGCTGGAACTTAAGAACAGCCTAAGCATGTGCAGGAGGAAACGAGGAAATGACACCGTTCAGGGATTTTTCATGTAACGAGGCACCCAGTGTAACTAACACCATGACAGGGAAATGGTTGACTGAAATTCCTCACCCTGTTACCCAACATGCTCAAAGTGCGCTGGAACACCTTCCAGAAAGGCCAGCCTCAGAAGCAGGTCAGCTTAAGGAGCAGCAAGCATACGCCAGGCCAGTGTCTCTGGGGGATTGGCGAGGGGAATGTCCCTGGACTTCTGCATCATACCCTGACAGCTATGCTTCCCATTCAATGAAAAGAAAGGGAGGCTACTAACTGAGAGGTGATGTCATTCTTTTGTCCTCTATCTATAAAATGAAGAGTTGGACTAAATGAGTTTAAAGTCCTTTCTCTTTTCTTATGATGATGGTATTCTGTTAATAGCTTCATGCTTTTCCCTGGTGTGTATAAAACAAAGCATGCTTGCTTTGTTATAATTTCACAAGCTCCCATGCACAGCAAAGGTTATAGCCTAGAATATTCACTTGTCATCAATTTTCTCAGAACTTTCCTCCTTAGACTATGCTGTGAAATAGCAGTTTTGCTTTTCTTAATATCTTTTTCACTTTTTACTGATTTCCAAACACAATGTTCCATTTGAAATGGCTTAGCCCCTAAAACTTTGGAAACTCCTTCATGTCCTAGGCTGAGCTCCTGTCACCATTGAGAACTCCTGTCTCATACACAGCCACCAACACACACATTTAGCATCTGGACAACAGCAACAATCTCTATCATTTGCGCGATCACTGTATTCTAGTGGGCTTCTGTATATTGTGAGACTTTGTAAATATTATCTCTGGTCCTTATAATATCAATAGGATTGTAAGCATTATTATTTCCATTTTACATATGAGAACACTGAGGCCTACAAAGTTTAGGAGACTCAGGGTGAGCTAGTGAACAGCTAGCTGGTACAACTTAGGTTCGCTTGAAATCAAAGTCAATAACCTTTTTAGAAGCAAAGCTGGAGGACAACAGGAAGAAGGGCTGACCTCTCTGAGTGCATTTTCTACAAACGATGCCTTTTGGATAATTTTGTTGCCACAATTGAAAGACATTAGAGGAGGTCTGTGAAAACAAGAGTACAGAACGTGTAGGTATTGTGGTCTCAAGGCACCTCTTCCAGGAACCCACCTTCAAATCAATGACACAGGTCCTGCCCCCCGTGTCTTCCTCCCCCAAGATCATTTCTCATAGATTTTTCATCCCGTCAGTGCCATCTTCTACTGCACCAACTGGGAGATTCACAGGTGGAAATTGTGAGTGGAGAAACCTGTTCCTAATGCCTGTGACTATGTGCTCAAGTGTGGACAGGAGCTTTCGGATGTTACAGCCTAGTGTGAAGACAGATGTTCCCTACCCAACTCTGTGGCAAATCTTGTTATAAAGTGGAATAAGCTTTCCTGATGTGAACAGAGCTTCTAATTAACCTCCTCCATATACTGTGTTCAGGTTTTGCAAATTAGATCTCTTTGAAGTGAAGTGCACCTTTATTCTAACTAACGTATGTACTCACAGGCGAGTCCCACCTATCCAGTTTTACAAACCTTACTTTACATCTCATTGACCTTGAATGTCCCTAAGAAAGGTCCCACCAGGGCTGCTAGTGTCCAGCAGTTGGGAAGTTCCAGCCTGGGGAGGATGTTGGGGCCAGGGTGGGGAGAGCCTGTCTTGTAGTAGAGGCTACAGCTGTGGCTAATCTGTGATTTAGCCAGCTGCTGCAGCTGCTGAAAGGCTTCCTTGCATGGAAAAACTATTTCATAATCTCCAGATCCCTTTTTGGTAGAAAGAGGTTTCAGTCCTGCAAAGCTGGCCTCTTCCAGCAATGTGGCCTATCATGGAGGTCCCATCTCTGAGGCCTTCCTCCCATTCCTGTGTCTCAGCACCTGATCCCCATCGGGGGAATGGTCAAGGAGAGCAAGCTCTGTGAAGAGCCCCTTCTGAGTTGAGTTGCTGTGGTTAGAGAACTGAGAGAAAAGGGAAGGCAGGGGGCCAAGAGCTGTGACTGGCACTGTGAGCTTGGAGAAGTCACATCTCCTCTCTTAAACTTCTTTAAACCTCCAGGTCTCCTATAACCCTGGGCATAATATGATTCAGTTTTACCTTCCTACTCTTCATACCCAAGATGCTGTTTCCTGGCTCTTCTCCATCCCTTGAGTGCTCTGGGACTGGTGGGAGAGAAAGGAGCTACAGAGCTGGCTGCTGCTTCCTCTTTCCACCCATGTGGACATGATGGATCTTTCCTTTATTTATTTACTTTTATTTATTATTTTTATTTATTTATTTATTTATTTATTTATTTATTTATTTATTTATTTTGAGACTGAGTCTTGCTATGTCACCTAGGCTGGAGTGTGGTGCATGATCTCAGCTTACTGCAACCTCTGCCTTCCAGGTTCAAGCCATTCTCGTGCCTCAGCCTCCCGAGTAGCTGGGATTACAGGCATGTACCACCCTGCCCGGCTAATTTTTTGTGTTTTTAGTAGAGACACGGTTTTGCCATGTTGGCCAGGCTAGTCTCGAACTCCTGGCCTCAAGTGATCCACCCAGCTTCACCTCCCAAAGTGCTGGAATTACAGGTATGAGCTGTTGTGCCTGGCTATGATATATTTTTCAATACACACAGGCAGCACCAACCCCACAAAGCCACAGGCCTCTGCTGTGGGTCCTGGAAGCAATGGTAGCAAGCACCAATCTGGGGCAGGGAGATGGGGTGGGAGGCACTGCTGGGACCTGGGGTTGTACAGATGTGGATGCTTTTGAGAAGGTGAGGGCCATGAACTTCACGAGCAGGACTGCTAGGGTGTTCTTGCTCGCTTCTTCCTGCCTCCTTAGTTTTCCATTTCCACTTTGTCACTAATTTCCCCAGATTGAGATATTGGTTTTGGATGGCTCTTGTCATCTCTTCCCTATGACATGCAGGATCATGTCTTGCACAGAAAGTTGTTACAGGATGGGGAGAGAGTTCTCTCTATCGTTGCACTCTTTTCCTTGACTGTCCTCTTACAGCCTGCTGGAGCCTCCAGAGGCCCTGGCCATGGGGTCAGACAGTGGGTGCCTGCATCCTAATTGTCCACTCTGTCATTCCTGGAGGCCCACAAGTGGCAGACTATTGGCTCTGAGCTCACAGTGCCAGTCACAGTGAGACTATTGTCTCACAAGGCAATAGTTCAAGAACGAGTTTCTCTCTCTAGTTACTGTCTATTACTGCTGCTGGATTTCATGTCACAGTAACCTTTCAGTTCACACTTTACTTTATTTATAATTTATTATTATTATTAGTTGCAAAGGAAAATGCTATTGATAGTGCTGCTTAGGACATAGACATATAAAGTGGAAATGTATAGTCTTTGTTAGATAAGAATGAGTTCAAATCTTGGCTCTACCACTTAATGTATCCAAAAGCAAACGCTTGGTCCTCTTCCTCTCCCCACTCCCTACTGCAAATGCTTCCCTCCCTCAGATATCCCTGTCTCTATAAATGGCCACTCCATTTTGCAAATTACTTGGGCCCCAAGCCAACAAATCATTCATTGTATCCCATGTTGAATCCATCAGCAGATTATGACAGCCTTACCTTTGAAAGCTCCAAAGCCAGCCTTCCCCATGACCCTCATTACTGCTGCAGTGGCCTGCACCCCCACCATCTTGCATATACACCACTGAAGCAGCCTCCTGTGTGACCTTCACTCTTGGTTCACTAGAGTGAGTATTCTCCTCAGAAGCCAGAGGGATCCTTTGATAGCCCAAGTCAGATCAGGTCATTCCTCTTTTCAAAGCCCCCAGAGACTTCTCTTGTTACTTAGTGTAAAAGACAATGTCATTACAATGGCCTTCAAGGCCATCCATAGTCCACTGTCCCTCTCACTTCCCTGGCCTCCCCTCCAGCCGCTTGACTTAACTCTGTCTAGATGCACTGGCCTCCTTGCTGTTGCTTGAACACATGAAGCAGGACCTTGGGTTAGCAGGGACATGTGTCAAAGAAAAAATGAGAGATTTTCTAAGGTCATGGGCTCAGGATATGTTCTTGGGAAGCACAGTCTCTAGGACACAGCTGGCATATTGTTCTGGGTTAGTTCTTTTTGAATATAAGCTCCACATTGGTGGGGATTTTTGACTGTTTTGCTCATTGATAACTCTTAAATGTCATTACATTCCCTGACACATAATGGATGTTCAGTGAAGTGCTGTTGAATGAATGAAGTGAGTTTTGGAGATTTGTATTTGAAAAGAGAGAGAAGAGCATGTGTAGATAAAAGTGCCAGGCCTGGAAACTGTGATTTGGAAGCAATGAACAGGGGAGGTGATGTTGTTTTGATTTGAGGAGAACTAGGGAGGGGAATGATGACTCTTCTTGAATACTTGCTGGTTGGTCTTCTGGAAGGGGAATTAGATGTATTCTCTCTGTCTACCTAGGGTAGACAATTAGAAGGAGTTACATTTGAAGGAGTTTTCTCTAATATGTTCAGTAGTCTGCAAATGGAAAATGGAATGGATTGTGTTGTCTATTGGAGAGTCCTTTCTTAGTTTAGGGTTCAAGCAGAAGCCAGTTGTCCACTTGTCACTGATGATGGAGAGACCCCCTTGTATTGCATAAACTATTGAACTAGGTCACCCAGGTGAACTAGATCTTTAACAATCTATGATCTTGACTAACCAACTGGTTTCTCTGATTTTTCTTTCTCATGTGTTTTTATGAAGAAATTGACAGTCCAACCAATGTTGTCACTGATCGAGTGACTGAAGACACAGCAACTGTCTCCTGGGACCCAGTGCAGGCTGTCATAGACAAGTATGTAGTGCGCTACACTTCTGCTGATGGGGACACCAAGGAAATGGCAGTGCACAAGGATGAGAGCAGCACTGTCCTGACGGGCCTGAAGCCAGGAGAGGCATACAAGGTCTACGTGTGGGCTGAAAGGGGCAACCAGGGGAGCAAGAAAGCTGACACCAATGCCCTCACAGGTAACAGAAGGACGGGAGCATAAATAGGTTTCCTCATGGCAGGGAGAAGGTTGATTTTTGAATCAGGAGGTCATTGCTCACCTGGCATCAGCTCTTTTGTTTGCAGGAGTGGGGAGGAGGTTGCAAAACCAATTTTGATTTTCATAATTATATATATTTTTCCTTTTTAACATCAAACAAAAGAGATCAGCTTTTTCACTTGATGCAGAAGGTCATACTTATTTGAGTTGGAATTCCGTATGCAACCCCCTCAGAATAGAGTAACACTTCCTAATTTTCATTTTTTAGATGTGAAAACTCAAAACATTGGGCTGACAGTGAATTTGAATGCTTATCTCAGTTTGCAGTGGCTGTGCAGGCACTTTGCATATAATCTGGAGCTCTCTTTTAGACCGTGGAAATAGTTTGCATCCTAAGTCAACATTTACTAAATGGACCAATTCTTCCTTTAAGCTTTCAGAAGCCATGAGGGTTCTCATACTTCACCCAGTCATTCTGCTCAGTTTGCGCCTGCAGGGGTCCTGGGACTATACTGGGACATAGCCCAGCCATTCTTTCTGCTTAAATCCTCTCCTGGTGCTTCTCTGAATTTAGAGCAGCCTGATCCTGGTGCCCGCATGAGGTTCCAAAACACCTGGCAGGAAATCAGAGGGAAAGGCTTCGCTTATTGTTTGCATTCTATTCTGGACAGTTACTGAGTATAGAGACTCTCAGAGAAGCAGAGAGATGGTTAGGAATATGGTTTCAGAAAATTGACTGTCCAGGTTTTAACCCCAGCTCTGCCATTGACTAGCTGAGTGGCTTTGAGCAAGTTACTTTACTTCCGTTCCTGTTTCTTATGGCACAAGTGAGAGCAATGATTTTTTAGAATGTTAATCAGTATTTGGCTCTTGAAAGATTTCGTGGTGCACAGCCTCCTAGATCCATGTGGGCCTCAATAGTTGACCTCTTCTTCAGGGGAGCAGAGAAGACATTGACAGTAAGGATGGTGATATCTAAATCTGTTTAAAGTCAAAGTCAGCAAATTTCTGTAAAGGACCAGATAGTAAATATTTTTGGCTTTGGGGGTCCAACAGTTTCTATTGCAATTACTTAACTCTGCCATTGGAGCATGAAAACAGCCACAGACAATGATGTGTAAATGGACTGGTGTGACTGTGTTCCGATAAGACTTTATTGATAAAGATTGACAGTGGATCAGATTTGGCCTGTGGGTTGTAGATTGCCCCTCCTGGTTTACATTACACGTGACTCTCTGTTTACTAGGATTTTGAGTGTCGTGAAAAGAAAGAGCATTTGGGTCAGCATTTTTGTTTGTTTGTTTGTTTTGTTTTGTTTGAGACAGAGTCTCGCTCTCTTGCCCAGGCTGGAGTGCAATGGCGCAATCTGGGCTCACTGCAACCTCCATCTCCCGGGTTCAAGCGATTCTCCTGCCTCAGCCTCCCAAGTAGCTGGGATTTCAGGCACCCGCCACCACGCCCAGCTAATTTTTGTATTTTTAATAGAGACGGGTTTTCACTGTGTTCCCCAGGCTGGTCTCGAACTCCTGAGCTCAAGCAATCCACCCTCCTCGGCCTCCCAAAGTGCTGGGAAATACAGGCGTGAGCCACCACGCCCGGCCCATTTTTAAAACAAAGGAAGTTGGAATAGAGAAGAACCTTCCCTTTTCTTAGGCGGTGGTGGTGTGAGCAGCAGGGAGCCTCTGGAGGGTGGCATTGCCACTGGGAAGGGGTCAGACCAGAGCTGAGCTCTGGGGGCACAAACATGAAGGAAGTGATTCACGCCTGTATGGCATTCACAATCCTCTGGGTAGAGAAGACAAGTTAAAAAGATAAAGGACAGTGAGTTATGTTCTAGAGCAAACAAATGTCCCTGGAGCTATGGGAAACTGAAGAAAGGGGACCTACCACAGACTAGGACAGGATAGGGGTCATGCAGGCTGTGGGAGGAGGTGACACCTGAACAAAGCCTGGAAGGACGGGTGGGAGTTAGCAGTGGAGGCAGCATATGCAGAGGCTAAGTTGTGAGAATATGACAGGTTAGGTCATCTCAAGGGGTTTTAATGGAGGGCCGGTCTGTGTGTTTGGTGCACTAGTGAAGGATAAGCCAGCTCAGAATCCTGGGTGCTAAATCATTTGTCCTCATGTCAGATGTCTGTGGTGCATGCTGAACTTTGCTCCCTAGGGTGAGTCACTGCATGTGGCTGTGCATTCCACCATGCTGGCCTGTCCCCCTTGGCAAGTGGTCCTGTGCAGGTATGAAATGCAGGTGCTGTCACAAAAAGTACAGCCTTTTTTGAGGAGGTAGTTTCTAAAAGAGGATAATAAAGTCATGCTAACCATACACACAATTGCTTGGATTTTTGACTCCCTAAGGATGTACATTTTGAGGAGAAAGTGGTATTTCATGCCTCAAATGCCATTAATAATAACAACTTATATTTAAGCATTTGCTATGCAATATCTCATTTACTATCACCATAACCTATGAGGTAGGTAGTGGTATTTCTTTCTTCATAGAGTTGAGGAGACAGACACTTAAATTACACGGCTTGTCCAAAGTTAGCCACCAGGAAGAGATGGAGCCCAGGTTCTAACCCACTTTAATCACAGAGAAACCCAGACAGATTCTACAAGTTTGATTCTTTTTATTAGACCAGACCTCAGATACTATCAATTAAAAAGTCTCCTGGTTCCCTGGCCACAGATGTAATGTTTTATATGGAAAGAACTGATGGCTACTACTTCTAGGATATTTTTCTTCTCAAAGAACATATTAGAGCAGATGCAGAGGTTTATTCAGTATAATTGCTTTCTAGTACAAGGAGTCAGGAACTAGAAGAATATGTTATATAAATCCAGGGTAAAGGAGAAATTTGAATGTGAAGACCAATTATTTTTATCCCAAAGCGACTTCCGGGAAAAGTTTATAGAGTTGATAAAGATGCTGGCTTTGTCTGAAAACTCCACTTCTTATTAAATGTTATTAGCTTATTACTGGAATTTCAGACCATTTGCTTAATTAGACCTTTACATTAACTCAATCATTGACATATTAGAGACTCTGACATTTGTTGAGGTTATCACTTTGACTGTGTTCGTGCTGTCTTTATGGAATTAGAGGGTGGTAAAGGCTACATTCTTCTTTCATCTCTCTCTTAAAGAAATTGACAGCCCAGCAAACCTGGTGACTGACCGGGTGACTGAGAATACCGCCACCATCTCCTGGGACCCGGTACAGGCCACCATTGACAAGTACGTGGTGCGCTACACCTCTGCTGACGACCAAGAGACCAGAGAGGTTCTGGTGGGGAAGGAGCAGAGCAGCACTGTCCTGACAGGCCTGAGGCCAGGTGTGGAGTACACAGTGCATGTCTGGGCCCAGAAGGGGGACCGAGAGAGCAAGAAGGCTGACACCAACGCCCCGACAGGTAACAAAAGAGAGATGGTCAATTGGAATTGAGTTTTAGCTTGTGGATTTGAATAGGTATGGTATCAAAGGATGTGGCCTGAGCAGAAAGACTTTGCAATTAGAAGTCTTAAAGATGAAAGAAAGACTGAGCTCTCGTGGTGATGGCGGTGGGCTGCTCTTTCCTGACAGTGATGAGCTGTTCATGAGACCACTTGGCCCACTGAAAGAGAGAAGTAAAGTCTTATAGTAACAATGCTTTTAGCAGAAGATGGGTACAGGATCTGGTCATTGCAGTGCTTGTGATAATATTTTTAGAGTGCTCATCAGTGAAGTAGCCCTTGATAAAATGTTATGTTAGGAACCCTAAATGTCATGGCAGCTGTTTAATTGGAGGTTGTGATGTGCCATATGCTGCTGAGAAGACATCGTTCCTCCAACATTTTAGGGAACTGAAAGCCAAGAAAGAATGCCTCATTTATAATGATTCCTCCTTTGAAGTTCAGAACCAAGGGCTACTTTCTCCTTAGACTCCCAGCGGAGACTCAGGATGAGAATGCCATTGCCTTGTTCTAAAAGAGCTCTGGAAGATGAAAATGATGAAGATGGGGGTAAGGATATGTCTTCCATGGCTTCAGAGCTTAAACCTTTCCAAACATTTTCCTTCCAGATATTGACAGCCCCAAAAACCTGGTGACTGACCGGGTGACAGAGAATATGGCCACGGTCTCCTGGGACCCGGTGCAGGCCGCCATTGACAAGTACGTGGTGCGCTACACCTCTGCTGGTGGAGAGACCAGGGAGGTTCCGGTGGGGAAGGAGCAGAGCAGCACAGTCCTGACAGGCCTGAGACCGGGTATGGAGTACATGGTGCACGTGTGGGCCCAGAAGGGGGACCAGGAGAGCAAGAAGGCCGACACCAAGGCCCAGACAGGTAAGGAGTGTGCATTATTGCTGTGCCGATGCCATGCTCAGGGTCTGTCTACATGGGGTTTTCTTCTCTGACCTTGGCATAAAGGGGGACTTTATGGAAGAGCAGGTTGGTATCCTCCCATAATACATTGTGTCCCCCTCACTTCCTTTTACTGGCCTCTCTTAGAATGCCTAAGTGGTGGTCTCCAAACTCTGGTCTTTAAAGATGGCTGATCACTGCACATAGTTCTTTGTTCTTTCTTTGCCTGAGTACCTTTGTCATTAACACACTAACTGCTTCTCCTTGACAAGGAGTAAATATTAAGAAGTAACTATCATGCTGAGGGAGCCAGACTTAGGGATTGTGATCAATCCCTTAAAAAAAATTCCTCACCTGTTTAAACCCTTTGCAAGCTTGTTTGTTTTTGTTCCTGCCATCTGAATGAATGTTTTAGGCAGAAATAATAACAGTGTTTCCATTAGCTAAAAATAAAATATCTAGTCATTTTTAGTCCCCCAGATGTAATTATGTCTATTTTCATGTAATAGTCCCTACTTCCCTACATGAAATCTTCTCCTCTCTCTCGACTTGGGCCACCTGTGGGCCAGCTGCCTGCTCCAGGCAGGGGACATGCACAATTTCTCTTGTATTTTCTGCTGTGTACCTCAAGCACTGCTCTTCTAGCTTGCTGTATGCAGTTTCTCACCCATTTATCTTTGGCGTTGCTGGGAGAGGTAAACTGATGAGAGGTGAGGGGTGAGGACGGGCAGAAGTGAAGGGTCAGGAAGGAGGAGAGGTGAAGGGTCAAGGGGAAGGAGAGGTGAGGGGTCAGGAGGAGAAGAGGTAAGGGGTCAGAGGAGGAGAAGTGAGGGGTCAGTAAGGAGGAAAGGTGAGGGGTCAGGAAGAGGAGAGATGAGGCATCAGGAGGAGGACAAGTGAGGGGTTGGGAAGAGGAGAGGTGAGGCGTCAGTAAGAGGAGAGGTAAGGGTCCTGGAAGAGGAGAGATGAGGGCTCAGGAGGAGGAGAGGTGAGGGGTCAGGAGGAGGAGAGGTGAGGGGTCAGGAGGAGGAGAGGTGAGGGGTCAGGAGGAAGCGAAGTGAAGGGTCAAGAGAGAATAGAGCCCAGGGGTTAGGGAGGAGGGAGCTGGGGGTCGTGGAAAGTCATGCTTGACTGTAACAGGTGTTTGGGCCTGCCCTGGAGCCTGACGAGTGCTAAAGCTGACTCGGTCATGAAGCACTTCTGTGCTCCTCTTCTACTTGGGTCTCTCACTGTAGGCAAATGCCTGTCTTCCACTGGTCTCTTACTCCCCTTCCTCTGCCAATACATCAGGGGTTCCCCCAGCGCCTCTCTGGTGGGGTTGCCTTGCCCCTCTAGGTGGTCCTCTTGGACAGCTTCCCAGGCCTACCTTGCTGTGCTAGGCCCAAGTCTGGTCCATGGAGAACCTGCATGCATCCTTTGTCCATTCAACCAGATGCACAGCTCTTTTGCAATGCTACAGCCTGTCTTTGCTCTGTGTCAGAGCAACCAGCTATTTTCTTATCTCTTAGATATTTTAGCATATGTCAGACACCAGCCCGTATGATTCCCCAAGCTTTGGGCTTTCTCACCCTTGGCACTATTGCTATCTTGGGGTGGATAATTCTTTGCTGCAGAGGTCTATCTTGTGCATTGTAAGATGTTTAGCAGCATCCCTGATGTCTCCCCCTATCCCACACTGAGTTGTGACAACCAAAAGTGTCTCCAGACATTGCTGACTGCCCCTGGTTGAGAACTGCTGCTCTAGGGTATGCAAAACAAAGTCTGTAAGGGATTCCATTGAAAACTGCTTATTCAAGGCTTGGGCCTCACCCATGGGACTCACAGTGTATCTTTTTCCAAATAAATCCCTTCTTCAAGTCCCACCTCACTGGCTTCTCCAATGTCTTTTATAGGGCGAAAATGATTGGTCAGCCAAGGGTCACAAAACTGTTGTTGATCTTGCCTTGACTGTGGTTCCTCAGGTTGGAATGTAGATATCCATTTTCTTGGGGTTACAGCCTAAAGCAACATGTGTAATAGGACGTATGAGCAAGTGACTTTGGGAAAACGGCTTTTGCAATGAATTATTTAGGACAAAGAAATGCTAGTTTTTTTTTTTGGTGAATGTATTTTTAAGTATCTTCTATGTATGTGGTATGGAGGAACATAATTTCTTGTATTTATAATGTATCAACAAACTGGTGTTAATAATGATAGCTTATGGTCATTGGGCATCTACTCAGTGCTAAGAACTCATAATAGACATTTGTTTCTTTTTTAAAAAAATTGATACATAATAATATACATATTTATAGGTACATGTGATGTTCTAATACATGCATGCAATGTGTGATGATCAAATCAGGGTAATCAGGATATCCATCAGCTCAACATTTGGCATTTCTTTGAGTTAGAAACATGTCAAATCTTCTCTTCTAGCTATTTTGAAATGTACAATAAATCATTGTTAACTGTAGTCATCCTGTGTCCGGAATTGGTGGGTTCTTGGTCTCACTGACTTCAAGAATGAAGCTGCGGACCCTCGCGGTGAGTGTTACAGCTCTTAAGGTGGCGCATCTGGAGTCTGTCCCTTGTGATGTTCAGATGTGTTCGGAGTTTCTTCCTTCTGGTGGGTTCGTGGTCTCTGGTCTCGCTGGATCAGGAGTGAAGCTGCAGACCTTCGCGGTGAGTGTTACAGCTCTTAAGGCAGCGCGTCTGGAGTTGTTGGTTCCTCCCGGTGGGCTCGTGGTCTCGCTGGGCTCAGGAGTGAAGCTGCAGATCTTCGCGGTGTTACAGCTCATAAAAGCAGCGTGGACCCAAAGAGTGAGCAGTAGCAAGATTTATTGCAAAGAGCGAAAGAACAAAGCTTCCACAGTGTGGAAGGGGACCCGAGAAGGTTGCCAATGCTGGCTCGGGCAGCCTGCTTTTATTGTCTTTTCTGGCCCCACCCACATCCTGCTGATTGGTAGAGCCGAGTGGCCTGTTTTGTCAGGGCGCTGATTGGTGCGTTTACAATCCCTGAGCTAGATACAAAGGTTCTCCACGTCCCCATCAGATTAGTTAGATACAGAGTTTCTACACACAGGTTCTCCAGGGCCCCACCAGAGCAGCTAGATACAGAGTGTCGATTGGTGCACTCACAAACCTTGAGCTAAACACAGGGTGCTGATTGGGGTATTTACAATCCCTGAGCTAGACATAAAGGTTCACCAAGGCCCCACCAGAGCAGCTAGATACACAGTGTCGATTGGTGCACTCACAAACCTTGAGCTAAACAGAGGGTGCTGATTGGTGTATTTACAAACCTTGAGCTAGATACAGAGTGCCGATTGATGTATTAACAATCCTTGAGCTAGACATAAAGGTCCTCCACGTCCTCATCAGAGCAGCTAGATACAGAGTGTCGATTGGTGCACTCACAAACCTTGAGCTAAACACAGGGTGCTGGTTGGGGTATTTACAATCCCTGAGCTAGACATAAAAGTTCTCCAAGGCCCCACCAGAGCAGCTAGATACAGAGTGTTGATTGGTGCACTCACAAACCTTGAGCTAGACACAGGGTGCTGATTGGTGTGTTTACAATCCCTGAGCTAGATATAAAGACTCTCCACGTCCCCACCAGACTCAGGAGCCCAGCTGGCTTCACCCAGTGGATCCCGCACTGGGGCTGCAGGTGGAGCTGTCTGCCAGTCCCGCGCCATGAACTTGTACTCCTCAGCCCTTGGGTAGTCGACGGGACTGGGTGCCATGGAGCAGGGGATGGTATTCGTCGGGGAGGCTCGGGCTGCACAGGAACCCACAGAGGTTGGGGAAGGCTTAGGCATGGCGGGCTGCAGGTCCCGAGTCCTGCCCGGCGGGAAGGCAGCTAAGGCTCGGCGAGAAATCGAGCGCAGTGCCGGTGGGCTGGCACTGCTGGGGGACCCAGTACACCCTCCGCAGCTGCTGGCCCGGGTGCTAAGCCCCTCACTGCCCGGGGCCAGCAGGGCTGGCCGGCTGCTCTGAGTGCGGGGCCCTCCAAGCCCATGCCCACCTAGAACTCCAGCTGGCCCGCAAGCACCATGCGCAGCCCTGGTTCCCACTCGCGCCTCTCCCTCCACACCTCCCCGCAAGCTGAGGGAGTGGGCTCCAGCCTTGGCCAGCCCAGAAAGGGGCTCCCACAGTGTAGTGGTGGACTGAAGGGCTCCTCAAATGCTGCCAAAGTGGGAGCCCAGGCAGAGGAGGTGCCAAGAGCAAGTGAGGGCTCTGAGGACTGCCAGCATGCTGTCACCTCTCAATCCCCCCTCTAAACAGGACACCCCAACTGCTGTTGGCAATTTGGCCGATGACCACTCTAGCTACTTCCTGCTGGATGGGGCAAAGAAGGGGCCCTGCAGTTGCGGTGTCCTTCAGAGGGGAACTCTCTAGGCCAGGGGAAGTGCCAGTGGGTTGATCCAGGGGTCCTCGGTAGAAGTTGTTAGTTGAACTCTTTTGGGGTTCCATTTGTAAGACCATCTGTAGCTTGATGGCCTCGATTCTAGAGGAAACAAATTTGACAAGAAGGTTAAAAATACAGGGCCCAAAGGCGAGTAACAGCAAGATGGCTGCCACAGGACCTAGAAAGGGGAGAAGCCATGTTGCCTAACTCCAGAAGTTGGTATAAGAATTTGAAAGGCGTTGTCTGATTTCAGAAGCCTTTTCCTGTAAACTCCGGGCAGCATCTCATACTATCCCCGACTGGTTAGTGTAAAAACAACATTCTTCCCCTAAGAAGGTGTAGTGTCCTCCTTTTTCAGCAGTGAGGAGGTCTAGGCCTCTGCAGTTTTGGAGAGTCACTGCTGCCAAAGAGTCTATTTGGGATTGTAAAGTAAGGATAGATTTCATTATTTCTTGCAAACTGTCTGAGAGGCAGATATGGGTTGAAGATCCACATAAGTAGAATATGCCTTGGCTGGGTAGATAGAAATTTACCCTGGCTTTTAAAGGAATGGGATATGCTGTTTTTTTCTTTACTACTTCTATCTCTCTCTTTCTCTCTTCGACTTCTTCTTTGTCTTTTCCTTTCTTCTTAACTTTTTTTTTGACTTTCTGTGTCTGTCCCTCTTTCTGACTCCTTTTTTTTGTCTCTGTTTCTGACTACCTCTTTGACTTTCTGTCTCTTTGTCTCTTCCTCTCTCTGTCTCTTTCTCTGACTTTCTCTTTCTCTCTTTTCTTCTTGCTGGTCTTTCCCTACCTCTGCCAGCCGCTTATGCTGCTGTTCTCCTCTCTCCTTCCCATTTTGATGGCTTTGTCAGTGTAAGATTCCTACCTCTTTGTGTTTTTTTGCATTACGTGACTGTGCGGGCATTTTTTTGCCCTTCTAAATTGTCCTTCCAATGCCCAGACTTCAGTGTTGATTCCCTCCTCAAGTAGGGGACAACAAATGGGTAACTTGTTCCCCATATTTATGTAGATAATAGCTCCAGCCTTGGCTAATATATCCCTCCCTAATAAGGGTGTGGGACTTTCAGACATAACAAGAAAGCCATGTGAAAAGAGCAAAGTCTCCCAATTACAACTGAGGAGGTGGGAGAAATACCTGATTACAGGCTGTCCCAGGATTCCTCGGATGGTAACAGACCTTGAGGACAGTTGTCTAGGACAGGAGATTAACACTGAGAAGGCCGCGCCAGTATCCAGGAGGAAGTCAATTTCCTGGCCCTCAATAGTTAAACATACCCAGGGCTCAGTGAGGGTGATGACATGAGCTGGTGCTTGCCCCGGGCACCCTCAGTCCTGTTGTTGGATCATCTGGTTGGGGGCTTCTAACCCAGGGAACCTTCATCCTCTGGGGCAGTGCACCTTCCAGTGATTGCCTCGGCATAGTGGACACGGATGAGGGGGCAGCTTGTTTCTTATTGGACAATCTTTTTTAAAGTGTCCTAGTAAACCGCACTGATAACAAGCCGTACCAGGTGATTGGCCTGCTCCATTTTCTGACCTCTCTGAACCACCAAGGTTTGTTTGTCTGAGGGCCATGACTAAGGCTGCGGCCTTTCTCTGATCTCGCTTTTCCTTTTGGGCCTGTTCCTCTTGGTCCCTATTATAGAACACCAAGGTTGCCAGGTTTAATAATGTCTCTAGATTTTGTTCAGGGCTCAGGGCTTGCTTTTGGAGCTTTCTCCTGATATCTGTGGCTGATTGGGTAATAAACTTATCTTTTAGAATCAATTGACCCTCGAGTGATTCGGGTGACAGGGGAGTATATTTTCTTAAGGCCTCTTGTAGCCGCTCGAGGAAGGCAGAAGGATTTTCTTCCTTTCCCTGGGTTATGGTGGATATCATTGAATAATTCATGGGCTTTTTCCCAATTCTCCTTAGTCCTTCCAGAACACAGATCAACAGATGTTTACGACTCCAGTCCCCATGATCTGAGTCAAAGTCCCAGTGGGGATCCATACTGGGGATGGCTTGCTGACCAGTAGGGAAGTTGTCCCTTTCTTCGGCTGTCATTCTTTCATTTACTTGACTAGGATACCAGGTATCTCCAAACTCTCAGGCTGCAGCTAAAGCCGCATTCTTTTCATTAAAGGCCAGGGTTTGATCTAACAGTAGCATGACGTCTCTCCAAGTGAGGTCAAAGGTTTGCCCTAGACCCTGTAGGACATCTATGTACCTATCAGGATCATCTGAAAACTTCCCCAGGTCTGCCTTGATCTGCTTTAAATCAGAGAGGGAGAAGGGGACATGCACCCGGGTTGGGCCAAATTCCCCTCCCCCTACAGCTTGAAGGGGACATAACCGATAGCCCGGGGGTTTTTGTGGACCTTTGGAGATTTCTTTGCTTATTTCCTTCTGGGCAGGGGAGATTAGAGGAGGAGTATCATCAATAGGAAGGGAAGCTATAGGGAGGCTAGGATATGGGGGTAAGCTGAGGGGTCCTCCTGTGGGATGTAAATTGCAAGCTTTGCATAGTTGTGTATTCTCCCTCAATGAAAAGAAAGCTTGGACATAAGGTATTTCACTCCATTTGCCTTCCCTCTTACAGAAAAGATCAAGCTGCAGGATAGTATTGTAATTTGTGCTTCCCTCAGGTGGCCATTTTTCCCCATCAGAAAGAGAATATTGGGGCCAAGCCGTAGTGCAGGAAAAAATGAGCCTCCTCTTTTTCAGGGTTTGTGGGTCAAATTGGTCCCAATGGCTTAGGATGCATTTCAAGGGTGAACCTGTTGATGCCTGAGTGTTTCCCATATGAAAGACAAAACCGCCCACAGTTTTGGTTTGTTTTGTTTCTCTCCCTGCCCAAGGACCTGCAATGGTCCTGGGACCCTGCTGATCAGAATAGTTGCATTCACCAATGCAGCAGCAGAAACAACCCCTGCCCAAGAACCTGCAACGGTCCCTGGACCCTGCTGACTTGAATAGTTGCGCTCACCGACGCAGCAGCAGAAACACTAGTTTTCCTCCCAGACCACATGGAGGACCGAGGAAGGTCGGATTTAGTGGTCCTTACTGACGCATTCTCGAAAACCTGCACCCTTGCCTGTCCTCCTAGACCACAAGGAGGACCGACTGAGAAAAATCAGATTTAGTGGCCCTTACTGACGCATTCTCAAAAACCTGTTAGAGTCCTAAGCATTCTCCTGTTAGTATTGGGACTTTACCCCATCCTATAAAGATGTTATGCCACAAAAATGAAATGGAGGGCCATACCCTGAGGGAGGGAGGGGATCTTCAGGGTTGGAAGAGTGACACCTTTTGTTCTCACTTATATGAATAGGAAGGATACAATTTCTGAGGCTCCCCATATCCTAGCTTCAGGAATAACTTTTGTTAGGCCTGTTAGTCTGAGGAGGGATCCTAAAATTCCAGGTAGTCCCCACTACGATGGGGCCTTGGGCAAAAACTGTGTCTTTCTGATTGGTGAGCCCGGGTGCCTAAAGAAGGTAACAGAGTCCTGGAGTTTATACTAGAAATCATTCTTATAGGAGAAACTAGAAAAGCACCAGAGACAGGTAGCAATTTTTAGAAGCGGGTCTAGCCTCAGAGAAGAGAGGCGAGAGGAAGTTTGTCTGGCAGGCATTAGGACCCAGAGGGCAAGGGTCAGGATAGATAGGATAGATAGGCGAGTGTCGCTTGGGCGACATGCTTTTGAGAGTTCCACTCATGGCCGCAGGGTCAACCAACATGTTGTCGGGACCCCGGAGATGCATGGCTTTCCTCACTGTCAACCCACGGCTCAGCCCAGAAGTACAGGAAAAGCGGAAGCTGGTTCTAGGCAAACCAACGGTCCCAACTCCAAAGAGTTGGGGGTTGTTAGAGAGCCCTTTCCCAGAAAGCTTGACACCCGTGTCTTTAGTCCGGCGGCCCGCTAGTCACTTTTAAATGGCTGACAGATGCCCGGTATTTAGCCCCCGAATTCTAAAGAAAGATAGGACAGAATAGCAAGTGAAAGGGGTCCGATGGTACTCACTGCTTGGCGATTGGGAAAGGTCTCACCGCTCGGCTATTGTCTCACCGCTTGGCGATATGCGAAAGTCCCTTCGTGGTCGCCAAAATGTGTCCGGAATTGGTGGGTTCTTGGTCTCACTGACTTCAAGGATGAAGCCGCAAACCCTCGTGGTGAGTGTTACAGCTCTTAAGGTGGCGCATCTGGAGTCTGTCCCTTCTGATGTTCAGATGTGTTTGGAGTTTCTTCCTTCTGGTGGGTTCGTGGTCTTGCTGGCTCAGGAGTGAAGCTGCAGACCTTCGTGGTGAGTGTTACAGCTCTTAAGGTGGCGCATCTGGAGTCTGTCCCTTCTGATGTTCTGATGTGTTCGGAGTTTCTTCCTTCTGGTGGGTTCGTGGTCTCGCTGGCTCAGGAGTGAAGCTGCAGACCTTCGTGGTGAGTGTTACAGCTCTTAAGGCAGCACGTCTGGAGTTGTTCGTTCCTCCCAGTGGGCTCATGGTCTTGCTGGGCTCAGGAGTGAAGCTGCAGATCTTCGCGGTGAGTGTTACAGCTCATAAAAGCAGCGTGGACCCAAAGAGTGAGCAGTAGCAAGATTTATTGCAAAGAGCGAAAGAACAAAGCTTCCACAGTGTGGAAGGGGACCCGAGAAGGTTGCCAATGCTGGCTCGGGCAGCCTGCTTTTATTGTCTTTTCTGGCCCCACCCACATCCTGCTGATTGGTAGAGCCGAGTGGCCTGTTTTGTCAGGGCGCTGATTGGTGCGTTTACAATCCCTGAGCTAGATACAAAGGTTCTCCACGTCCCCATCAGATTAGTTAGATACAGAGTTTCTACACACAGGTTCTCCAGGGCCCCACCAGAGCAGCTAGATACAGAGTGTCGATTGGTGCACTCACAAACCTTGAGCTAAACACAGGGTGCTGATTGGGGTATTTACAATCCCTGAGCTAGACATAAAGGTTCACCAAGGCCCCGCCAGAGCAGCTAGATACACAGTGTCGATTGGTGCACTCACAAACCTTGAGCTAAACAGAGGGTGCTGATTGGTGTATTTACAAACCTTGAGCTAGATACAGAGTGCCGATTGGTGTATTTACAATCCTTGAGCTAGACATAAAGGTTCTCCACATCCTCACCAGAGCAGCTAGATACGGAGTGTTGATTGGTGCACTCACAAACCTTGAGCTAAACACAGGGTGCTGGTTGGGGTATTTACAATCCCTGAGCTAGACATAAAGGTTCTCCAAGGCCCCACCAGAGCAGCTAGATACAGAGTGTTGATTGGTGCACTCACAAACCTTGAGCTAGACACAGGGTGCTGATTGGTGTGTTTACAATCTCTGAGCTAGATATAAAGACTCTCCACGTCCCCACCAGACCAGGAGCCCAGCTGGCTTCACCGAGTGGATCCCGCACTGGGGCTGCAGGTGGAGCTGCCTGCCAGTCCCATGCCATGAGCTCGTACTCGTCAGCCCTTGGGTGGTCGATGGGACTGGGCGCCGTGGAGCAGGGGATGGTATTCGTTGGGGAGGCTCGGGCTGCACAGGAACCCACGGAGGCAGGGGAAGGCTTAGGCATGGCGGGCTGCAGGTCTCGAGCCCTGCCCCGTGGGAAGGCAGCTAAGGCTCAGCGAGAAATCGAGCGTAGCGCCGGTGGGCTGGCACTGCTGGGGGACCCAGTACACCCTCCGCAGCTGCTGGCCCGGGTGCTAAGCCCCTCACTGCCCGGGGCCAGCAGGGCTGGCCGGCTGCTCTGAGTGCGGGGCCCTCCAAGCCCATGCCCACCTAGAACTCCAGCTGGCCCGCAAGCACCATGTGCAGCCCTGGTTCCCGCTCACGCCTCTCCCTCCACACCTCCCCGCAAGCTGAGGGAGTGGGCTCCAGCCTTGGCCAGCCCAGAAAGGGGCTCCCACAGTGTAGTGGTGGGCTGAAGGGCTCCTCAAATGCTGCCAAAGTGGGAGCCCAGGCAGAGGAGGTGCCAAGAGCAAGTGAGGGCTCTGAGGACTGCCAGCACGCTGTCACCTCTTAATCCTACTGTGCTATCAAACACTAGAATGTATTTCTTCTATCTAACTGTATTTTTTTTTTTTTTTTTTTTTTTTTTTGAGACGGAGTCTCGCTCTGTCGCCCAGGCCGGACTGCGGACTGCAGTGGCGCAATCTCGGCTCACTGCAAGCTCCGCTTCCCGGGTTCACGCCATTCTCCTGCCTCAGCCTCCCGAGTAGCTGGGACTACAGGCGCCCGCCACCGCGCCCGGCTAATTTTTTGTATTTTTAGTAGAGACGGGGTTTCACCTTGTTAGCCAGGATGGTCTCGATCTCCTGACCTCATGATGCACCCGCCTCGGCCTCCCAAAGTGCTGGGATTACAGGCGTGAGCCACCGGGCCCGGCCTATCTAACTGTATTTTTAAACCCTTAAGCCAACCTGTGTTCATTCCCCTTACTCCTACACTTCCTAGCCTCTGGCAACCATCATTTTATTCGCAACTTCCAGGAGATCAATTTTTTTAGCTCCCACATATGAGTAAGAACATGCAATGTTTGTGTTTCTGTGCCTGGCTTATTTCACTTAACATAATAACCTCCAGTTTGATCTGTGTTGCTGCAAAGGAAAGGATTTTATTCCTTTTTATGGCTGAATGGTATTCTGTTGTGTATGTATATGTGTATATATATATTATATATATATATACACATACATATGTATTATATATATACACACATACATATATATATATCAAAATTTCCTTATCCATCCACTAGTGGACAGTTAGGTTAATTCAGTATTTTGGTTATTATGAATAGTGCTGCAGTAAACATGGGCATGCAGCTATCTCTTTGATATACTGATTTCCTTTTTTTTGGATGTATACTCAGCAGTGAGGTTGCTGGATCATATGGTACATCTATTTTTAGTTTTTTGAGGAAACTCCATGCTTTTACTCATAGTGGCTGTACTAATTGCCATTCCCACCAGCAGTGAACTAGTATTCCCCTTTCTCCACATCCTCACCAGTACCTGTTATTGTTTGTCTTTTTGATAATAGCAGTTTTAACAGGGATGAGATGATATCTCAATGTGATTTTGATTTGCATTTCCCTGATGATTAGTGATGTTGAACATTTTTTCGTAAATGTTTGTTGGTCATTTGTATGTCTTCTTTTGAGAAATGTCTATTTAGATCATTTGCCCATTTTAAAATAAGATGATGATGATGATTGTTATTATTATTTTGCTATTGAGTTTGAACTCCTTATGTATTCTGTTTATTAATACTTTATCACATAGACAGCTTGCAAATAGTTTCTCCCATTATGTAGGTTGTCTCTGCATTCTGTCGATTATTTCCTTTGCTGTGCAAAAGCTTTTCAGCTTGATGTATTTCCATTTGTCTATTTTTGCTTTTGTTGCCTGTGCTTTTGCAGTCTTACCCAAAATATCTGCCTAGACCAATGTTCTAAAGTGTTTCACCAATGTTTTCTTCTGTAGTTTCATAGTTTCAGGTCTTACATTTAATTCTTTAATCCACTTTAATTTAATTTTTGAATACGGTGAGAAATAGAGGTCTAGTTTTATTCTTCTGCATATGGATATTCAATTTTCCTAGAACTATTTATTGATGAGCCTGTTCTTTCCCCATTGAATGTTCTTGGTTACTTGTCAAAAATCAGTTGGCAGTAAATATGTGGATTTATTTCTGGGTTCTCTATTCTGTTCCATTGTGCCTATGTGTCCGTTTTTATGCCAGGTCCAAGCTGTTTTGGTTACTGTAGCTTTGTAGTACATATTAGAGTCAGCTCATGTGATGCCTCCAGCTTTGTTATTTTTGCTCAGGATTTCTTTGGCTATTTGGGGTCTTCTGTGGTTCCATATGAATTTTAGAATTTTTTTTTCTAGGCTGGGTGCAGTGGCTCATGCCTGTAATCCCAGCACTTTGGGAGGTCAAGGCGGGTGGATCATTTGAGGTCAGGAGTTCAAGACCAGCCTGGCCAACATGGTGAAACCCTGTTTCTACTAAAAATACAAGAAAAAAAAAAAGGGCTGGGTGCGGTAGCTCACGCCTGTAATCCCAGTACTTTGGGAGGCCAAGGCAGGTGGATCACCTGAGGACAGAAGTTCGAGACCAGCCTGGCCAACACGGTGAAACTCCGTCTCTACTATAAATACAAAAATTAGCTGAATGTGGTGGCAGGTGCCTGTAATCCCAGTTACTTGGGAGGCTGAGGCAGGAGAATCGCTTGAACCTGGGAGGCAGAGGTTGCAGTGAGCCAAGATCACACCATTGCACTCCAGCCTGGGCAACAAGAGTGAAACTCCGTCTCAAAACAAAAGCAAAAATAATTAGCTGGGCATGATGGTGCACGCCTGTAATCCCAGCTACTGGGGAGGCTGAGGCAGGAGAATCACTTGAACCCAGGAGATGGAGGTCGCAGTGAGCTGAGATCATGCCACTGCACTCCAGCCTGGGAAACAGAGCGAGACTCTGTCTCAAAAAAAAAAAAAAAAAAAAAAAAAAAAAAGAATTGTTTTTCTAAAGAATGTCATTGATATTTTGATACAGATTGCATTGAATCTATAGATTGCTTTTGGGAGTACAATTTTTTTTACAATATTCTTCCCATTCATAGACATAGGATATATTTCCATTTTTTGGTGACATCTTCAATTTCTTTCATCAGTGTTTTATGGTTTTTCCTTGCAGCGATCTTTCACCTCTTTGGTTAAATTTATTTATGGGTGTGTTTTTAAAAGTAGCTATTGTAAAAGGGATTGCTTCCTTGATTTTTTTTTTTATGCTAGTTCATTGCTGGTATATAGAAACACTACTGATTTTTATATGCTAATTTTGTATCGTGAAACTTTATTGAATTTATCAGCTCTAAGAGTGTCTTGGTGGAGCTTGTTAGGGTTTTCTATATATGAGATCATGTTATCTGCAAACAGGGACAATTTGGCTTCCTCTTTTTCAATTTGGATGCTCTTTATTCCTTTCTGTTGCCTAATTGCTCTGGCTAGGACTTCCAGTACTATGTTGAATAAGAGTGGTAAGAGTGGTCATCCTTGTCTTGTTCTGGTTCTTAGAGAAAAGCTTTCAGTTTTTCCCCAATCAGTGTATTGTTAAATATGGGTTTGTCTTATATGGCCTTTAGAGTGTTGAGGTATGCTTTTTTTATATCTAGCTTGTTTAGGGTTTTTATCATGAAACGTTGTTGAATGTTATCAAATGCTTTTTGCATCTATTGAGATGATATTTTTTTTTATTCTTCATTGTGTTTATGTGATGTGTCACATTTATTGATTTGTGTATGTTAACTATTCTTGCATCCCTGTGATAAATCTCACTTGTATCCTCTTGCTGAATTGATCTCTTTTTCTTTACATAATAACCTCCTTTGCCTCTTTTTATACTTTTGACTTAAAAAATCTGTTTAATCTCATATAAGCATAGCTACTCCTGTTTGCTTTTGGTTTCTGTTTACATGGAATATCTTTTTCCATCCTTTCACTTTGCATCTATATGTGTTTCCACAGGTGAAGGAAGATTCTTGTAGGTAGCACATAAGTGGGTCATTTTTTTAAAGATCCATTCAGCCGGCCGATCTTTTTTTTTTTTTTTTTTTTTTTTTTTTTTTTTTTTTGAGGCAAAGCCTCACTCTGTTGTCCAGGCTGGAATGCAGTGGTGTAATCTCGGCTCACTGCAACCTCTGCTTCTCAGGTTCAAGTGATTCTCCCACCTCAACCCTCCAAGTAGCTGGGACTATAGGCATGTGCCACCATGTCTGGCTAATTTTTTTTTGTATTTTTAGTAGAGACAGGGTTTCACCATGTTGGCTAGGCTGGTCTCAAACTCCTGACCTTCAAGTGATCTGCCTGCCTCGACCTCCCAAAGTGCTGGGATTACAGGCATGAGCCCTATGCCCGGCCTCAGCAAGTCTATCTTTTAAGTGGGGAATTTAATCCATTTACATCCAAGGTTATTATTGATAGGAGAGGAGTGACTCCTGTCATTTGTAAATTGTTTTCTAGATTATTTTGTATATCCTTTGTTAATTTCTTCTTCTATTATTGTTTCTTATTGTGATTTGGTAGGTTTTTGTAGTACTGAGGCTTGATCCTTTTCTTTCTCCTTTGTGTATCTGCTCTGCCAGTGAGTTTATACTTTTCTATGTTCTCATGATTGTGATTATCATCTTTTTGCTTCCAAACGTAGGACTCCCTTGAGCATTTCTTGTAGAGCCAGTTTAGTGGTGATGGATTCCCTCAGTTTTTCCTTTTCTGGGAAAGACTTTGTTTCTCCCTCATTTCTGAAGAATAGACTTGCTGGGTGTGGTATTCTCAGTTGACAGCTTTTTTTCCACCCCTTTCAGATCTTGGGCTATATCATCCCTTTCTCTCCTGGCCTGTAAGATTTCTGCTGAGAATTTTGCTGTTTGTCTAATGGGATTCCCTTATATGTGACCTAACACTTTTCTTTTACTGTTTTTAGAATTTTCTCTTTGTCTTTGACTATTGACAACTTGACTATAATATACTTCAGGAAGGACCTTTTTGGGGTTGAATCTATTTAGGGACTTGAGCTTCCTAGATCTGAATATTCATATCTCTCCCCAGACTTGGGACATTTTCAGCTATTATTTCATTAAGTAGGTTTTCTATACCTTTTTACATCTCTTTTCTTTCTGGAACTCCTGTAATATGAATATTTATTCACTTAATAGTATCCCTTAGGTTTTGTAGGCTTTCTTTACTCTTTTTCATTTTTATTTCTTTTCTTTCTCTCACTGGGTAATGTCAAACAATTTATCTTCAAGTTCAGAGATCCTTTTTTCTGCTTGATCAAGTCTGCTGTGGAAGCTCTTCATTATATTTTTAAATTCCATTCATTGAATTCATTAGCTGTGTTTCTTTTTTGTGATATCTATCTCTTCACTGAATTTCTCATTCATATCATGTATTATTTTTCTGATTTCATCAAATAGTCTATCTGTATTTTTTGAATTTCATTAAGTTTCCTTAAGATCATTATTTTGAATTCCTTTTCTGACAATGTATCGATTTCTTTTTAATTGGGGTCTGTTTCTAGAGAGTTATTATGTTCCTTTGGTGGTGTCATGTTTTCTTGCTTTCTTCATGTTCCTTGTGTCCTTGCATTGAGGTCTGTGTATCTGGTGGAACAATTGCCTCTTCTAAACTTTCTAGAGTGGCTTTCTTAGAGAAATACTTTTACCTCAGTTGAATTTTAATGTGCCAGTTGGGAAGGGTGGTTCACGTAGGTTCGGTGGTATAGTCTTTGTGCAGCTTCTTTGGCTGTGTTTGACATCAGCAATAACTATGGGCATATCAGTGGCCTAGACTACAGAAGTTTGTGGTAGTGGTGGTGGCAGTATAGGTTGTTAATGTCCTTGGTAGCAAGGGCTATTCTATTCTTATTTTCTCCATAATGGGAAGACTTAGCTGAAAGTCTCCCTCTTGGGGTCAGGTCTGACATGGCATAGAAGCAGTTGCCATGACACTGGGTTTCAAGTACAGGTGCTCAAAGCAACTGTGGGGCAAGGTCTTACTTAGGCTCAAGGTCTTGTGAACCTATAGTGGCACTTGAGTCTTGGGATGCAGAGTGATCTCTGTGTCAGGGCTGGATATAGGATGCCTATAGTGCCTAGCAGCTTGGCTTCAGGGGGTCAGTTTGTAACTGTAATTCTACCCCTGATGGGCAGGGTGCAGCCGTGGTTTAACTTGGAGGAAGAAGAAGTGCTCTGGAAGTGTGAGACCAGGTTGCAGGATATGGCTGTAATTGCTGTAATTTGGAAACCTGCACCAATAGAGCTCAGTGGCAACTTGGATCCCTAGGGGTGAGGAATTGTGTAGTGGGGATTCTAAACTCTACAATGGTGGGACTTGGCAGTATCCCAGTCTCTGTAAGGCCAGATGCAGCAGCAGCAAGCATCCCAAAATAATCAAGCACACTGTTTTTTGGGCTGTACCAGGGCAGGGAGCAGCACAACAATGACTCTACTCCCTGGGAGAAGAGTGTCTCAGGAGCTCAGACTCAGGGGGCCTAGTCCAGCTCTAGGGAAGAATAATACTAGAGTTGTCTGGCCAGTAGGGTGGGGTGTCTTAGCCAACCACTGCTGTATTTCCCTGGGACCTAGGGTACTATGTCAGCACAGCCCTAGGACGTGCAGCTGCTCAGCTTGGTTGAGGCACTGATTCCCCAGTGGGCAATGTGCCACTCCAGCTCAGTCCTGAGGGATGTGACTATGCTGGATGGCCTCAACACCATTTTCCTGGGATATAGGGCTCTGCCAAAAGCATTGTTCCCTGGGGAGCTTCCCTGAGGAGCTGAAACTAGTGCAGTTTCAGCTCAGGCCCCTACGAGTAGAGTGCTGCCTAGTGTGACAGAAGTGGATGGAGCTGTTTTACCAAAGTAATGATTCTCCACGAAAGAGCGTGCAGTTTCAGCTCTGGAATGAGTGGGTAGGGGAGGGGGATGTGGAGTCGTTCCACTGCTGCTTGGCCCCATGGGGAAAGGTGTAACAGTTGCTCACAGCTCCGCTTGGAGATGTCAGGTCACTGGGTGGTGGTGTCTCAGCAGCAGTTTACCCTTAGGGATGAAGGGGTGAATGGCTACTCACCCCGAGAGCAAGACACATTCCAACAGTAGCTCCAGTTCCAAGACACCAAGACGGTGTAGTACAATAGCCATGCAGGCCACAGGGGGTGGGGCACAGTGTTGGCTCCATTTCTGAGGGAGCACAGTTGTGTACCTGTAGGCAGCTCCCTCAGCTGGGCTTAGTGCCTCTGAGAGCTGTAGGAGATCCCAGTGGTGAGGACTGTAGGTGTACAAGGTGCTGATAGGGGCTACTGGGATCTTCTTGCTTACGTTTTGCTGTAGGGAGAAGTTCTTCCTGGTTTCCAGCTGCTCTTACCTGGGCAATGGGGTGGTGGGGTCCCAGTGTTTCCTTCTGTTCTCTATGTGGCCATCCTGAGTTTCTGTGCTCACCAGAGTTTCTGTTTCTCCTTTGACAGAATTCTGCACTCTCCTTTAGTTATTTTTTTTTTAAATGTCGTTGTTTATTCTTTTAGTTGTTTTTGTGCAGAAGATGAGTGTCAGGGATTTCTAACTGGCCATCTTGCTGATGTCACACTAGGAGACATGTTATTAGCTCATATAATATTCACAATAACTCTGTAGAATATGTACTAATATTATTTTTCCCTGCCTTTTTTTTCTTGTGGAGAAAATTGAGGCAGAGAGGTAGGTTTGCCCTTAATTATATTTTAAATTATAGAGTAAATATTCTGTGGCTTCAGAGTGGTAAACACTGTAATACTTTAACATTTTCAAAGCCCCTTTGCTACATATCATTTTTTTCTCTTGGTTTACAGAGCTACTCAGAGTGATAAGTGCAATAATCATTAACAACCCCTTGTTACAAATACAGAAGTAAAGCAACTTGCCCCAAGTCACAAAAACAAGTTAGTAAGTTATGAAATTAGTTACATGCATGGAATATTCATGCTTGAATGAACCTTAAAAGTTTATCTAACCCAAACCTCAGATTTTACAGATGAAGAAGCTGAGGCCCAGCCAGGAACAGCTGAACTGTCCGGAGCCACAACTGGCAGATGGCAGAGCTGGGATTAGATTGCTAGTAACCTGGCTCCAACCTGCACCTCTGCTCTGCCTCTCTGGGCTGGAACTAGAACCCAGTGCTTCTGACTTTGGATTTAGTTCTCATACCACTCTCCTGTGCTGCCTTGTTGAAAATCCAAGAATCCAGCTGTGGGGATAAGGTCTATATCCATGAAACAACTGAAAACCAGCATATGATATGGAGAAACCATAAGAACAGGAAACTGCCTTACCACAAGTAAAATGCCCAGATCTCACTCTTTGGTACCAGTTCATAGTGTTCATTGATCAGCAATTTTTTTTTTCAGACATTGACAGCCCCCAAAACCTGGTGACCGACCGGGTGACAGAGAATATGGCCACTGTCTCCTGGGACCCGGTGCGGGCCACCATTGACAGGTATGTGGTGCGCTACACCTCTGCCAAGGACGGAGAGACCAGGGAGGTTCCGGTGGGGAAGGAGCAGAGTAGCACTGTCCTGACGGGCCTGAGGCCGGGTGTGGAGTACACGGTGCACGTGTGGGCCCAGAAGGGGGCCCAGGAGAGCAAGAAGGCTGACACCAAGGCCCAGACAGGTAAGGAGCATTGTTCTTTGGGAATATAAGAGCTTTCATGCTAAGTCAGTGGATGACAAGTTTTGTTTTCCTTCTCTGACATTGGCAGAAGTCAATGATTAATGGAAGAGTGGGATGGCATCCCTTCATAACAGATTGCACACACCATCCCTCATTTTCCTTTAACTAGTTTCCTTGCAAGTCAGGGCCACAAGGCAGTCTCCAAGCTATGATTACATGGTCATGTCCATCAACTCCTCTTCTGATTGCATGGATCTTTTGCTGTAGACAGTATCGAGGGTCTCTTAGTGAGTTTGTGAGTGGGAACAGAAAATGAAAATCAAATTTTGTTAATAATAATAGTATATTGAAAATTTGACTTTAAGAACGTAGATGTCACATCTGCCATAGCAAGGAGATGTATATCATTTGCTTTATGACAAATGAATCACATTATAACTATAAAACATATTTATAACTAGAAATTATGATAAGTTCTATGAAGGAGATGACATGGTGTAGGTATAGAGAATAATGAAGTAGTGATGTTTCTCAGATAGGAAGGGGAAATAGTAATAGGATACACATGGCCAAAACAACCAAATAACAGTTGCTTAAACAAGAAAGGAGCGTATTCCTCTTGTTGAATAGCAGAGTGTACGTTGGCCAGAGTTTTGAGGATAAGGATAGCTCCTACGTTATATTCTTATTTTAGTGGAAGCGATATCTAACCATATTTTGTACAGTGATTTAATCAGCAAACCAGCATGATGAGTGAATCTATGATATGCTAGAGAATATTCAACCAGGGTTTTACTTTTTGCGGATTCCTTTAGTAATATATAGTGAGCATTTTCCACGTGCCCTGCCCACTACTAGGCACTGGGAACACAGGAGAATAGGATGCTGCCCTCTTCCTCCAGGGGCTTACATTTAGAAGTGGCTTTTAGAATCTTCTAGTATGAAATGGGAGGTCTTTACTGACATGATGTGAGACACAAAATTGTTAGTTCCTGGTGAGCAGAGACCATGTCTTTTCCAATTCTGGATTCTGCACACTGTCTAGAACATTTCATGGACAGAGTTGGGGCTTGATATACCCTTACTAGATGAATAAAAGATTTGTTTTGCTAAAGACTTGGTAGAGGTAACAGCCTGGATTCTCAGGTTCTGATCTATTGTGCTTTCTACTTGAGGAGCCAGGTATATCTTGGGGGAGAAGATGATGTCCATGAAACAGCTAAAAATGAAACAAGAGCATATGAGGCGGAAACCCCACACAACATGAAAGGGTTTCACCCCACGCAAAATGACCACCAGTTTCTGCACTCTGGCACCTGTTCATAGTGCATATTGGTCAGCATTTTTTTTTTCAGACATTGACAGCCCCCAAAACCTGGTCACTGACTGGGTGACAGAGAATACAGCCACTGTCTCCTGGGACCCGGTGCAGGCCACCATTGACAGGTATGTGGTGCACTACACGTCTGCCAACGGAGAGACCAGGGAGGTTCCAGTGGGGAAGGAGCAGAGCAGCACTGTCCTGACGGGCCTGAGGCCGGGCATGGAGTACACGGTGCACGTGTGGGCCCAGAAGGGGAACCAGGAGAGCAAGAAGGCTGACACCAAGGCCCAGACAGGTAATAGAAGTGAAGAGAAGAGCAAACCCGGGTAGTAGCTGCAGGTTGATCTATTGCAGCTGAGTGATGATGCAGCTGCTTTTGGCATCTGTAACCTCAGGGCTGCAGACTGTTTTAGGAGAGTTTGCTGTAAAAACAAAACAAAACAAAAACAAAAAACAAACAAAGAAACAAAAAACTTTCATTCACCCAAAGAAAGAACAACGTGTTATAGGAAAGGCGTCCCGATCCAGACCCTTAGAAAGGGTTCTTGGATCTTGTGCAAGAAAGAGTTCAGGGTGAGCCCATAGAGTAAAGTGAAAGCAAGTTTATTAGGAAAGTAAAGGAATAAAAGAATGGCTACTAGCCATGGGCAGAGCAGCCCTGAGGGCTTGTGGTTGTCCATTTTTATGGTTATTTCTTGAAGATATGCTAAACAAGAGGTGGATTATTCATACCTCCCCTTTTTAGACCATATAGGGTGACTTCCTGACATTGCCTTGGCATTTGTAAACTGTCATGGCACTGGTGGGAGTGTAGTAGTGAGGATGACCAGAGGTCACTCTCATTGCCATCTTCGTTTTGGTGGGTCTTGGCCGGCTTCTTTACTGCAGGCTGTTTTAACAGCACGGTCTTTATGACCTGTATCTTGTGCTGACCTCCTATCTTATCCTGTGACTTAGAATGCCTTAACCATCTGGGAATGCAGCCCAGTAGGTTTCACCCTTATTTGACCCAGTTCCTATTCAAGATGGAGTTTCTCTGGTTCAAGCATGTCTGACAAAACTATAGTAATGGACCCAGTGGGAGCAGTCCCATGAATGCCTTTTTTTTCTTTTTTTTTTTTTTTTGAGACAGTCTTGCCCTGTCGCCCAGGCTGGAGTGCAGTGGCGCTATCTCGGCTCACTGCAAGCTCCGCCTCCCGGGTTCATGCCATTCTCCTGCCTCAGCCTCCCAAGTAGCTGGGATTACAAGCGCCCGCCACCATGCCCGGCTAATTTTGTTTTTGTATTTTTAGTAGAGACGGGGTTTCACCGTGTTAGCCAGGATGGTCTCAATCTCCTGACCTCGTGATCCGCCTACCATGGCCTCCCAAAGTGCTGGGATTACAGGCATGAGCCACTGCGCCTGGGCCCATGAATGTCTTAAAACTCTTTCCAAAGCCTGTGTTTTTAATCATTGTGTCTCTCAGCTATAGGAAATAATGTAAAACCAATATAAAATTCTTAAAACCACTGATTAAAAACCTGTTTTGTGGCAAGCTATTTTGTATAGGTTTGACCGAATAGACGCTGTGTGATAGAAAGGAGCAAGTATTCACCTGGGTGGCTGGAGCCCTGTTTCCTTGCAGTAGGCAGCTGACTTTTAATGAGCATCATCTAAGTGCCAGGCCTGGGGAACACAGTGGTGAACAAAACAAATATCTCTACTCTCTTGAAGTCTAGAGTGAAGATAGACAATAAATAAGAAAACACATTTAAAACCGTAAATTATGCTAAATTCTGTGAAGGAGATGAACATGGTGTAGGTATAGAGAATTACAGGGTAAGGATGTCTTGCAGATGGGAAGGGTGAGTAGTAATAGGATATACATAGACAGAAACACTCAAATAACAGTTGCATCAGCAGGAATGGAGTGTATTCCTCTCTGTAGAATGTCCAGGGCTGATACGGTAGCTCCTCGTCCAGGAGACCCAGGCTTCTTCTGTGATTGTTGCTTAGTCATCCCTAGCAATTTGCCCTCCTTTACCTGGTCACCACCCTGTCTGCATTGTAGCCAGTGGGAAGAGGCATGATGAAAGTCAGGGCATCACTGGGACATTGCACATATCAGCCCTTCTCATGTTCCATTGCCAGGTCCCAGACAGACCTCACTGCAAAAAAGGCTAGGAAATGAGGTCTTTAGCTGGATGGCCCTGTGCCCAGCTTTACTTTGGTTATGCTGTCCTGACCAACACAGCAGCTGCTAGCTACATGTAGCTATTAAAATTATTTTTATTTTTATTTTATTTTCAGAGACAGGGTCTCATTCTGTTAGCTAGGCTGGAGTACAGTGGTATGATCACAGTTCACTGCAGGCTTGACCTCCCGGGCTCAAGCCATCCTCCCACCTTAGCTTCCCAAGTAGCTGGGACCATAGGCACGTGCCACTAAACCTGTAATTTTTTATTTCTTTTAGAGATGGGGTCTCACTGTGTTGAACTCCTGGGCTCAAGTGATCCTCCTGCCTCGGCTTCCCAAAGTGCTGGGATTACAGGCATGGGTCACTATGCCCAGCCTAAATTTTAATTAATTAAAAATAAAATAAAAATATTTTCTCATTTGGATTAGCCACATTTCAAATGGTCAGTAGCCACATGTGACTAATGGCTACGGTATCGGACTGTGCCGATTATAGAATACTTTCATCATTGCAGAGAGATCTGTTGGACAGTAAGTGTGCTTACAGAAGAAGGGGGAGAATGGATTTTGGCAAAAACTAGCCATTTCTGGCAAACGGAAGAGTATGTGTGATGTCCCCCAGCTGGAATAGTACCTGGGATGGTTGGAGAATGAAAAGAGGCCAGTTTTGCTGGAGCATAGAGGGTGGAAGAGCAAGTGGCCTGAGATGAGGCGGGAGGAGCAGGGGCAGATCAGCCAGGACCATGTGGTACTTAGAGGACAAAATGGGCTATACTTATTAATACTAGAAGAGTGATATGATGCAGTGTTCATTTAAAAAACATTTTCCAGGCCACAGTGAGGAGAATAAATGGAGAAAATGACAAGGATAGAAGTTGGGAGGTTCGTAGGGAAGCTGCTAGAAAAGTCTGGGTGCAAAATGCTGCTTGTCTAGGTAAGCATGATGGCAAAAGGGACAGAGAAGAGGGGATGTCTGGAATATATTTTTGAGGTATGGATGATAATACCTGTTGATAGATGTGGGGTAGGAAGAAAATGAGGACTCAAGTATGACCTGTGTTTTTTATTTGAGCAACATGGGAGATTGGACTACCATTTCTTGAGAGGGGAGACTGAGAAATAAAAAGTTTGGGGAGAAGCATCAAGACTTTTAAATATTTAAGTTCAAGATACTTGTGAGATTCCTTGGTTAATTGAGTGATTCATTTATTGATTACATAAATATTTATTGAGTGTCTAATACAGGCCAGGCACCGTGGTGGAGATGCAGTTGTATAAACTAGTCAGGGGCTCAGAATTAATAGATATTGTGGAGCGATTAGCATCCAGTTGGTATTTAAAGCCATGGGCATGAGTGAGATCACCTAGGTGGAAAAGTACAGAGAGGAAAAGAGGGAGCTTTGGGACAGGTGCAGTGACTCTCACCTGTAATCCCAGAACTTTTGGAGGCTGAGGTAGGTGAATTGCTTGAGCTCAGGAGTTCAAGACCAGCCTGGTGAAATCCTGTCTTTACAAAAAAAAAAAATACAAAAATTGGCTGAGTGTGGTGGCATGCACCTGTATTCCCAGCTACTCTGGAGGCTGAGGTGGGAGGATTGCTTGAGCCTGGGAGGTCAAGGCTGCAGTGACCTATGATGGCACCACTGCTCTCCAGCTTGGGTGAAAGACCGAGACTCTGTATCAACAAAACAAAACAAAACACAACAAATAACAGAGAAAGGGAGCTTTGGGTGCTCCAGTGTTTGAAGGTTGCTAACAAAGGACTGAAGAAGAGCCAGTGAGTTAGGAAAATCAAGGGAGTATGTAGTCATGGAAGCCAAGGGTTGAGAGTGTTTCAAGAAGGAAGGAGTGGATCAGCTCTGCCAAATGCCACCCAGAAGCAGTGTAAAGTTGAGAATGGCAAGTATGCATTAGATGTGGCAACACGGATGTTGTTGGTGACTTAGACTAGCAGATTTAGTTGTGTGGCATAGAAAGATGCAAACAGGATTGATTGGAGAGTGAGCAGTGAAGTTAAGGTATGTAGACATTTCTCTTGAGACAATCTGTCAGTTTAAGGTTGCAGAGAAATGGAATGATACGGGAGAGGATGGGGGATTCTAGACCTTGCTTGTCTGGGACTGATGACAGAGAAGAAGAGATTGATGACACAGGAGAGAAAGGGCAGATCTGCAGCAAAGTCCTTGAGAGGGTGGGAAGGCCTAAAATTCAGAGCGAAGAGTCTTGGCTTTAACATAAGATGTCAACAGGAACTTGGCCTAGACCTTCCATTTCCCTGGGCCTCCATTCTCCTCCCCTTTTATAAGTCGGAAAGGTTGGAGGATATGACTTCTTGGCTCTCAAATTCTGTGAAACAAAATAACTAGATACCAGGGAGATCAGAAAAGAGGTTATATCCACAGCAGTTTTGGTGGCTTATCTTGTTGCTCAGGAAGTTTTATTGTTATTTTGATGAGAATTACAAGGACAGAAATTTTTTATATTAAAAAGTGGGAGATGATCTGATTCCTTCCAGTTTTATATCCAGTGGTTTGTTTCCTTGGAAATGGAGACCAGGGGCCTTTGACTCGTGTTTTAAGTGGAATTCTACCATTATTAATGATAACATGATGGAGAGCTCCTGGTGATGAGGTGGTAAGATGCGATGTCTTCCTTTGTTCTAAAGTTCAGCCTTTTCTAAATCTTTTTAAAAAGAAATTGACGGCCCCAAAAACCTAGTGACTGACTGGGTGACGGAGAATATGGCCACTGTCTCCTGGGACCCGGTTCAGGCCACCATTGACAAGTACATGGTGCGCTACACCTCTGCTGACGGAGAGACCAGGGAGGTTCCGGTGGGGAAGGAGCACAGCAGCACTGTCCTGACGGGCCTGAGACCAGGCATGGAGTACATGGTGCACGTGTGGGCCCAGAAGGGGGCCCAGGAGAGCAAGAAGGCTGACACCAAGGCCCAGACAGGTACTGAGAGGGACCAGGCCAGGGGAACACCTCACACTTATCAGGAGAGAACCTTCCTCCATCAGTGGGCTGGGGAGGGGAGCAGGAGGGTGGTTGCTTTACCCGAGGACATTCTTCAAAGTGGTTCCTTTTTTACGTCTTTGAGCTAATTAAGTTGACACAACAGCTCAGATAAGATGAGAGAGTATAGAGGGAGTGAGTGCTGGTGTCAAAGGTGGCCTCCCTCACCCCTCCACCCGGCCCAGCGCTCAGAATCTCCACACTTGCTATGGAGAAAATGGTTGGGCCTCAGCTGCAGTTGGGAGAAGACAGAGGCAGGAGCCTCTTCTGTTTCCATCTTCCAGAATGGAGGCAATGGGGATGCATCTTTCTCCATTCCATCCTCAGTTGATGATGAAAGGTGCCTGAATTGCATGTATTTTGTGTGTGTGATGGGGCCTCTGATCTTGGCAGAGCATCACTGAGGTCAGAACCCAGAGGCACTTGGAAGAGAGCACTGTGCCCACCCTGAGGTCTATGAGCCTCTTCTGGCAGTACGGGCAAGGTCTGTCCATTCCATCCATGGCTGAGCGCACCAAGTGTTGCCACGGGACCTAGAGATGGCTTGAATTTCTCTATGGTTTTTATTAGTTAAAATTAGCTTGCATTTTTAATCTAAAAAGTAATATATGCTTATAGTAAATATTTTCAAACTAAATAGAGACGTGTTAAAACAAAACAAAACAAAACAAAAACGGCCAGGCGCGGTGGCTCATGCCTGTAATCCCAGCCCTTTGGGAGGTCAAGGCTGGTGGATCACCTGAGGTCAGGAGTTTGAGACCAGCCTGACCAACATGGAGAAACCCCGTCTCTACTAAAAATACAAAAATTAGCTGGGTGTGGTGGCAGGTGCCTGTAATCCCAGCTACTTGGGAGGCTGAGACAGGAGAATTGCTTGAACCCAGGAGGAGGAGGTTGCAGTGAGCCAAGATTGCGCCATTGCACTCCAGCCTGGGCAACAAAGAGCGAGACTCCATCTCAAAAGCAAACAAACAAACAAACAAACAAACAAACTCCTCTCTCTGTCCTGGACTCCCTAGTATGCAGGGTTGCTCTCCAGATGCAACCAGTAGCCAGTTCTCCCTTCTTCCCTCTTTCCCACTTCCTACCTCCTTCTCCCCTTCCTTTCTCTGTTCCTTTCTCTCTTATTCCTTTCTTCTCCTCTTCCTTGTTTATCTTCTCTTGGGTTCACCTTCTCCATTTTTGAAGACAGCAATAAAAAGATTCTCATTTTCCTGCTTCATAGAAATGTGAAAGTAACTAAGACAGACATCTCAAGTCCATAACCAGGGAGTGGTGGGCAGTCAAAGAGGTGGCAGGAGATTGCTTAAGATGTTAAAATAGCCACAGTTTTGCCTTGATTGTGAAATCAGGAAATTCAGTTTTTCTGTGAGACGAATAGAATAAAATCCATGCCAGATGTTATGCTTTAGAAAATCAAACCAAGTTGATATTACAGAAACTCAAAATTTGTCAAAACATCCTAATTCAAAACAACAGCTGTCTGATTTCTATTAAAATACTGCAATTCAGCTCTCAGCTGAAATGCTACTGGGTAGAAAATAGCCTGGAGACGTCTTTTTGGGAAGTTATAAATTAAAATAACCTTCTATGATAATGCTTTTTCAAAAGAGAAATTTCCATTCATATCTTCTTTGGTTAAAAAAAAAAAGAGCCTTCTGACCAGTGATGTTGACCAGTATTTTTGCTGAGCTTCTGTTTTCCTGGTCTACAGTGCACACTTGCTTACCCACGCGTTCCCTCTAGTGTTTGGGTGAGGAAGTACATAGAAGAAGAGCTCTGCTTTTCCTATATCCCTTCTCTTTCCCTCTTCCCTCCCCCACCTCTTCCTTTCTTCTCTTTTCCTTCCTTCTCTCTCTCTCCCTCTTTCTTTCTCTTTCTTTCTTTCTCTCTCTCTCTCCCTTTCTCTCTTCTTTTCTCTCTCTCCTTCCTTCCTTCCTTCTCTCCCTCCCTCCCTCCTTTCTTTCTCTCTTTTTTCTCTCTTTCTTTCTTTCTTTCTTTCTTTCTTTCTTTCTTTCTTTCTTTCTTTCTTTCTCTCTCTCTCCCTCCCTTTCTCTCTTCTTTTCTCTCTCTCCTTCCTTCCTTCCCTCCCTCCCTCCTTTCTTTCTTTCTTTTTTCTTTTTCTTTCTTTCTTTTTTCTTTTTCTTTCTTTCTTTTCTTTTTTTCTTTCTTTCTCTCTCCCGCTCTCTCTCTCTTCTCTTTCTTTCTTTCTCTCGCTTCTCTCCCTTTCTTTCTTTCCTTCTCTCTCTCTCTCTCTCTCCTCTATACAAGCACCTGTTCCCTTGCCTTCTCCTTCTCTTCTTTCTCTACTGGGTATGCATCTAAGGCCACACACTTCAATATGTAACAGTATGTAAGAAACATAACTTTTTGTTTCTTTCTTTTTTTTTTTTTTTAAGACAGAGTCTTGCTCTGTCACCCAGGCTGGAGTGCAGTGACGTGATCTTGGCTTACTGCAACCTCCGCCTCCCGAGTTCAAGCAATTCTCCTGCCTCAGCCTCCCGAGTAGCTGGGATGACAGGCGACCACCACCATACCCGGCTAATTTTTGTATGTTTGGTAGAGATAGGATTTCATCATATTGGCCAGGCTGGTGTCGAACTCTTGACCTTGTGATCCGCCTGCCTTGGCCTCCCGAAGTGCTGGGATTACAGGCATGAGCCACCGTGCCTGGCCAACTTTTTGTTTCTATGCCAACTTAATTTCAATCATAAGCCCATATTCTACTTAGGGTAAGCTCCTTCCTCAGGGCTGTATGTAAGTCTTGGGTAGTTTCCCAGTGACAGGCATTGGGGCCCATCCAGCATTTCAGGCAACTTTCCAGGCGGGCCAAGTCACCCTGGTTTCTTTGTGCATGGCCCTTTCAGATCTGTGGCCCTCTTATCTTTCCACATCCTTTTGGGAGCCCTGCCATCTCTGAGGATCTATCTGCCAATCTAGGCTGTTAATATCCACCACTTTGTGGGAACCTGCCTGGGAAATGGGGGCCCAGATTCCTTTCCTCTGGGACCCACCCAACGCCCTGTTCTTCTTGTCTCTAATGGGTCTGTACTTGTAGAAACAAAGGTCAGAAAGGCCCTGTGGCAGGGAGGAAGAGAGCCTGCAAACTGCTTGAAAGAAGGAGGAGAAATGGGAGGGTTTGAAAAGGGGAAAATATAAACTGATGTCTCAAAAATTACCTTGCCTCAGTTGTATCTTAGTAATAACAATTACCTGACTTTCTACGTACAGAACTCGACCCTCCCAGAAACCTTCGTCCATCTGCTGTAACGCAGTCTGGTGGCATATTGACCTGGACGCCCCCCTCTGCTCAGATCCACGGCTACATTCTGACTTACCAGTTCCCAGATGGCACAGTTAAGGTACGGGGATTCCTTGTCTTTTCTCCTGGTGCCTTCTCTTCTGTGTGAAGCAACTAACTTGGGCCAATCAGCTCATTTGCTGGCCTCACGGCAACTTGCTGATCTTTACTGATCACATTGCTGGTTGTACATCTGCCCCGGGTTATTTTGTTTATTGTTAGTCTTCCCCAATAAATGTAAGCTCTATGTTTGTCTGTTTCATTTATCACCATATCTAAAGTGCATAGGACAGTGCTTAGCACATGGTAGGTGTTCGATATATATTTATTGAACAAATTGATTAACCCTTATTTCAAGGGTTATACCTCCCCTTAGAATCTGAAGGCCAGCAAATTTTCAAAACCTGTCCCAATGGAAAATTATTATTCTCCCTCCTTGCCAATGAAGAAAGAAGGGAGGAAATAAAAACAGGAAGGACACTTAGGTTTATGTGTTACCTTAATTAGTGCTTATGACAGCACAGCTAGGAAGGTTAGCCCTATGTTTATAGAGGAAGTAAGACTGGTTCAGAAGGAAGTTTATTGAAATATCAACTATCTCCTTGTCTCAGATATCAGTGGCCAGTTTCACCTCCCCTATTAATTTCTCCTTAGCGCGGCATTGCCAGCCTGTTCCTGCTGGCAATGTAGCCACTATAGTTAGAGCCCCTGTGTGTATCTGAAGGCCAAAGTCTCCCAGAAACTTGGCCGGTGATCCTGAAGCTGCAGTCCTGGGTGCTGGTTCTCAGCTGATGCTCCCAGTAGTGCTGACTCTCCATGGCATGGCTCTCCAGAGAAGTGGCTGGGACCCACTGCGATTCTGGGCTGCCACTGAGGCTTCGGAGAGACAAAACACTGTGCTCTCAGAGAGCTTCTGTCATTAGCACCAGGGAACGCTGTTGACACCTAGGGTGCTAGTGGGTGATAAACTGAGTCACTGGCTGTCTAATCTCTCCCTTGTTTGGTAGGAGATGCAGCTGGGACGGGAAGACCAGAGGTTTGCGTTGCAAGGCCTTGAGCAAGGCGCCACCTACCCTGTCTCCCTTGTTGCCTTTAAGGGTGGTCGCCGGAGCAGAAATGTATCCACCACCCTCTCCACAGGTAATATGGAATCCTGTACTCTGAACGACCGTGCAATGAGAACCAGCACCGGAAAGCCTAGCAAAGGAGTCCAGGGAGGAGCAAGTGGATGCAGAACTATTGATTTCTCTAGGCATGGGGAAGTGGAAATGGGGTTGTGTGTTCAAAAGAAATCCACCCCACAGTGGGGAGGCTAAAGAGAGGAGTGAAATAGAGTGTTACTTTGTGAGGGAGCTGAGTTGGGGGAGGAAGTGATGTGAACTTGACCTTTTCCTGGTGCATTTGGGGAGTTGATGAGAAAAATAAGATATGAGTGAAGAGTTGGAAGAAGCTGAAGTAGGAAGTTATGAAATAATTTCCAAACAAAATAAATTGCCTTAAAATAGGAAGAAACTCCACCTCTTTCCTCCTTGCCCTTGTCCTAACAACACTCTCTCTGCTTGGCTCCCAGTTGGTGCCCGTTTCCCACACCCTTCGGACTGCAGTCAGGTTCAGCAGAACAGCAATGCCGCCAGTGGTCTGTACACCATCTACCTGCATGGCGATGCCAGCCGGCCCCTGCAGGTGTACTGTGACATGGAAACGGACGGAGGTGGCTGGATTGTGAGTCACGCAGAACCCTGGGGAGCTCTGTGTAGGGCCTTCCTTCTCAGCCCAGGATGCCGGTCATGGATGCTCCATAGAGTGTTTGGAGCCCTATTTCTTCTCCACCCATGGAAGAGAGGAGTTTTGGTGGCTTGTAGCTGTTTTTAGAGAGATCCCAATGTTACAGGAAAGGGGTCCCCATCCAGATCCCAAGAGAAGGTTCTTGGATCTCATGTAAGAAAGAATTCAGGGTGAGTCCACAATGCAAAGCAAAAGCAAGTTTATTAAGAAAGTAAAGTGGTGAAAGTACAGCTACTCCATAGACAGAGTAGGGCGTTTCTGAAAGTAAGGAGGAATGCATGCACCCTATGTACAAGACTTGTTTATATATAGGATAAAAAAAGATCATGAGGGGATGTGCTCTATTACAATGGTTCGTGATAAAGGATTAATTTTCTTAATTACTATATTTTGCGAGAATCAATATTATTATATTTAAAGCAACATTAGGAGTGCTTCTGTTCTCAAGATATCAGGACATTCCTAAGTCTGGGTCTGTTTAGTAAACACTGTCAATCTGTTCCCTTAACCATAAACATCTGGAGGCTAGGAATACCTAACTTTCTGGGAATGCAGCCCAGCAAGTCCCAGCCTCATTGTCTTAGCACTCACTCAAGATGGCTCTGGTTCAAATGCCTCTGACACCAATCAACTGTAAGGATAGAGCCTAGTACTTAACCACTGTCCTAGAACAGGCTTGGTTAGACTAAGGCTGATGACTATGAAGGCTTGTGAGTTGATCATCATCTAGTAATGCCTTATATGTATGTATTACCTATATTTTACCTTCTTCAAAGCACTTCTGTACACATGACCCTCACACAACAGCTTTAGAGTAAGTGAGAGAGGATTGTTTTTCTTATTTTACAGATAGGGACAGTGAGTCCCACAGAAAGAAGTGCCTGGCCTAAGTCATACAAGAATGACAAAGCTGGGACCAGATTTCAAAACTCCAGCCTCCTAATCATTGGTCTTCTCAGTGAGTTCATCTCAGGTCATCCAAGATGCGAATGCATAGCCTGACTGGGGAGTTCAGACCTCTGAACTGGAGTCCATTGTCCAAGTTCTGTACCCTGTCTCCACAGTACAGCAACAAGGCCTTTGAGGTTTTGATTGGAAAGACTAAAGTCTGAAAGACGGAAACTTGGGCAATGCTCTAATTGTCCCTCTTCTGTGTAGATGTTTTATTCTCTTGGGCCATTGTCTGCCTAAACCACATGGCAGCTTCTTTGATTGCATCAGCCTGATCCAATTATATGATAAGCTGTTTTTGAGGGTTGCAATCTGATCCTTCCATCTCCCCTTGCCCCTTTTCTCCCTGTGCCTGAATGATAAAGACTCTCACTGCTCCAAGCCAGCATGCAGCCTTAACCTGCTGTGCATCCGCAACTCACTGTGGGAAAGAGAGAGCATGATCTCATAGTGCTCAAACCTTATTCATTTACACATTCACTCAGGGGCCTGGGAAACCAAAGACACTTGAGCAGCCATGAATAAAAAGATACCATCTGATGAGCAGCAATGAAGAAAACTTATTATCTGCACAGCGACATCTGACGGTTGAAAGGCAGTAATTGGATTGGCTGGGGGAAATTCCCGATTGATTTATAAAAACAACAGAGCAGAATGTAACATGGGAGGTCTTCCACCTGACCAGACCCATAGGGCTGTACCTGCTGCTTTTCATCAGCACCATTGTAAGGCTAAGCATTCTGTCCCTTCAGGCCTGCAGCCCAATTTCCTGCCTTTGTGCCTGTAATTGACTTTTGGCAGGACGTTTGTATTGTCTAGTGTGGCCTTTTTGTAAGCCAAGCTCCCACACAGAAGGAGTTATCTGGGGCAACATTTAGAAAGAGATCTGTCAGTCTGTCTGCCCTGGAATAGTCATGACTTATTGCACATATATTTATTGAGTGCCTACTATGTGTCGGCACTGCTTCATGTACTCAAGATCCAGCAGTGAACCAAACCAACAGAAATCCCTGCCCCCAAGGAGCTTGCCATTTACATCCTGCTCATGCAAATGACCCCTCCTCAAACACAGAGATCGGTTCCAAAAATAATAAAACCACTGTGCATTCTCACCCTCCCCAGCCCCAACCCCACCCCAAGTCTTGTTTTCTGAGCCAGACTCCTGGGGGTCATGCATGAACTGAGGTTCTGCAGGGTTTTACTTAAAGCCACCATGCTCCAGAAAACATGGAGTCCTGAAAACTTCCCCACAAAACATTTTACTGACAGTTGTTACAGTTTTTTTGGGGGGGTTCAAGAGTCCTTTGTCACTGAAGGATGACCCATGGTCTGTTTCTCTGTTTTATTGAGCTTTCAAAATCCTTTTATGGTAATTCTTCCATCCCAAGCAACAGGAACTCAATCTGAAGAATAGGCCAGAAGAACTGTGCCCTGAGGTAAACTCTGCCGCTGGTGGGAGGCTGGAAAGAACATCAGGGAACACTTAATGTTTCAAATATTTCCATCTTTGTTTTCCATCTTGAAAGTCTTAATGCATTAGAGGCTCTTTCCACAGACATTTCAATGCAAGTTTGACTTTTTTTCTCTGTATTTAGTCATTCAGGGCATTGAGTAAGTTCTAGAATGCAATGACAACTCTAGTATAGAACCAGACACAAAGAGGTTTCTTTTGTTTGTTTGTTTTTCTCCCTTTGAAACTTATTTGGTAAGGGGGTTTTGTGATACCCAAATAGTTCATTATAGGGTGTTTTCATCTCATAGAATGGGAGTGGATTAGACTCTGAGTGAGTCAATTAAGGCTGCCTGATCAAGATGTATAAATGATCCCTGTGGGTCAGTTCATTTGGAAACTGATATAATAAAATGCAAACTAACATTTATTGAGAGATCATAATAACTTATTATATCTATATATGCCAGGGTCTGGCTTAACTACTTTATGATTTACTATGATTAATGATCTTGCCGAAGCCTTGATTTAAGATCGTGACGGAGAGGCTGTTAACATCTTAATCTAACAGTTTAGAAAAGTGAGGCTTGTCAAGGTTGCCCAAAGACACAACTAGTAAGTATAGAACTGGTTCTGGTTCAAAACAGTGATGCAAAGAGCACCAGAATCATTTTTGGAAGCTTCCCTGGCCCAGATGAAGTATTATTACACACACACACACACACACACACACACACACACACACATCGCTGGAAAGCTCCTATCAAGCTTGGGCACTGGGTTCACTGATAGGAGATAGAGACCAAATACCTTTGTAATGCATTCTAGGGGGGCAGGGTTGGATTTGAGCCTGACCTTGTGGTGGGAACGTGATTTGACACGATGTATGTGGAGCCATACATCGGTGCTACATGTATCCTAAAATTCCACTGTCCTTGGTACAACAAGAGTCCCAAGGAAGGGGTTGGACCAGGCACCTTGCTAGGAAATTAGCAAGTTCTCAGAGTCTTTGAAAATTCGATTTGGGAAACAGATTCAGTAGGGCTGGTATTTTCAAACTTTCTGACAGAAAGATAAGATTTATGCGTGGTCTTTGTATCAGTGATTAGCTGTAGGACTCTGGATACTCGCTTTTCTGGACTTTCACATCTGTCAAATGGCATCATAAATACTTGCTCCAGGGCCAGCACTCACGAAATGATTGTCGTCTAAGTGAATAAATGAGTGAAGAAAAGTGAGGGAAGCCAAGAAGGAAATAGGGCATTTTTAAAAGATGGATACTTGAGCAAAGGGGAAAGAGAACAACAATGTTAATGTGGTGTTAGCTGTTTGCCGTGATATTTCCTACATTCTGTTCAGTAGCTCTTGCCTATTTATAGAACATTTTTATGTGGTGTCTCATTTAGTCCTCCCAGAAGTCTTATGAAGTAGGCTCTTCTCTTCCCTTCCATTCCTGTTTTACCATGAGCTGGCTGAGGGTCAGCAATAGAAGAGGCTGCCTCAGCAATCCCCACCCATCCCCTGCCCAGGAAGTGGCTGTGGTCTGACTTGGAGTCTGGAGCCTTCTGCATCCATGGTGCCCCACTCCTTGGCCAGCAGACATGAATGGGTGCTTTGGAAGGAGTTAAATATGCACTCCCATGTGGAGCTTTCAGCATTGCTGCAGGGTAACCTACTCTCTCTTCCCGGAGAAAAATATAAAGAAGGCACAAATATCAGGTGGTTTACCTTATAAATTCAAGATAATGTGTTTTACTTCAAGGCACATGCTGTGAAGTCTAGTGGAAAGGAGGGAGATTAGATTTTGTGTTGGGGCTTCTGCATCTGAATGAATGCAAAGAAAAATAGGCAGAGAGAGAAATGCAATTCTAGCCTTTGGTTAGTGGGAATCATTCCTGAGGTTAGCTAGGATGGCATTCAGCTTGGCTCTCAAGGTCATGTGGAATTAGATGTATTATCAATTCCAATAGTGTATACAGGTGTGTGTGGGTACTTTTCAGATTTACTTCCTATAAAAGAATCCAATTTACTGTGACTGGAACTGCCTTCCTTCTCCAAACAGTGGAATTTTTGAAAAGAAGGCAGTCCACACTTTGGTGAATGGCACCCAACTCTGCCTCCATTTTCTTGCTTCTCACTCATTCTTTGGCCCGTTCCAGTTTGGCTTCTGTCCATATCTCACACTGACACAGCCCTTGCTAAAATCACCAGTGATTTCTGTGCCACTAAATTCTAGGGATGGTTTTGGCCTCCTGTTCCTTGAGCTCTCATCAGTACTTGACACTATTGACCACACCTTTCTCTTTGTGGCTTTTGTGATTCCATATTTTTCTAGTTTCTTTTTCTCCACTTCTGTTGCCCCTTCTCTCTCCTTAATGGATTCGTCCTTCTTCATTATACATATTGGATGTCCTCAAGGCTTGATTCTAGGCCACTTTATCTTTTCAGTTCCCATTTTCTTCCTACGTGATCTCAGCTTTTCCCATGACTTCATTTTACCCTCCTCTGGGTCCCATGCTTCTCTGTACTAATTAGGATAGAATGGGCTCCAAATTCCAGCGACTGAACAAACACAGTGTATTTTTCTTATATGTGCAATGTGTTGTGCAGGTTTGGCAGCCAGATATAAGTGTGACTCAGGGATTCAGGCTGTTTCCAGCTTGTAGTTCTGCTGTTTCAGTGTGTGGCCTTTCCCATGGCCCCATGGTGCATGGCAGTAGAAGAGAGAGTGTGGAGAACCCACCCACACACAAAAGGCTCCCACCTACAGCCTTTTGGCTGCAAACAGTCACATGGCTCCAACTTAAATGCAAGGGAAGCTGTAAATGGACATCCTCCTCCTGTGTTCCTGGGAAGAGGAAAGTGAACTGAGACTCAGTGAACTCCTAGCATTGCCTGAGACACACTCTACCTTAATAAGTCTAGCATAGACCTCTCTTTAGAACTCCAGCCCTTACATCCAATTGCTCTGTGGTATTTTCATTCACTAGCACACCTCAGAAATAACTCACACTTAACCACATCCCCAAATGAGCTCATGACCCATTCATAAAACCTGTACTTGGCCAGGCGCAGTGGCTCACACCTGCACTTTGGGAGGCTGAGGTGGGTGGATCACGAAGTCAGGAGTTCAAGACCAGTCTGGCCAATATGGTGAAACCCCGTCTCTACTGAAAATACAAAAATTAGCCGGGCATGGTGGTGTGTGCCTGTAATCCCAGCTACTTGGGAGGCTGAGGCAGGAGAGTCGCTTGAACCCGGGAGGCGGAGGTTGCAGTAAGCCAAGATCACACCACTGCACTCCAGCCTGGGCAACAGAGTGAGACTCCATCTCAAAAAACAAACAAACAACAACAACAACAAAAATAAATAAATAACAATAAACTACCACCTGTCCTCTCTGAATCCCCCATCTCAGTGAATAGCTGAGAGAAGAGTCATCTGCAAGCCCATACTATAAGAAACTTATCTTACCTTGACTTCCTCCTCTTTCAGTTCCACATTCTGTCACCACCTCTGTCAACTTTACCTTCTATGCACTTCCATCTATTCTCAGGGCATTCCTCATCCAAGCTACTGTCCCCCTTCATCTGCACTCTACAGTGGTCTCCTAATTGGTCATCTCACTTCCACTCTTGCCCCTGACCAGTCCATTCCATACACTACAAGCTAGAGACGAATCTGATTGGATCTCATTTCCTGCTTAAAACTCTGCAATAATTTCCAGCGCTCTTACCTGGACCAACGTCTTCAACAATCCCTTTTAAAGGCTCACCAGGACTGACTCTTGCCATCTTCTCAGCCTCCCTTTCCATCCCTTCCTCAGCCCCCAGAAGCCCCAACATTCACCCCCGTGCTCTTGCCTGACCACTCCTACTCATCCTGCAGCTCAGCCATGTCCTGGGGGTGGTTTCTTGGCTCCTTGGTCAGGTCCTCCTGTTTTATGCTCTTACAGTTCTGTTGCATCTTTCCCTCATAGCCCTTATCACAGTTTTAACTGCATTTAAAAATTATTTAATTTAGTAATTTTATTTACTGAACTATTAGTTCCAGGAGGGCAGGGACTATTTCTGATTTATTCACTTTGCACACTATCTTGCATATTGCCTAGTACATAGTAGATGCTCAGTAAATATTTGTTGTGTGAACTTTTTTCTCCATAAGTATTAAATAATCGCTATATTAAGAATCAGGTGAATTAAAAAATAATTCCTACCCTCAAACTATTTCAGAAAAGGGGAAAAAAGATGCCATAAACATGATGTGCCCCAATTGAGTTGAATGGGTGTTGAAAGTTACATGTGAGAGTTAGCAGAGGTCTGGAATATCTTGCCCTAGACAACCCACACTAGCAACTGAATCACACAACTAATGGAAAGAATTGAAATTTCTTGAGGGCAGGAACCTTCTCTGCTTTTGCTCTACATGTCTTAGTACCTGGCATACTACGGTACATATAAAGAATGCTTATTAATATAGTGAATCTACTGACATATAAATAAAAAGCCTCTCTAGAATGAAAGGCTTGCTAGCTGGAGGAAGGCAGTGTATGAGCAAGCTCTTGGTCTTCTCTTGTCTCCCAGCACCTATGTCTGTTTGGAGGGTCAGAGTGAAGTATTCATCTTCCTTCTCAGGTCTTCCAGAGGCGGAACACTGGGCAGCTGGATTTCTTCAAGCGATGGAGGAGCTATGTGGAAGGCTTTGGGGACCCCATGAAGGAGTTCTGGCTTGGTATGATCTCAGAATCCAGGAGGCTGGGGCTGTGGGGGGTGATTTCTCCCAGGACAAGCTAGCTAGGAGGCTTAGGGAAGCTCACCACCTTCACAGAGAGGCCCCAGTGGCAGGGAGACAGAGGACTGTGCCGAGCAGGGTGTTGGTGGGCATGTTGATGGGAAGGCTGTCTTGCACTCTGAACTTGTTGAAAGGTAGGGTGGTCACAGGGGTTTTATGCTGATTTAAGCTCTGCAGGATCTGCCTGCAGCCTGAAGATCTTAGAAGCCACAGTAGTAGAAAAAAAGTTCAGTGATTGGGATGCTGGTCCATTACTGGGAGGTCACTCTAGCAGTCTCTAAAATTCTGTTCGTGATGCCAGGCATTATGAGCAATTTTTTCCCCCTTTTCCCTCTGCTCTCCTCTGGAGCAGATGTTCACAGACAGTGAAATAGCCAAAAGCATGAATTGGGAAATGAAGAATTAAAAAGTCATAGTTCAGATACCCAGTGTCTAATAAAGTAGATGATATTTGTGGTTTGCTCAGTGTAAAATCTCTTTGGGGATCTTAGGATGAGTCGTTGACCTGCTCTCCTACTTGGTGAGATAAATGGATGATAAATACAACTGCTTCTGTTTTAGAAGGATGGAGCCAATGGAGGCAGATTCCTTCTGGGGTTACCCTGCCCCCTTCACTGCTCCCTTCCATAGAATGTGGTCTTCGCACTCCTTAGTGTGACTATGAGCCCCCAAAAGAGAAAGTGCTGAGACTGCCCCTTATTAGCAGAGAAGGTAAAGACTAAAGTGACTTTAGGTTCTGAAAGCCTCAGACACACATGTTGAGTGCTTACTCGCACACATGGGTTGATTGATTATTGGAATTCCGTTTTTTATTTTTAGGACTTGACAAGCTACACAACCTCACCACCGGCACTCCAGCGCGGTATGAGGTGAGAGTGGATTTACAGACTGCCAATGAATCTGCCTATGCTATATATGATTTCTTCCAAGTGGCCTCCAGCAAGGAGCGGTATAAGCTGACAGTTGGGAAATACAGAGGCACGGCAGGTGAGAAAAAATGTTTTCTTACTGCGAAGGTCTCTTGCTGTCTGTTGTGTAAGGATTGGTTTGCCGTGTGCCACTGATCTGGGGGATGGAATATTATTCTGTGGAGGTGAATTGTTCTCATTGACAGTGGAGGTCCTACTCTCTGCAGGGGGTCAGGAGTGAACAAATAGTTGAAGCAATCCTTGACCACCATAAAATTGGAATTTTGTATGTTATATGTCATCCCCCCACCCCAATAAAAACCCTCCCCTTGTACTCCTCTTATTCAGGCTGTTGTACATTAGCTGATGAGCCCATATTCTGAACAATTTCTTGATGCTTGTCAGTCTTTCATTCGGCTTTAGCAGTGTGGCTGTCATCTTTGTCTGCACAGTAGTGTGTGTGTGTGTGTGTGTGTGTGTGTGATTATTTGAGCTTTTGGTGGCACTTTGCTATAAAAACAGAATAAGGAAAGTGCTGATTCAAATAATAAGAAGTATAGGTCTCATTAATTTAATTCAACTGTGACAACACAGAAATGAGCAGTTCAGTGGAAAGTGAAGGAACCTTTAGCCTCTAGTAGCTGCTCATTGGAGCTAAGCCAGTTGCTGGTGTGTTTGGTTGTGAGGGAAAAGAGCAAAATTAAGCAACATGACTGAAATGCTGGAATGATACCAGTAAATTAAATACATTATGTAAGAGGGGGAGGTGTGGTCATTGTTTTAATACCAATATTTTAAAAGCGGTATTTATGGTTTTTAAACCATAACAAGTGTTTTGACATTTGCCTGTGTTTTGACATTTGCGTTTTTGACTTTGGTGTATTTACACAGGAATGTGTTACCAGCCAGACTGACCGACTGTATAAGACATGGCGGTCTCTCTCCTTAGACTTAAATGTAAATAGGTGAATACAAATAGAAGGTAACTTTTGCAGAGAGTCAAATAAGGGGTGAGAAACATAAACAGTTACAGGAGTGTGGAGAAGGTGGGCACATGGAGTACGAAGCAACTGGAGGGAGCTGGATCTGCAAAAAGGGGCAAACTCAAGTGGGAGGAAATAGAGGGCTCTCCAGGCCTGGGGGCTTTAGGGTGAGTAGGGACTGAGCAGAGGCAAGAATGCTGGAGTTTATCTCACAGCCTTGCTGGACTTCTCAAGATCATGTACTCAAGGACCCCTGATGGCAGAAGACTGTGAACAGAACTTCTGAGTGTCTGGGGCCATGATCTGGGTGGCCAACTATGAATGCAAACCTTCTTTGAGATCTTATAATTTCATTTAAAAAATAGTCACATGAATTTTGCATTTGTTCTTGTTTCCCAGTGCCTATCTCAGAGCCTGGTACAGAGTAGGAGAGTTTAAAAAATGAAATTGCTAGCAGGACTTTTCTATATACATAATCTTAGGGATGTTTAGTATCTTACATTATAGTCCCTGAGACCCAAATAAGTTCCATAGGGGTGAATGAAAGGTGAGTTTGGTGACATGGTGACATGGGAGGGGACAAAGAGGGAGGGGTAGGCACCTACCAGAGTATGAGGCATTTGGGCTACAGACACGGGGAAACTGTTCCAGGATTCTGAGTAGGAGTTGGGTGAGAAAAAGTATGCAAAGAATTATTTCAGGGAAAAGACAATCCTTGAAAAAAAAGCATTGCAGCTAGAAGATCCTCACTGCCTTTGGATACTGTCACTTCTTTCCTAAGTAGTCCTGGGTCTCCACGGGCTGAAGACAGGCTGTGCTACATGTACTTGAAGTATAACATAGTCATGCATTGCTTAACGACAGGGATACATTCTGAGAACTGCATTGTTAAGCATTTCATCATTGTGCAAACATCATAGAATGCACTTACACAAATCTAGATGGCAGAGCCTGCTATAGACCAAGGTATATGGTGTAGCCTATTGCTACTAGGCTACAAACCTGTATGGCATGTTACTAAATATTGTAGGCAATTGTAACACCATGGTAAGTACTTATGGATCTAAATATATGTAAACATAGAAAAGGCACAGTGAGAATATGGTATAAAAGATAAAAAATGGCCAATCTGTAAGGGTACTTACTATGAATGGAGCTTGCAGGACTGGAAGTTGCTCTGGGTGAGTCAGTGAGTGGTGAGCGAATGTGAAGGCCCAGGACAGGACTGTGCACTCCTGTAGACTTTAGGCACACTGCCCTTCGGCCACACTAAATTTATTTAAAAATGTTCTTTCTTCGTTAATAAAAATTAACCTTATCTTATTGTAACTGTTTTACTTTATAAACTTTAACATCTTTTTCAATTTTTTTGACTCCTTTGGAGTAACACTTCGCTTAAAACATAAGCACATTGTGCAGCTGTACAAACATATTTTCTTTCTTTATATCCATATTCTGTAAGTTTTTTTTTCTATTTAAACATTTTTTATTTTTATTTTTTACTTTTTAAACCTTTGTGTTAAAAACTAAGACACAAATACACACATTAGCCTAGGCCTGCACAGGGTCAGGATCATCAATATCACTGTCTTCCACCTCCGCATCTTGTCCCGCTGGAAGGTCTTCAGGAGCAATAGCACACATGGAGCTGTCATCTCCTGTGATAACAATGCCTTCTTCTTGAATACGTCCCAAAGGACCTGCCTGAGGCTGTTTTACAGGATTTTTTTTTGTAAAGTACTCATACACTCTAAAATAGCAATAAAAAGCATAGTATTATTCACACAAACCAGTAACATAATTATTTATTATCATTATCAAGTATTATTTACTGTATGTAATTGTATGTGCAAGACTTTTGTATAACTGGTAGGTTTGTTTACACCAAATCACCACAAACACATGAGTGATGCATTGGTCTGCAACCTTACGACAGCTGTGATGTCACTAGGTAATTTTCAGGTTTATTGTGATCTTATGAGACCACTGTCGTATATGCAGTCCCTTGTTAACTGAAATGTTCTTATGCAGGGCATGACTGTATAAAACATGAAAGTCAGATATAGAAAAAGGCAGTTATAATACAGTTGGGAAACATAGATGGACATTCATATGATTATGAGGATATTAACTGAATAAGAGGGGATTTAAAGATGCTATTTTGTGTGACTAAGCACACTGTCCATATCCTCCCACCCCATCTCTAAATGAGATCAGACTATGTTCCTGACAGCTTATTCCAGGTTCTTCCAACCCTTTGGTATAATACAGTACACACATTCCAGTCTGTCCCAGAGCCCTTGGGCCTCTTCAGTCCACATGGAGTCCATCTGATCATTTCTTTGGTTTCCAGTACCCTGTTGTCTGCTCTTGATCATGGCCATCGGTTAGCCTCAGCCTTTCCTTCTCAGGTTAAAGAAGTCTACATAAGCTCCATGCGTGGGACCCTCCCTGGACACAATATGAAGTGGGTGTTTTTCTTTGGCCCGTGTGCCCCACATCTCTCCCTGAAACCCAGTGCCCTCCCTGGCCTCCTGGTCAGGAACCTCACTCAGGCCTGTCCTCCCGGGCTGCACATTTCCTTTCCCTTGGCCATTACCATTTGCCTTTTCTGAAGCCTGTGTTAAAGTGATCCAGCAAATGAACTGATGCCAATGGGAAAGAGACTGAAAGGGAGTCAACATGTTTGGTGAATTATTTAATTCTCCTCCCAGGTACTCTGTTTGCATGTTAACTGCAATGAGGGGATAATTCCTGTTCTAAGGTTGTTCAGGCCAACAGTGCCAGCAAGTAGAGGATGTATTTTTTAATAGAATTATTTTTTAATAGGAGACTTTCACACAGCATTTAGGCAGCGATCTAGTCTTCCCATGTGTACTATCATTCCCGCTTTTAAATTCTGAATTACAATGGTAGGGTTAGTGGAGTTTTAGCGTTCCTTATGTACACTGATTTGTCCATGAGGAGGGTTTCAGAATTTAGAAAGCTCCTGGCTACTCATGTCTTGAATGCTGAGGCACTGTTTAGAGGACACGGCATTCAAATGGAAGGTGAATATTTTGATACCTCCCTGCACGCACCAGCTCTCCCCAGCCTCTATCTTCATTTTAGCTCTGATTAGAACTGGCATGCATGCAGCCTGGCAGGAATGTGTGGCTTAAGGCTTGCTCCCCACTCAGACTGTCCAGGTGGGCCCTCAACTTTTGACTTCCACTCAAGTTATATCAGAAAGTCCATTTTCCCTTCATGAAGCAAATTCCAGCAAGGTAATGATGTGTAAATTTAGTTTCTGATTCTGAGTCTTCTAGTGGGGGCAGGGAGGCTATCTTATGAGCTCCACCATTAAGATGTTATTCATCTATTTAGAGATCATAATGCAAACATAAAGAGCTAGGCATTCAGAATGGTGCAGAATGAATTCTAGGGCTAACCAATGATTTACAGCTGATTTCGAGTCCCACCTGCATGGGCCACAGTGGGGACACAACCAGGGATGGATCCCAACCTGGGGGCATTTGGAAATGTGACTGGGGAGCTCTGGAAGCATTTAGTGGGTTGGGACCAGGGATGGATTTTTAAATGCTGGCACCTGAAAAAGAAAAAAAAAATTAATGGGTACCTGGATGAAAGGGAGAGCTAGAAATGGCACAAATCATTTGTAATCATCCATTCCTAATCCTGAAATAAAAGACATTCAAGGTTCTGACACACACTACTGTGTCTGTGTGTGACTGACAGGGGATGCGATGTTAATGGCTTCTCCTGATCTTTGAAGGTTCAGCTGCCTGGGCCATCTTTCCCAACCTGGTGAATCCTAGAGGGGGAGAGTGGGCCTCAGAGGGACATTTTGATGAGATGGATGGTGACCAACTTGATCCCCTCTGAGTTTGGGCACAGACCTTTCATGGGCCTGCCATGAACCCCTCCAGTCCTCATTCTCACTCTCTACACTCTGAACATTAGGATGGCTTCAGTTTCTAGAAGGTAGAAAATCCTTCTGCAGAAAAAGACCTCCCACATTTGGGTGAAAACCTGCTTTACCTTTCTTTATCCCAGTGCCCAGGTTTAGATCATCACAAACATGTCTTTAAGAGAGCCTCTGCACAGATTCTTAGAAAGCAGCCCTGGGAACCTTCTATGTAAATTAGCTAAGCTGTGCTCATTTAAAGAAGGTTACTAAGGGAGACACTGCACGTTATTTCAAGCTGTGGTTAACTTTCTGTACAAAGTCTAGAGGGAGGCGGAAATGTGTATGACTAGCATGACAATATACCTTTCTTGGATTGGAGAAAACTACTGGAGACAGACCTGTCTGCTGTGTTTGCGTGGAAGTGGCCTCCGTGGCCCCAGAATCCTCCTGCTTTTTCTGGGTGAGGCATAAACGAGCTGCTGGTGAGATTGCAGACTTGGAGGGGGCAAATTAGGACCTTCCCTTTTAACATATGCTACCAACTCTGCATATTCACCCCACCCACTCCAAAAACGTTTTTGAGAGCAAGGACCTTCTTATTTTTGTGTTCACAGAGCCAAGCATGTGCTGCTCCACAGCAGGTATTCAGTAAATGTTCCCTAAAAAACAAGTGAAGTTGTAGACCAGAGGTTCTCACACTGTAGCCTGCGTCAGATCATCGGAAGGGCTTGTCAAGGCATAGGTTGCCGGGGCCCAACCTGTAGTTTCCGGTTCTGTAGGTCTGGGCTGGGGCCAAATAATTTGCATTTCTTTTTTCTTTTCTTTTTTTTTTTGAGATGGAGACTCACTCTGTCACCCAGGCTGGAGTGCAGTGGCACGATCTTGGCTCACTGCAACCTCCACCTCCCGGATTCAAGCAATTCTTCTGCCTCAGCCTCCAGAGTAGCTGGGACTACAGGTGTGCACCACCATGCCAGGCCAATTTTTGTATTTTCAGTAGAGACGGCGTTTCACCATATTGGCCAGGCTGGTCTTGAACTCCTGACCTCATGATCTGCCTGCCTCGGCCTCTCAAAGTGCTGGGATTACAGGTGTGAGCCACCGTGCCTGGCCCATTTGCATTTCTAACAAGTTCTCAGGGGATGTGGATGCTGCTGGTCTGGGAACCCCACTTGAAGAGCCATTGATAGATAGCTCTCTCTTGCTAGCGTGCAAGAAGCCCCCCATTGAAACAAGGAAGGCATAGGTGGATTGGTGTCTCAGAAAGAACCCTGGACTTGGAATCTCAGGACAGAGATTTGAGTCCCAGCTCTGCTGTTTGTGGACGGTGGGACCTTAAGAAGTTCCTAGAGTCTAACCTTTTTGAATTTGTTTCCCCACGGGACTAAGAGCTGCCCTGCTCACTTCACAGGGTTGCTGTGAGAGTGAGATGAGAATGCACATGCGAAGAAGATCGCTAAACTTAGAGCTGAGATATAAATGTAAGAATCTTTATTGCAGGAACAGAGCTTGATGAAGCTTGTGATTGATATGGGCCCTTATTGCCTTTTATGAGCAGAAAAAGAAAGCTTGTAAAAGGATGAAAAATATGATAGGGAAACAGGAGATACATAAGCAAAATAATTAAAGCAGTTTTCCAGATGGGATGTAATGAAGGACTGAATTTTACATGTGTCTCCAGAAGGGCTCTGGAAGTTCAGGAGTGTTTGTGTGTAGGTGTGTGTGTGTGTGTGTGTTAGGAGGGTGCATGGGAAGACCAATAAAGAGAATCTTCTTTAGAAGTGGCCTTGAGCTAGGCTTTGAAGGGATGGTTGGGATTTGGACAGATGAGGGCAGAGAGAAATCTCCTGGAAGGTGGGCTGGTCCACAGTGGAGGGTGTGTGGTGGAGATGGTGGGATGCAAGACTGTGCATAGGGCACAACCAACCTACAGGCCTGCAAGGCATGGAAGAGGAATTCACCTCCACGTGGTATGAAGTAGACTGTTAGGCCTGAGATGATGAAAATGGACGTCTAAACTCCAGAGGGGCTGGCAGGCAAGAAGCCAGAGAGAAGGCTGTTTTGTTAACACAGACCCAGGATGAGAGAAGGCCGAGGGTGGCTGTCATGGGAGCAGAGACATAGGGGTGTATGTGAGTGACCTGCAGAGGGAGGGCTTGAGAAGAGGTATGAAGGGATTTCCAAACATGGCTCCAGGTTCCAGGTCTGGGTGGTGTGGAGAAGGGTGGACCCAAGGCAGAGTGGGTAGAGTGGAGAGTGGTGCTCTTGTGTGTGGTGTGGTCAGGGACTTGGGGAGAGTTGTTATGTTTGGATATTTGATCTGACTGTGGAGCTTCCAAGTGAAAATGCTATGAGAACTGTTGGAGAAACAGGCCTGAAGTTGGGGTACAGGCCAGGAAAGACAGCTTGTTCCCATGTGTCATGTTCCCATTTGGGCTGTTTTGAGAGAGCGGTGACTACCTGTGACATGACTGGCTGCATCTTTGGCATTTTCATGCCTAGAGATCTTCCTGCTGGGTCCTCTTTTGATCATCTCCTCGGTGGCTAACCCTGGGCTCTCGCCTCCGTCTCTTCTCTCCTGCAGGGGATGCTCTTACTTACCACAATGGATGGAAGTTTACAACTTTTGACAGAGACAATGATATCGCACTCAGCAACTGTGCCCTGACACATCATGGTGGCTGGTGGTATAAGAACTGCCACTTGGCCAACCCTAATGGCAGATATGGGGAGACCAAGCACAGTGAGGTAGGTGACAGGTGAATGTCTTTTCTGTCCCAGGGTATGTCCATATTCAGCTTCCAAATGGACACCCTCCAGGCCAGTCTGGCAGCCCCTCTCCTTCTGAAGCTTCCAGTCAAAGCAGTAGAGCTTCTCCTCCAGGCTCCATGGCCTTGAGGTCGTGGCCTCCCTTCCTGATGGCCATGGCCCTGCTTGTTTTGCATTCCCAGAGCTGCACACTTGCCTAGGGGAAGGTGCGGGAAAAGCTTGGGCTGCCCACTGCCATGTAATGACAGATGATGTGCTCTGCACGCTGTCTCATTTTACTAGTTCACACACTGTCAGCTCTAGCTGCTGTAACAAAATAACACAGACCAGGTGGCTCAAACAACAGACATTTATTTCTCACAGTTCTGGAGGCTGGGAAGTCCAAGATCAGACTGCTGGCAGATTTGGTTCTTGGTGGTGGACCTTGCTGGCTTGTGGCTGTGCGTCCTCACATGGCGGACAGAAAGGAGCTCTGATCTCTTCTTCATATAGGGGCATATGTCCCATCATGAGGGCTCCACCTCATGGTCTCATGTAAACCTAATTACCTTCCAGAGGCCCCCTCTACATACCATCATGTTGGTGGGGGGTGGTTAGGGCTTTACTACATGAATTTTGAAGAGACACAAACATTCAGTTTATAACAAACACTGCCTACTTTCTAGTTGTTCTCCTAGTTGAACAAGAGCTATTTCTTTAGGCTGAGCATGGTGGTTCATGCCTGTAATCCCAGCACTCTGGGAGGCTGAGGTGAGCTGATTGCTCGTGCCCAGGAATTTGAGACCAGCCTGGGTAACATCGTGAAACCCTGTCTCTACAAAAGATACAAAAATTAGCTGGGCATTATGGCGTGCACTTGTAGTCCCTGCCTCTAGGGAAGCTGAGGCAGGAAGATCACTTGAGCCTGGGAGGTTGAGACTGCAGTGAGCCATGATCAAGCCACTGCACTCCAGCCTGGGTGGCAGAGCAAGACCCTGTCTCAAAAAAAAAAAAAAAAAAAAAAAGCTGTCTCAAGTCCTTTGATCACCAGGAAAACAGTCTTTTGTGCCTTAGGTCAGACCTACTCTTGGATCCACTTCACCCAAAACCTTCCCAGAACATTGAGCTAGACCAGTCTCTCCACATTGGGAGTGTGCGCCCAGGGCCCAGGGGTCCAGGAGGGCTCCTCTTCCCACATTGCCCTGAAACTGTCCCACCCGCTATTTCTCAAGCCTCCTCTGCCCCAGTGCATCATCCTGACTCTTTGACAGCTGCGGGGCACTTCCCACCTGCTCCCTCACAGTTTCTTGAAAATTGCATCTTTGTCTCTGCTCGTCATTAATCCTCTCCCCTCCACAAACGCTGAGTCCCCATCCTAGGTTTCTAATTTCCCATCTGCAGCCCTGATCCTAAGCCTCCAGGAAGCCACCTCTTCAGAACTCACCTTGTACCAATATTACTGTAAATATTAGCACATCCGAAGTCCAGGTACATTTTGATTACTTTGGCCCTGACCAGTCTTCGGGACTCCCAATCTTTATGTGATTTTTCAAAGGGAAGAAGAAATTTGCCCCCAGGGAAGCTGGGGAGGGTGGGCCCATGAATCATGGTGGCAGCGTGTGGGCTGACTCAGGGAAGCCAGGGATAGGAGATCAAATATTGGAAACGAGCAGCCAGGATGCCCTGAACCATCCCATATTTGCTAATAAAAGACATTCATCTGTTTAATGCGCTTTTCACAGTCTGCAAGGCATTTAGCTTCTTGTTTATTATTTACCTCACAAATTAAAATACATAAAATTGGTCACTTGGGCTTTTTATTGGCCAGGTTGCAGGGTTATTAAGTGAATTAAATATTATTGCGCTCACCAGTCAAAAGAAATAAAATGAAATTTAGTTTTCAGCAGGCTATTTGTTACCCCAGAGCTAATATCTAAACAGTCTAAATTGAAAATGATTTTACACAACTGGCCAATTAATATGTTTATTTTTGCCTTTAATTTTTTGGAAAGGAAAAGAGTGAAGGAAAGATAATTTGCCCATTGCCGGCCCGGTTGACCCCTGTGTTGTCTCTGTGGCTGCTCTGGCCTCACCCAGCTCCCGGGCTCACACCCCCTTGCTCCCACCATAGAGACCGCCAGCTTCCAAATCGTCCAAGTCCTCTCAGCCCGTCTAACCCCAGCTGCCCAGCAGAGGGCGCGTGTGTCCGGATCCTGCCCTCCCCTCCCTTCTCATCACCCCGTCTCTTTCTCTCTCCTGAGCAGAGAGGGAGTGGTTTCACTGGTAATTAATTAATTAATTAATTCCTTTGTACCATAACCCACCCTGCCCTCCTCCTAAGAGCCTCTTCTTGATGTGGCTTTTTTTTTTTTTTTGGTAGGGGGTGAACTGGGAGCCTTGGAAAGGACATGAATTCTCCATTCCTTACGTGGAGTTGAAAATCCGCCCTCATGGCTACAGCAGGGAGCCTGTCCTGGGCAGAAAGAAGCGGACGCTGAGAGGAAGGCTGCGAACGTTCTGATGGCCCGTGTGAGCAGTCCTCGCAGGAGACACCACCAGCTGTGGCAGCTTGGGGCGGGGTGGGTAGTGGTCACTGCGGTCTGGGAGTGCTCAGATAGCCCGCAGAACAAATCATGTCACCAAGCTTCAAGCCATGGAGGTTCCTTCCCTCTCACCTGCATTTTTGCCCGTCTTTATGAGGGTCTTGAAAATCAAAATAGTAGTTGCACAGTATGTGTAGGAAAGACAGTACTGGAACGGCAAGGTTTCTCAGCTTATCTTCAGCAACATATATACTGGATTAGGGCAAGAGAAGGAATCACCCAGCACTTCACCAGTTGGAAATCTCTGGAAATTTACATCTATGTATTTAAAGTTCTGCTAATGCAAATCTTTTCTCTGGAAAGAAGCACAGAGGAGGAGTTCTGATGACCCAGGGGTTAGGGCTGAGACAACCGGACGTTTGTCACCTCCTTTCCCATTGGGTTTTTAGGAAAACAGTGTGAACCTCCCCCTTTTAATTTCTGGTGTTATGAGGAAGAATAAAGGGGATAAAAGGGGCTAAGATGGACTCATGTTTAGCTAAGTTCTGACTTGTATCCAGCATGCTGGAGACCAAAGCTGCCGCCTTACTGCTATTTTTAAGTGCCCTCTTTTCAGTCATTTGCATAATTGCGTCCATAGAGCTGCATATGTTGTGAATAAATTCTCACTCATTTCAACTTTGAATAATTTGACTGTCTTGATAATTGGTTCCTCCCAAAGACTCTTCTGCAACTCCCATTCATGCCCACCAGGCCTCAGACTCCCTCTTTTCCCCGCCCTGCACTATTGGAGCCCTGGGTTTTGTGGGAGTGCTCAGCACCGTGAGTCTTACTGTTTGATCGGACAGTTAGCAAGATCAGATCCTTTTTGCTTATTTTCTATCACTTTGGAGGGTTTTCTGTAGCAAAATCAGTGACCAATGAAGTAACTTAAATTCCTATTGAAGAAAAAAAATAATAAACCACTTGATTTAAAAAAAAATTGCCATGTGTTATTTTCCTCCACGTAAGTGCACTTGAATTCTAAATTTAACCTACATGCAAGTGAAGGTACAATTCGTGCATTGTAATGGAATTTGGTTGGCTGTGGACTCTGATTTGCATGATGGGAAATAATGGTATTTAGAATGCAGAAGTGAGTGAATGGGAAGTAAGGCGAATGCTCCAAAAGCTGCCGTACCCCTCCAGGACGAGGGTGTAGTCTATTGCCTAGATGTCTCCAGGTTTTAACCTCTGGGTGAATGTCAAACCATACCCCTGAAACCGTTTCTGTCAACCTTTAAAGTCTTCAGCATCCCCCTCTGGTGCCTTCCTTCCCCAGACACACACATTGAGCAATGCCATGGTAACTGCTCGCTCTGATAATGAGTGGTCTCAGTGAAATACAGTTTTAGTGTTGATGCTGACGATGAAAAAATGTGCTTGCATGTTATTAATTGATTCAACAAGAGTTTGTTGTTTGCTTTGTATCAAGCAGTGTGCTGGGCACTGGGGAAACAAAGGTGAGCAAGATAGACACTATCCTTGTATTGATGGAGCTTGTGTGCTGTCATTCATTCATTCGTTTACATTCACTCATTCAACGAATAGAGATGAAGCCCTATTATGTGCCAAGTTCCATTCTAAGCATTGGTGTTAATCAAGGACATAACATCATATTCCTGTCCTTGTGCTAATATTCTCATGGTGGAGGCTGACATTAAGCAACAAATAAATGTGTGGTTACAAGAAGTGGGAAATGCCGTGGAAGAAAAGGTAGGATGAGAAGATGAAGGTGTTGCATGGTGTTGGACTATGAAGCCTCTCTGAGGAGGAGATGTTTACAGAAATTGACCAAATTTCTCCTAGTCTTGATCTAACTTTATCAGGGCCTGAGCCTGAGCTAATTTCTTTGTCTGCCTTTTTTTTTTTTTTTGAATGGGGTCTCTCTCTGTCTTGCAGGCTGCTGTATATTCACATGATCAAGGCTCACTGCAGACTTGAACTCCAGCCTTGAACTCCTGGGCTCCAGCAATCCTTCCGCCTCAGCCTCCTGAGTAGCTGGGACTACAGGCACATGCTACTGTGCCCAGCTAATTTTTTACTTTTTTGTAGAGATGGAGTCTTGCTATCTTACCCAGGCTGGTCTCATCTGTCTTAAAGGTCTGTCTGCACAACTTCCCAGTTCCAAGTCTTCTCCTCAAATTCTCTTCTTTTAAAAACATTTTTGTAGTTTTTTAATTGTTTTATTTAATAGAAATGGAGTCTTATTGTCACCCAGGCTGTGTGAGGAAAACAGTGTAAATCTCTCCCTTTTAATTTCTGGTGTTGTGAGGAAGAATATAGGGAATAAAAAAAGGCGAGTGCAATGTGTGACCACAGCTCATTGTAGCCTTGAATTCCTGGACTCAGCAATCCTCCCGTCTCAGCCTCCTGAGTAGCTGGGACTGCAGGCGAGTGCCACCATGCCCAACTATACATCTATATCTATATCTTTATCTATATCTATATCATCTATATCTATATCTGTATCTATATGTATATCATCTATATCTATATCTATGTCTATATCTATAGATATATAGCAGGCTCTTGCTATATTGCTCAGGCTGGTCTTGAACTCCTGGCTTCAAATGATCCTCCAGCCTTGACTCGGGAAGTAGATGGGACTACGGGTGCTAGCCGCCGCACCTGGCTGGAATTCCCTTCTGCTGCTCCGTGACCCCGTTTGCATGTGGGGTACTCAGCTTCGTAATTATGAAGCTTTGGGCTCATCACAGTGATCCAGGGTTTTTAGAAAAGTGCCTCCTTTGCAAAATGGATTAAATCCCAGAAATTGACTTCGAGCCAAGGATGGTGATTGTTGGCAATGCTTCTCAACTTTGAACATGCTTGTTAACACAGAGATCACGGGGTCCCTTCCCCAGACGCTCTAGTTAAGTAGGTCTGGGCCGAGGGCTGCTGCTGGAGTGGTGTCCACTCTGAGTAGCTGTGGTGTGGGGGAGCCGCCGGTGGTCTTTTTGCTCTGGAGGAGCCTGTGATGGTAGCAAATTACAAAACACACACCCCTGTGTTCATTGACCCCAGGGTTTCTCCACCACTGGGCAAGAGGAGGACTTTTGGGAAACAGGAGCTATTTCTTACATTATTTTGCCTGTAGGACCCATGGTGCACAAAGGAGCGGGTGAAGAAAACCTCAGCTGACCCTTCAAAGGTTCTACTGGGGACCAGGAAGGAAGTTGAGAGAAACTCATTTTCAAAGGGCCTCTGTCTGACTGAGGAAAACATTCCAACTTGAAACTTCCATGCCTAACCTCATTTTAACGTGACCAGTGCTCACAACTTCCAATCTGGTAGCTGAATATGGGCCCGTGGAATGGGTTTCTGGATAGACCTGCTTTTTAGAGAGAGTCAATTTTCTTAGAACCAGGTTATGAGCCATCAAGGTTTTGAAGCTTACAGGGACGATTTCTACCCTTTAGAACAAACTAAAGCAAACAAAAGCTCTCATAGAAGGCACAGGCTGCAAGCCAGGCACTAGGGTAGATGCAAAGACAGAAGTCTTGGTAAAGTTTCCAAAGTGTTGCCTTTTATGCAGGACATGAGCAAGACAGTGATAAACAGAACACAAATGTGGCCTTCCAGCAGCTCTTGGAGTGGTGGCAGAGGCAGCCATGGAAACAAACTGGGGAGAGTGAGTCCACAGGGAGGTGGACTGAACACTGTGGGCAGAGTCAGGGTGACTCATCCTGCCAGGGGTGCCAAGGGAGAGAGCTTCACGGGGATGTGATGTCGGCTTTAAGTCTGGAAGGATGAGTTCTGGGGGGAGAAAAAAGAGGCCCAAGAGGGGTGGGGCCCATCGGGTACAGGAGACTTGGCAGCAAGGAAGAGAAAGTGTGGAGTGTGGCATGTCTGAGGGGGGCAAAGTGGTTTCTTACTGGGGTGAGGAGAGCTTGGTGGGGAGCCAGGCTGGTGAGATGAGTGGGGATTCTTCCTTTGCCAGGCCAGTACTGAGGTTCTCAGCGCTCACTACCTGTCGGCGGCGGCAGGGGGCCTCCATGGGTACAGAAGCTCCACTCCCCTCAACGGGCTCTGCTCCAGTGGGTATCAGGTGAGTTCTGTGCACCTGAGCTTCCTAAAGTGCCCCCAAGGATTCCAACATAGACCACGCTTGAGAGCCACTGCTCAGATGAAAGCATGTGGAAAGTGGGGAACACACAGGTTTTTAAACCTGAGAGTGACAAGGTCAGATGTATATTTCGGAAATATCAGTCTGGTGATAGGATAGACAACAGGGCTGGGGGTGTTGAGGGAAGTTTTGGAGGAAGGATAGGGACTCACAGGCAAGTTGAGTGCTATTGTGATAGTTCAGGCAAGCGGTCATAACTTCCTTGGCCTGTGGCAGAAATGGTGGAGAAGGGGAGGAGGGTCTAGATTAGTGAGATATCCAGGAAGAAGGAATGGTGGGCTTTGAGGAGGATGGGTGGTACAGGCAAGAGATGGGTCGTTTCATGTCAGAGCTTAGAGCTGGTTGTTCCTGACAGTGGCTTCCTCTGGGAATAGGGTCCCAGAGTTTATGTTTGTCAAATGAGATCAAAAGCTCTGCGTTTAAAATTTGAATTCTCAGGGATTTAAAGATGATTAAAGCCAGGAAATGCTGAAGGAGCTGAGGAGAAAGATAGAAAATGCCTCCAGAAATTGTGATTGAGGAAGGAAAAAGGCCAGGTGTGGTGTGTGAGGAGATGTGGACAGGGGACATGCAGATGAAGGGATGGCATGGCAGAAGGAAAAACAAGTATAACAGCGAGAAACTCTTGGTGAAATTTAGCCAGTTGATGGAAAAGGCCCTCCACTAATCCCAGCTACGCCGGAGGCTGAGGCAGGAGAATGCTTGAACCCAGGAGGCAGAGGTTGCAGTGAGCCGAGATTGAGCCATTGCACTCCAGCCTGGGCAACAAGAGCGAAGCTCCGTCTCAAAAAAAAAAAAAAAAAAAAAGAAATTCCAAGTCATTACCTCAAGCGCTTCGCTAGGGTGGTGGAGGGGATCAGGAGGGAGTTCATGTCAATACGGAGCTGATCAATACGGTTGGGACCGCAGCTTAGTGCAAGAGGTTTGCTATATTCAGCCTGGCCAGGAGATGGCAGTGTTGTCCTGTCGGGAGCCTCTCATTTCAGCGCCACTTCTCTCTTCTATAAAGGGGAGTTCTGGGGGCTAGGTCCCCACTTTTCTCTTTTCCTGGGTGATGCTATCTGGAGAGTCAGTCGGTGAGGCCCAGCTTAACATTGGGCCTGCACTTGGTGGTTTCTTAGGCAGCGTTCTTGCTGGACAAATGCGCAAAAAATAACTGGGAACAACCTTGAGGAGATTGCTTGGTGAGATTGGACTCTATCCCCAGACCCGGCGCACTGGGCTGCTGGGGAGGAAAGGCGGATAGAGGTTGTCAGCCTGATGAAAGGTGAAGGGGGGCACCCCTGGGAGAGATTTCAGGCAGCTCCTAATTTGCAAATGAATTCACTTCTCCAATTCCTTCTGTCAGTTGGCTGTTTCTGTGGGTGAAATTATTTGAGTTCCAATTATAATGTTATATAAAGAAGGTAGGTTCTCAGGTTAGCCCATAAAACTCTGTTTACTCTACAATATAGATGAGTTGCAGTGTATGTATAATGAAAAATAGGAAACAACAGTATTGCGGTACTGTAATTTAAATAAAAGAAAGAAACAAAATGGAATGGAAACAGTTCTTTATTTTGGTAAGTGAAGAAAATTAGGTTGAATTAGAGAAGGAGAAGGAGGCAGATGAGGCTTGCTGTGGGACATATAAAGGAGGCATTTGGGCACTTTAAAGGCTTATGGGAAGACCCTTGATTGTGTTCTGTAAGTTTCCAACTCAAGGGAGGGGCGTCTACAAGTTCAACAGTCTTTGAGGAGCCAAGATCAGATTGGCCTGGATCTCGATGCCTGGTGTGCAGAAGGAACACTGGGGTAGGAGTCTGAAGACTTGGGTTTCTATTCCAGTTTTGGGTAAACTGGCTTACCTTCTCTGGGCCTCATTTTCTTCATTTATAAAGTGAGAATCAAGTGAAATAATGAAAGTGGTTTTTATGTACGAAGGCACTCTGGAATGGTAAAATAGTGGGCTTGGATCTTCAGTCTTCATATTTTCATTTAAAACTTTTTCTTTTTTTCTTTTTTTTCTTTTGATAGAGATGTCTCTTTAGCAGCTCTAAAACATATTTGCTATGAATAGCCACCAACAGGATTATTATGGGTTGCAAATGGAAGAAAGAGAAAGGGAAGAGTAAAAGAGAAAGGGAAGAGTAAAAGAGAAAGGTTCATAAAGGTTAGTGAGAATCTGTATACACTGCAGAAACAGTTTCCTCTGGAGATGACATTGACTGAGTCTGTAGTGGAAGTCAGGAGCAGAGGAAGCGTGGAGTGCGCACTAGCTCTCTATGGAAGACGGGAGCAGGGGACGCGTGGAGCGTGCACTAGTCCTCCATGGAAGTCAGGAGCAGAGAATGCCTGGAATGCGCACTATCCTTCCATAGAAGACAGGAGCAGAGGACGCCGGAGTGCGCACTAGCCCTCCGTGGAAGACGGGAGCAGAGGACATCGGAGTGCGCACTAGCAGTCCATGGAAGTCAGGAGCAGAGAATGCCTGGAGGGCGCACTAGCCCTCCATAGAAGACAGGAGCAGAGGACGTCGAAGTGCGCACTAGCCCTCCATGGAAGACGGGAGCAGAGGACGGTGGAGTGCGCACCAGTCCTCCGTGGTAGACAGGAGCAGAGAATGCCTGGAGTGTGTACTAGCCCTCCATGGTAGATGGGAGGAGAGAATGCCAGGAGTGTGCACTAGCCCTCCATAGAAGATGGGAGCAGAGGACGCGTGGAGTGCGCACTAGCCCTCCTTGGAAGTCGGGAGCAGAGGACGCCGCAGTGCGCACTAGCCCTCCATGGAAGACAGGCGCAGAGGACGCCGGAGTGCGCACTAGCCCTTCATGGAAGACGGGAGCAGAGGATGCGTGGAGTGCGCACCAGCCCTCCATGGAAGTCAGGAGCAAAGGATGTGTGGAGTGCGTACTAGCCCTCCATGGCAGCATTTCCCAAATGGTGGCCCCTGAATCTTTGTTCCTCCAGATGTGCTAAAAGAAAAAGAGGCTTGTGGTTAAATAAATTTGGGAAAATTTTAAGGGGAGTTAAACCAAATTCTTTATTACAGCACCTGCTAGAAACTTTAATGTGATAAATGCGTTGCAGATCCCAAGGGGGTGAAGTGGGAAAGTTATACTATGCAGTGTTTGCAAACTTATTTGACCGTACACAGTTCTTTTGTTGTTTTGATAGTATTTCTCAAGGTGTGGTTCAGGGACCACCTGCATTGACCTGGTGTTTATTAGAGCAGGTTGTCTGGCATCACCCTAGACTTAATAATCAGCCAGAAGGGCAGGGAGAGACAGGGAATTTGCATTTTTAAGAAACACCTCAGTGTTTATTTCCCCCAATCAACACATTTATTTAGCATATAGTATGTGCCAGGCTCCATGCTAGGTGTTGAAGATATACTAGTGAATAAGACAGTTCTAATTCTAATCTCATAAAGCTAATTCTAATGGGGGTCAAAATAGGGGTGGGGTGCTGGGAATAGAAGCAACACACAATTGCAATGTGGTCTAGTCTTACTGCAATGGGCAAGACTTGTGTGGTTAGGGAAGCTTTACTGTAGTGAGGCTATATATAGAACACTTCACCAAAATATGTTTGTAACAACAGTTGAGACCTATGATTTATGGAAATCCCCCATATGTCACATGAGCACGGCATTCCGGACCCTGACAGATTTGTGAATTTCACATAAAACCCGGTGACTCTTTTGCACATTTAATTTGAGAACAGGTGAACTAGCTAGATGGATGTTCTCCAGGAAACACTTCTAAGGTGAAAAAGATGTTGACTCACGCTTTCTCCTGATCTGGCCACCAGGTGGCACTGACAAGCTGGGGCGACTTCGTTGTGGGCAGAGGCGGGACAGATAATTAGGCAGCCTTGCCTAATCTGCAAATCTGCAGACCTTAATCCATGGAGTATTGGTAATCCTGTAGATAGTGCAGTATGTGGTGAAATTAGGGAACACATCACACCATGGGGAATAGAAAATGCTAATTATTTTCAATCCCTATCTCATTCGATTTGCCTGCATCATTTGACTCTATGGACCATCACTTTCTTCTTGGAAATTTCTTTTCCTTTGGTTCCTAGGACACAGCTCTCTCACGGTTTTCCTTCAACCCTTAATAATAATAAGTAACATTTATTGGGCACTTAATATAAGCCACGTCCTGTGCTAAATGCTTTGTACACACGATCATTTAATGCTCCCTATGAGGTAGCTACTCTCATTAGCTTTATTTAGCAGGTAAGTCTTACAGAGAGATTAAGCCATGGGTCCAAATTACATAACTAGTGAGAGTCGGAGTTAGCATCAGGGTTGGGACAACCCTAGTCATGAGTCCTAGCTCACTGCACTTATGGCTTCCAGAGAGCCCTGATGGTTTCTGAATCGTCCCCATCATCCTGTCTGCCTGCATCACTACTCCAGGGTGCACTTGCCTTTGTAGACTGTGCAGCTGGGGCCCTCCTTTCTCAGTTTCTTCCTGTGCAAGTCTCTAGACACCTCCTAGGCGATCTCCCCCGGCCTGTCCTGAAGCCAGCCTGGGAGCTTCCCTCTAAGGAAGCAATGGCCACACTGTCTTGTCATGGTTTGCTTGTCTGTGCCCCCCTACCAGGTTCTGAGCCCCTCTAGGACAACTTAGTATCACTGGCACCTAGCGTGCTTGGCATATAGTAAACAGTCAGAAATGTTAATGGGATGAACAGCCTCAAAAGAGGGCTGGAGGTACACAGTCACAGCCATTCCTGAAGAAATATAGTGTGACATTGCCCACACAGGTGTTTGAAAACAACCCTTTGAGTCTAAGACAGAAAGCGGGTTGAAGGGATTTTTTTCCAGTCCAGTAAACCTGTGACTTTGAATTGGGAAATACTACTAAGGTCAACGGGCAAGGGGCCAGTGCAGAGTGCTGTGATAAACTGAGAATGCTAAGGACGTGATGGCATTCATTGTCCAAATCCATATTATACCCCAAGGCCAGGATGGAGCCGGGGCAGGTGCGGCTGCAGGCATTGAGCACTGGCATCCCCTCAGGGGTGCAGCAGCTGCTCCCCTCCCAGATGGTTTCTGAGCATCAGTTCCTCCTCTGCACCAGAATGTTTAGCAATGTCCTGGGTGGATGAACAAGGAGCTGAATGAAGAGTCTCTGTTCTCTGGTTGTCATGAGTGTGTGGTGATGGGGAAGGGAGCCCAGGAATGAACTCATCTGAACTACAGACATAACCTGCCTTGGGCGAGATAAGGCAAAGAGTCCACCTGTGCTCTAGGCCTTCCTTCTTAAGCCCTCCTTGAAATCCAGTCAGCATGGCTGTTTTTCCCAGGTGTCTGACCCTGCCCCCAAGATCATAGACCTATGCTGTCCAGGATGGCAGCCGCTAGCCACGTGTAGCTACTGAGCACTTGAATCGTGGCTGGCATGGCCAAGCGCAGTTGCCCATGCCTATAATCCCAGCACTTTGGGAAGCTGGCGGGTCACTTGAGGCCAGGAGTTCAAGACCAGCCTGGCCAGTATGGTGAAACCCCATCTTTACTAAAATATAAAAAAAATTAGCTGGGCATGGTGGCACATGCCTGTCATCCCAGCTACTCAGGTGGCTGAAGCATGAGAATTACTTGAACTCGGGAGGTGTAAGTTGCAGTGAGCCAAGATCATACCACTGTATTCCAGCCTGGATGACAGAGCAAGACTCCATCTCAAAAAAAAAAAAAAAAAAAAAAGAAAAAAGAAATATGGCAGACATAGCTGAGCTAGTATACCTTTAATTTTATTTCATTGCAATGAATTTAAATAGTCACATGTGGCTATTGGTACCATATTGAACCATATTGAACAGTGTACACACACTTACACACACACATACACACAGTTTTTGCCCTAGTGGCTACTATAGAGGTTTTTGATCCCTCCTTTCCCAACAAACACTGGATTTAACTCAAAGGTCCATTCTTCCTTAGGTTTTTGCTATTTCCCCCCTTTTCCTTTAAGAAGCCATTGATGGACCTCATTGATGGAAAGTTCTGTAAGTGTTGCCAAGGAACATCAGTATATTTTTCCTGTAGCTGGCACCTTTGAGGGAGTCTGGTCTCCAAGGCCATCTGTTTTGCAAGCAAGGGTGAGACAGCCACATTCCTCATCCTCAGACCTATGACTCTACCATGGCGAAGGCGGTGACCAGGGAGGGCTGGGACATTTGTGTCACAGAAAGAGTCCCTGCATTGATCATTTCTGAGTGATGTCTGAGTGGGGGTAATACCTAATGTTAAGAGAGTAACCATCTGACTACATCAAGACTTTTCATTTTCAAAGTATTTTATTTAAATAAATTTTTCTTTTGTGTGTGTTTGAATTTTACAGAAAAAAATACTGACAAATACTATACAGCTTGGACCCTTTATATTTTTCTTGGAAAGGTGGCTGCCATTTTTCTACCTTTCTCCCTCCCTGCTCCCCCCAAGAAAAAGAAACATGGAATCCATTGAGCAATGGGGAAAGGAGCAATGGGGAAAGGCCTCCTCTGGCTGCCGTCCGGAGCCTGGCTAAAGCTGCTCAGAAGTCCAGGCCTAGGGGATGTCTTTCTCGAGCCTGTGCTGGTCTAGGAAGCCTCTTCTTTAGGAATCATTTTTTTGTCCCCCGTGAACTTACCCTCCCCAGATGAGTCAAGCAGTCTCTGGTCCTGAGGTCCCATGGGTTGCCAGTGGCAGTTCAGGGACAGAGGCTGGAAGGAGTGAAAATGGAGAGGAATAAAGGGCTGGGGCTGGTCTGGTGCAGGCAGAAGAGGGAATCAGAGAAGCATAAAACATGGAGAAAAAGATGAGAAGGAAGTGGAAAGAAGAGAGTGGATATCAACAATGGCCTTAGGCTCCTTTCATGCACCTGTTTATTTAACAAAACGTTTAGGGCCTATCCTGCACTGGGACTCCTCTAGTTACGCCAGGAAAGGTTGTCAGGGGAGTCTGTGATGGGGAAAAGAGAGGCCCCATTCTGGGTTTGGCTCTTCTGAGTCATCGGCTGTGGAAGTGACTGAGAAGTGAGTTTCTGGGTGTTTCATCCCTGGGGTGAGAGCAAGTCCATTGGATTAGGAGACAGCAGGGACATTGTGCCTGGAGATAGAGGCCTTGTCATGGCAATGACAACTGACTGCTGTCTTAATTCAAAGGAGCAAGCAGTTGCCATGGAAACCATGTTACTTGTATGGTCCCGGATCCCGGTGATCCGCCCTCCTAGATCATATCTGACACTACGTCTCAGCTGTCAGCCTCCACCTCTCCCCAGCCATCCATTCTAGGGGGACTGAGAGGTGGAGACAGGAAGGGCAGCTTGTCCTGGTGAGCAGTGGCAGTTGTGGGGAGATGTCTTCCACATCCCTGGGTTTGGTGCAGGCAGATGGCAAGTCATTCTGTTATGTGAAGGGCACAGCCAGAGGCCCCATGACAAACTCTCTATGTGACAAGGGGATAGAGAACCAGAGTGCTTCTTTCTCTGGTCAAAGGGGTTGATGAGTGGGAGGCCTGAGTGCTTAGGCAGTTTATGGCCATATAGGGTGAGAGGGCAAATGTGACTGGCTATAAAATATATGCAGGTTTAAATTATGATTCACAGGGTCATCTGTTAGAAAACCCTGGTGCAAGGGTCACCACTAAATGCCCACCCTCCACAGGCCTAAAGTACACCTGGAGGGCAGGTGAGTACCAAGCAGCCCAAGTGAGCAAATAGAATATATCTTTCCTTTAATGCAATCTTATAGAATTTAGTTTTTTGCTACTATAAATATCATAGTTTAGCTACATTATTAATTAGATAGCAATTTTGCCACTGTGTAGAATAGCTTCCTTGGGAAAATATTTCAAGAGAGCTGCCCAGCATATTTGTAAATAAACTTCTAGAGCATAACTTGCTCCCAAGGAGTGAATTGTCCATCTTTGTAATACAGTCACAATACAATAAAAATACCAAGCAGTTCATCCTATAAGTGGATTAACTCTGCTTCCCAACCTCACTCTGGCGGGGAAAGCCCTCCTCAGCTCACTGTGGATCTAATTTACATGTCCTCACATACCTCAAGGCACATGTGTCACCTACATGTGCTCTCCAGCATTAAACACCCAATTTCATCCATTGCAGCAATTAGTGGGCTCACTTAGAAGAGAAGATCACTCGGGGAGAACTGGTGAGGTATTACAAGCTTACCCTTAACAACATCACATATCCAACAGTAACCACAGTTAGTTATAAGTACCTACTGTGTGCAAGGCACTTGCCTGAGCTTCAATATAAATATAAATAAACCTCTTTATAGCTTCATCCTACTTTCATTTAAACTCTGTTACCTCTGCATCCCACCTGTGCCATACCGTGCACACATCACAACCTTATGACATCACTTCCAGTGTTGCCTTCTGTGAGACTGCACTGATGATTGTCTAGTTCCTTCCCTGCTGGAAACTTTGGTTATATAGGAGATACCTAGCTCAGGTGTAGCATCTCCTCACCCTTTCCATCTGTAAACATTGCACAGGTACACAGTTGCAGTCCACTGACATAAATGAGTGGGCTTCCATAATTTTCTAGCAGTCACCACCAAGAGCTCTTTGTTCTTGCTTGGAGAAAGGCACTTTGCTGAGTGGTTTGCGGGGGTAATGTTTCACAGAGAGGTCTTGGATCACATTAAACACCTCTCAGTGGCAATGAGGACGGACTTTGTCATGAGTTACAAGAAAAGAGCTTTCAATGAATTTTGAACCATCACACTTTAAACATCTTGGCACAGGTGAGGGGTCAGAGGCACAGAAACTTGGTGTGTCTGTATCAAGACACACAAGGGTGGGGACTGTAGCAGGTTGCTGGAATGTCCAATTATGAGTACTTCCAGTAAAAGTTTATGTGTAGAGTTAGAAATAGGAAAGCATGCATCTGTAACCTGAGTGGTTTATGGAATAGATGGTGTATGGGGGCCTTGCTGGTTAGGAAATTGTATATATGTGTCTGAATCTGGCAAGGCTTTCCCATGAGACATTTTTGTGACTGTAGATAATGTACTTCCCTGCACAAAGTACATAGCCAATGACCATTTGATGAGCAGAATATACTTGCCCACGTACCTGCTACCTGAATTTGTGTGTGTGTGTGTTACGTGCATGTGCACACACTTGGGAACCATATTGAGATGTATGGATAAATGTTCTTTGTGCTTTGCATGTGGGGTATGCCAGAGACAGGTGGGAGGCATGCCTGGGTCTGCAGTAAGGAGCATTGCTATTGGACACATAGCTGCCAAGACAGTATCCAAGAATTGTCCACGTGGTCCCTGGGACTGCCCTCCACTGGGACACTTAGTCTGAGGTTTGTTCCTTGGTTGAGTAGTTACTCTGTGGACATGGACATAGTGCATTATTTCAGGGGTTCCTGAAATGTCTGTGTGTGGTCAGAAGGAGGCTTAGCCCCAGAAAGGAAACACCTCTGCTTCCTGCCTAACTAAACAGGCAGTGATGGTCTCTTCTCCATCTGGAGAAGCTTGGGTTGAGCAGAGATCCAGAGGTCTTCTTCATCCTTCTTCTTCTTCTTCTTCTTCTTCTTCTTGTTCTTCTCTGGCTGCTGGCCCCTCTTGCCTGGTGGGCTCCAGCAGCAATGGCAACAGATGAAGAGGAGTGTGATGATCACCAAGAGTGGCAGGCCCAGGAGGACTCCCAGGCAGATGGTGTTGTAGATGCCTTCTTGGTGTTTGGTCAAGATGGTGTCCCAGATAGAGCTGAAGAAGGCACTGATTCTCTCCATGGTGCTTGGCTAGATTAGGGCCAGAGAACCCTCTCGGCTTACAAGCAGGTCCTGGGCTCAAAAGGATGCAACCTTGACCACTTGTAATTTATTCCTCTTCCAGCTTTGGGTTTGGGCATGCCACTGGCAGCACCTGAAGAGATTAAAACAGACAACTGAAGAGAAATGCAGGGGGACTGGTCTACAATTTTAATAGTGTCATAGATTTTAGGCTTAGGAAAGGGGAAGGAATTGAAGATTTCCAGGGTTCAGTAAACTTGTATTGACTCAATAAACAAGATAAATGCATGCATGTAATCAATAAGCATCAACTAATTCTTGCTATGTACACACATTATATTGGGCTTAGGATATAAAAATGAATAGTATATCAGGTCTGGCACGTAGGAAGTTCTCAGTAGTTGTTGGATAAATGAATCAATGTGTGTGTTCAGTGTTCTGATAAGGGGTTGCTTCCCTGGACCCTTCTGCAACAGCAGTTCTCAATCTTTTTTCCACTGTAGCTCACCTGACAGATGTTGAACACACACTCCCCACAGGACAGGTCTGTATGTAACCTTTTATTAACATAACTTGCCATTTTCAAAGCTTATTGAAGCTTAAGCACAAAGTGAGATGTCTACTTCTTGCTGTCTGTAGTAGGGAACCTGGGTCTCCTCTGGGCTAAGAGGTCATCAGTCCTCATCCTGCCCCATGCCTGCTTTCCGTGCTGTCCCCTCATGATCTCTTCCCTGCTCCATGTCTCCTCCCCTCCTTATATCACATTCCTGTGCCTGAGAAGTCCTCTCCTCCCAAGGCTGAGAGAACCAGGGGTGACCATTTGCTGGCTTTCCACTTTCTACCTTCTACCTTCCTCTTCCTCATTACCCTTCTCTATGTTTTCTATTCCTTGACCAAATACTCCAAAGTCTCCTGCTCTCTTTCTTCTCTATGGGAGAGGAGTCCTTGCAGGCTGCTTAGTGATGGTGCTTGGAAACCAGAGTGAGGTTCCTGGGTGCCTCCCTGTTCCTGTTCTGAACTCAGCATACAGCTGGGGCCATTCTCCTGGTTGCTTGTACAGAGCTGCCCCTCTTCCCTGGTCACCCCTCCACATATATCTTAAAGCTCAGCTCTCAAGTATAAGGTCTTAGAGGCTGCCTTCCATTCTGGAATTACAGGTTCTTGTGTACAAACAAGACTTCAAGGACAGGCATGATTCAAGGAAATTTAAGAGGCCTGTTGGTGTAAGACATTCTCCAGGACCCAAATATTAAGGAGTGGTTGATTTTCAGGATGGACACTCCAGAGATCATCCCAATGAACTCTCTCACTTAAGGATAAAGAATCTGGGGTCCAGAGCAGTGAGGTGACATGTCTGAGGCCATAGAGACCCACCCAGGCCACACAGGCCCACCCAGACCCACCCAGACCTCTGGACAATGGGTTCAGCACTCTCCGCAGGCTGCCAGGCAAGCAGAGGAACTAAGGATGACAATGATGTCACTTTATACTTGCATTTCACTTCATACTTTTCTAATCATTTTCATCTGCATTTAATCTTTTGAGTGAGCTGTGTCTACGGATGGGAACACTGGGGACCTGGGCCTGGAATTCAAGATCAGCTCAGGCTTCATTGCATACATGTGCAGCCCTCCTGGGTGATGTTTTCTACATGATGCCCCAGCAATTGTCCTCAGAAGTCTAATTCCTTGGATAGCATGCTCTATCAATGTCTCATGATCCCAGTGCCCATGTGCCTATCTAAGCCCCAGCTGTCCTCAGTCCTAGTCTGCTGGCATGTAATCCCACCCTCTCATGGCATTATTTACATAGATTTTGCAAGCGTACAAATTGGCACCTACTACTGAGCCTTTTGGTCCATGGAGCCCAAAGAAATGTTATAGGATGACAATAATAATTGTAGCCAACTTTTAGTAAGCAGTAATTATATACCAGGCACTTTTCTAGGCACTCTATTAACTCATTCATCTTCATGACACCCTTATGAAGTAGGTACTGTGGTTCCCCCATCCTGCAGCTGAAGAGATGGAGGCTCAGGCCACACGGTGAGTGAGTGCCAGAGCCGGTCTCACTCATTCTGGAGAGTTTGGCTCCAGATCCGCAAGGAGTGATCTGTTCACAGGCGTTGCTCTGTGGCCTCCTATTCCTTTGTGTGGAATTAACCCATTTTTGGCAAGCAGCCCAGGATTTACAGAATCTTACAATATTTGGCTATTCCCCAGATTAACTTAAATGCTTATCCCAGTCTATTGTAGGAAAGACTGCAAAGAGATTTATTTCTCATTGTTAGATCCTTCCCAAATGCATGAAGATACATAAAATAAAAACAAAGTTCTGCCCAAGTGCAGGTTTATAGAAAGCATATGGCTGCCTGAACTTAAACTCAACATGCAACAAAGAAAAGTATCCTGAGGAGTCATGTCCTCTCATCCAAGGCTCTGCTCAAGCCCCTCTGAGGCCTGGGAACAGCCCATGCCATGGATCTGCCCACACACCATCAAGCTGCCAGGCTCTCTGTAGAGAAAAGCAGCCTTTGGCATGCTTCTAAGCCCCGGTGATGCTGTATCTCAGGCCACTCATCTCTCTTCTGGATTTTCCTTCTCCCTCTGCAATGACCTTTGCTTTTACCTCAGTCTTGAGTGGGTCTGTGCCCCTGTCTGTTGGGATCTTTCTGCTCTGTTGTGGAAAGGCTTTGGGTGCTTTTCTTTAATTTGATTCTACTCACAGCTTTCCTGATTCACGTTAGATAACACCACCACCACAAATGTTCACCAACTATTTTGTGCCAGGGGTTATGCTGTTCCTACAGGGAGCAGATGGGTAACAGGGGCCCCTCTGGGTTCAGCCAGCAAGGAAGGAGGGCGAGCTCATGGAGATCAGGTCAGTTTTCATGAAGGTGGAGCCACCTGGGGGACGACCTTGAAGATGCGTAGTATTTTGACAGAGAAATATAGGTGAAAAGGATGTTCAAACATTCCAGGCAGAGAAACTTCTAGAACATGAGCAGGAGAACAGGGGGTCTTCTGGTGAGCCTGGAGCTCAGGGTGGGAGAAGAGAGGATGAGAAGGGACACTAGGAGGTAGGCATGGCCATGGTAGAGGGGCCGTCATAGGGTTTGCGTTTATTTGGAGGCTTTACAACAGGAGAATGTTGTGATCAGAGCTGCCTTTCAGGAAAAGATAACAAGATCTGAAGAACTCTGGAAAATGTGTTAAGAAAGTTCTTTAAATCTCCTTATCCGTTTATCAAACATTCACTGAGCACCTAATATGTTTCATGCACTGTTGGGTGTTGAGAATTCAATAGTGAATGACAAAGATATGGTTTCTGACATCGGGAAGCCTCGTCCATTCCAGGGGAGTTATTACTATTGATAGATCAAGTCATAAAAGCCAAGTACAATAAGCAAATTCCAAACTAGATTGCTTAGTTGGCTGAAGTAGAAGCATGCATTTGAATTATATGTTTATCTCAACATCTAGGGCCCTCCCACCCCTCCCAACCTTTGTCTTAAACTCATCCATCCCTTGGCACCTAAAATGGCCTTTGAATAAATAGATTTCTTTTCAAGCTAAAGCTAAGTCAATAATTCTCTTCTGGATTCCTAAAGGGACTTATTTGAGGCTGCTCCCCATACAGCCAAAGAGTATTCATTAACATTTGGGAAGCCAGTCTGGGGAAAATTCGATTAAAAGGTATTCTTTATATTTTTTAATCTAAGAATTCTTTTCTAGGCACCCCCCAGGTTACTTGCTGAGCTCTGCTAATCTATAGTGTTTCATTAGTATTTATGAGTCTTGCATTATTAGCATTTCCAGAAAACAATCAAATATCTCCTTAGTGGCATGAATTAAAAGTGAGAACTTCCATGGAATGCAAAAGAAGACACACTTCGGCCCCTGGAAGTACACTCTAGCCTTTTGTTAGCTTTTGAATAGCACTGACAATGCTTGAAAAGTAATTCATCTATTTTTGTAAGACCAACAATAGGTGCCAACCAACCTCATCTGTCTGATTGTGGCTGTGGGGGTGGACGAGAGGACAGAGAAGAGGGGAAAACTTTCTTTCAATTTTTTTGAAACCAAATATTATTTACCTCCATATCCTCTGTAGTATCTAGCTAGGGAGACAGAATCATTCATTCACTCTTTCTGTCGCAAACTTCTATCCACCCATGTATGAGGTGACGATGGGAAACAGTGATCCCAGAGCCAGAAGGCCTGGTTTTGAGCCTTGGGTCAACCTGCATGACCTTGGCAAGTTAACCAGACCTCAGCTACAAAATGAAGCTAATGATCTTCCCTCATAATGACATTGTGGGGATCAAAATGATTCAATATATTTAATGCATTCTGTAACTGTAAAATACTTACACAAATATAATCCATAAAATAGTGAGTTATCTTGAAATAACAATGGACTAATTCCAGTGCTGGGCTTTTCTTCCTCCTTCCTCACCTCCAAGCCAATCCCTATTGCCAAAGAACCATGGGTCCCCACCGCATTGAAATGAAAAGGTCTTCAGAAATAATCTCCCTAATATGGTTGGTCTGTAGGTCTGTGGCTGTTGCTCTAGACTCTGGCATCCAGAAATCAGATGGAGAGCGGTCGCTTGGGGAACATCTGAAGGTGCCTGGAGGATTGCTGAGTTCATAGGTGAGGTGGAGGAGAGCAGCTAGCCATCTACAGGCCCCAGCCTCCCTCCCAGGCTTTGGGACCCTTGGAAGTGTTACAGGGGTGGGTCATTCCACAGGGAGGTCTGCTTCAATCTCTGAGAGCCAAAAGCTACTGCAGGCTGTGTCCAGGGCTGGCCCTGACACTGCTGTTCCTTCCGGTGCTCTCCAAGAAGGGAGCAGGGCGTTCTATTCTGCATCAGCCTCTCATTGTTCTTGTTTTTTAGACAAAATAATAAATGTAAAGCTCTAGAACAGTGTCTGTGAGACAGTAAATACTTTCTGGAAAGGTTAATAATAAGGATCACAATGGCACCCAATTAGAATCCCTGAGACCAACTCCAGAGTGACCTCCAAATGGTACAAATCACCACCCTTCTTGTAGGGGGAGGTGGGAGGTTCAGTTCTCTATGAGAACCTTAAGAGACCCCTCTTCTGCGACTGCTGACTCCTGGATTTGTGTGGGGGGCCATTTTATAACTGACAGTTGGGAGCAAAGACCTCCCCTTGGGCCTTTGCTCAAACAGCTCCATTGAGCTTTCTACCTTGGGTGCGCTGATCACTGTGCTTGCTTTAGCTCCTCTGCCCAGGATCCCAGGTGACAGCAGGATGGACTGTTGGCTACGAAGAGTCATTTAAGGAGTTAAAAATACAGATTCCTGCAGCCTGCTCCTGGAGACTCTGATTCAGTCGGGTCTAGGATGGGCCCAGGAATTTATGTTTGTAGCAAGCAGCCAGAGTGTTTCTGGACAATTGTCAGGTTTGGGAATAATTGAATAAGCAAGCTGAGCAGCCGACCTTCATTTATGAGCACAGGAGCCATGTGCTAAATGAGGGGAAGAATCATGGGTGAGGAGACGGGGGATGAAGTTTACCTCCACACACAGCAGCAAAATGGCCAGCCAGCTTGGGGAGCCTCCTTCCACGTTACTTCTTGCTTTGCGTTGTCAGGGGATCTCGGCCAGAACTGCTTTCCTGGAGGTCACGTTCAACGTAGTAAACAATCGCTGAACACCCGCCCTGTGCATTCAGATCCTGATCACCGCCCAGTCTAGCAAGGGGGAGAAATAAAAATAGAAGTATAGTGTGATGAGTTCTGTGGTCAAGTTCTGTGTTGGGGGACATGGGAGCAGCATGGCAGAAGCAGCCAGCGGTCCTGCCTGGAGAAGGTTGAGGGAAGGCAATGAAAAGAAACGACCATCATGACTGGTGTCTGAGCAGGCATCGTGCAGTGACTAATTACAGAGAACCTACTCCTGCTGGGAACTTTGTACCCAGGACAAGCAAACCAGATCCCTGTCCTTTCTGTGCTCCAAGTCTAGTGTGGGAACCAAACCAAACATTCATCAAAGAACCATATAGGCAGGTGTGAAAGTGTAATTATGGTGAGTGCCACGAACAAGACCCCACGATGCTATGAAAGGGGAAACAGGGAGGTTAGGAAGGCTCTGATGAGGGATGACTGAGAGAAGATCTGAATGACAAAAACAGCAAACACATGGCTAGGGTGTCTGAAAAGTTTTGAAACACAAAATAAACTTATTTTAAAGCATTTCCAAGTAATATGCTTGATAGGCTTTTCTTCAACCCTCCAAGACCTTTTCAGGTGAAGTTCTCTACATTTAAAGAATGAGTTCAATTGTTAATACACTGTAAAGTGTCCCCCCAAAGTCTGGAAACATAGGCAAACAATACCTGTATTGTGCTTTTTATTAGATGAACAAATTAGACCCATTGCTGTCCCTGAAAAGGACCTGAAGGGACAGGGTAGCTGACAGCAGCAGTGGTGGGGTGAGGGTGGATGGCAGGGCCCATGAATGGCAGCCCCACACCACAGGACCTTGTAAGCCACGTGGAGGGCTAGAGTTTGCTGTGAGAGCCACGGGGTTTTAAGCAAGGAGGGGACATAATTGATGTGGATTTCATAAAGAACACTCTCTCTGACGTGTGAGAGGACAGATGGGAGAGGGTGTAGGGGGAGGAAATGATCACAGTTGTCCAGAAAGTGGCAGCTGGGCCAAGGGTGATGGTGGTCGGAAAGGGCGGGATGATGGCGTGGCTCAGGTGTTTTCCAGCAGATATGGGTGGGAGAACTCTCAGGCAGAGGGACATGAGAGGAGGTGTCCCTGGGTGTGCCCAACTTTCCTTCTTCTAACCCTAGTCTCCTATGAGGGCTCTCAGTCTGGAATGTATATGTATATTCTTTTTTTTTTTCCTTTCCAAAACAGGAAAATCATCAGTCTCTACCTGACTCCTCACCATCTCTCTTGGGGGGTTAAAACACCTTATTCAACCCCAGGCCTCTCCACCCTGCCTGTCCAAACCTTGCCCCAGCTCTCAAACCACACTGCCTTACAAAATCCCTGTGGTTACGATAATATCACACACTTCAGAAACCAAGGCTCTCTGGCAGCGAGGGCACAGAGTGGAACCTCAGTCAGTAGTTATTAACTTGGCTATTCTGGATATATATTTTCTTGATGGTTCTCACCTTGCTAACCTGGCATGCTCAGGTGCCCTCTAATAGAGGTAAGTACTGTTTTGTACAAAAATGGTCTGATCACAGTAAATGATCTGCTTGTAGAACATTACATTTATTACTTAGACCCAGCTCTAGGCATTCTGAAATAGGTATCTACATTTTCCCCAATTTAATGAATTGCTTCAAATAACTAGTCCTAATACAAAGTCGGAAGCTCTCTTTTCCCCCCAGAGTATATATGATGCATAACTAGATATTCAGTATTAAAGGAAAATAGATAGTATTTTCCCCCAGAATTGATGTTATAATTATGGTTGCAATTTTGAACAAAAGCACAAATAGAGCATCAATAGAAAAATGATTAAGGCACCATGGTTATTTAATAAAATGATGCTTTATCATGTAAACATTCTGGATTAGAAGACTCCTGAAATGGGCCATCTGGTTGATTACCTTACTTTATTGATGGGAAATCTGGGACCAAAGAGACTGCATCTTGCGGGAGATCACCCAGCTGGTGACTAATAGAGCCAGGGCCAGAACCAATGTCTTCTGAGGCCCAGGTTACCCTCCTGCCAGGTCTCTTCCACAAACTCTTCCACAGTGCTTTGCAAGATGCCCACCATATTCTCTTTCTGAGCACGAGTGAGACCATACTTCTCAGCCCCTTACGTCTCTGTGGGGCTATGTGACTGAGTTCCAGCCAAGGAAACGTGGCTCCTGAAATCTTCTCCCGGGCCCTCCCTGTTCTCTCTCTGCTTGCTCATTGGCTGGCCAGATGCAGAGCATCCAGGGGAGGACTCCAAGAGCCCTGGGGATGGCAGAGATGGGAGGTGTTCCTGAATGACTGTGTGGAGCAGAGCACCCCTGCTGACCACAGTGAAAAATGAAATGAGTTAGAATAAACTTTTGTTGGGTGAAGCCACTGAGATTTGGGGATTTTCTGCTACAGCAGTTAGCCTATCCTGCCTAATACAAGTGACAAAAAAGCTAATGTTGGTAATGATTATTAATTACCATTGCATATATAATCCCTAGAATGATTTGCTTATAACAAATGTGCAATGTGTTCAACAACTCTCCTATAGGGCAGCTTTGGCCAAAGAGGGGTTTACCTTAGTGCTTTTGAGCAGTGGTTCGGGAACCAGATATCCTGGGTCTGAATTCTGGCTCTCCCACTCACTAGCTGTATCACATTGGGCAGGTTAACCTCTCTCTCTGGCGCTCTGTTTTCTCATTTGTAGAATGGCATGGATAATAACAGGATGTGAGAATGAAATGAGTCAGTAGAAGTAGAGTGCCTCAGAGCCTTGCCTAGCAATAAAAGTTAGTCCTGATTGTTTGATCCCAAACAAATAGGCTGGCCAAAGTAAACAGCCCTTGACTCCTTAGCTAATGATGGTTTTGTTTGTCTTTTTCAAATGTGAGATGGTTCTGGAGTCATGACTTTGATTATGTAGGTCTCCTTTACAAGGCATTTTCTCTTTTCTCTAGTTTTCCTGTGGTAGACTAAATTAGTTCATTCATCATTCTCTTTCAAAGCGACCATTTCAGAATGAAAATATGGATAAGCACCACTCAGGAGCTGAATCATAAGGGTTTAGATACACTTCCTTCCCCTCTCTGCAGGGCTCTCCCAAGATTGTGTGGAGTAGGACATAGAAGCCTCCTTCCTTCCTCACCCCGACGACAAACTGCCCTTTTGTCTTTTCCTACTTTCCCTTTTTTCCCTCCCTCAATGTATTTAATGAGCTCCTAGGATGTGTCAGTTCCGGTCCTGGCACCATGGGTATAGTCATGCATAAGACAGACATTTTGTTTGTGCACTTATTATCTCTCTTCTCCAGGTAGAAAGTATACATGTTAGTGCAATAAAGGAAATAATTGGAGTGGCCTCTGAAAAGGTGACTCTGAACTGAGATCTCGGGGTGCTAAGGACCAAGCGTGCACAGCGCTAAGGGCAGGACCTCCGGTAGCAGCAACATTAAGGGTGAGGGCTCTGAAGTGGGAAAGCGCATGGCACATCCATGAGAGAGGGCAGCCAAGTGTGGCTGGACCGTGGTGAGCATCGTAAGTAAAGCAGGGCTTGAGCTAGGGGCACTTGGGCCCTGTGGGTATGGAAAGGCACAGAAAGGTGCCTTCCCCTTTATCCCCATTGTTACCTCATTTGTCCAGGCCTTCAAATGGCCTCTAGTTTTTCCTTCTTTCAATTCGTCTTTCTAAAATCTGAATGTAACGCGCACTCCCTGCGCAACCCTCGCTTGGCTGCTCACCACCTGTATGATCACACCTCCTTAGCAAGGAGGACTGGCTGGTAATCCAACTCTCCTATTACCCCAGCCTCACCTTCCTCCACCACCCCCACCGCCCTAGCTGTTTATCACATAATAGGTGCTAATAAATATGGGACAAATAAATGAATTCCTTCAACACTCGGACTAAGCTTCTCTCCTGGGCTTTACCTCCCCACCCCTACCTCATCAGCTGGTCCTACCTGCTCTCTCTCTGACTATGTCCTGACTCCATCCACTTCCCACCATTTCCATGGCCAGGCCTTTGCTGTCTCTCACCTGGGTTACTGCAGCAGCTTCCTAACCAATCTCTCTGGTTCTGCTCCTCCCTCCCTCCGGCCTGTTCTCCCCACCAGAGCCAGATCATATCACCCCCAGGCCCTGCTCACGCCTCATGGCTTCCCGTCACTAGAAGTATGACATCTAAACTAGAAGTATGACATCTAAACTCTTTCTTACATCCCCAGGCCCTGCCATCGTCTGGCCCCTGCCTCCTTCTGGACCTTGTCTGGTACTCTCTTCTCTCCCATTCACTGTGGCCTAGCCGCGCCTACTACTGGACCGTCCACTCGCTCAGGACCCTATTTGTCCCTTTGCCTGGTATGGTTTTCCTCAGATCTTGGCGTGATTGCTTCACAACATTTGCGTCAGCTCAAATACATTTTCATACAAATTTCCTCCCGTGTTACCTTATCAGGAGGCCTTTTTCTAATGGAGTATGGTTATCTAATGTCGCCCAACCCCCAGCCAACCCCTATCTCACCATCCTGCCCTACTGGCTTGGTGATACTCCTCACTTTGAAATTTCTCAGTCACTTACAATGCTGCTGTCACGCTGGTTTCCACCTTTACTGCCTGTCTTCCTCCATTAGAACATAAGCTCCATGAGAGCAGGGCCCTGCCTGTCCTATTCTGTTTGGATGCCCAGAGTCTGGCATGTAGCTGAATGAATGAATGAATGAGTGAAGTTAATTCAAGGGTTCTAAAAAAATGAGATCTTGAATAATCATCTGTCAGGCAAACCAGGTCACTGGGGAGAAAGAGTAGAAGAACCAAAGGGCATAGAAAAGTGACCATCAGTCACACTGTGGCTGGACTTTAATGATAATTATCCACCCGCAGACTGCACTCTCCAGCCAGATCTTCCAGCCACGAAAACTCACTGGAGGGAGAAATAATGATCAAGAAAACCGCCTATCACTGAGAGCAATAGAAAGTGGGGGCAGGGGTGAGTGTTTTATCAGCTCCTAAATAATCACCTACCTTCCTTTTGCTCAGTTACAAAGAGCCCATTGTAGCTGGGACTTTCTGATAACAAGGGATTCTTTCCTAATTACTATATGCTCTATTTCAGGTTCAGCAGAAAAGAAAATTAAAAAGCTCCATTTCACTGTGGGTTCAAATGAGTCAATCTTTCAGTCAATCAAGTATTAATTAAGACGTGCTAGGAAATATGGGGGAGGTAAAAGACATCCTCTCTTGTCTCAAGGATGATACCAGGGAAATAATTAGAGAATGATTTAAGAACAATGAAAAGAATTTTAAAAAGCCTTCATGTGGACTTTCTTTGATTTTCTATTATGGAAGGTCTGGAATCTCCAGTTCCTTTATTCTTCTTTACTCTTTTCCCTTTCTTCTTTCCTTCCTTTTCTCTCTTTTCATCCCTAATTATCTTTTCTCCAGAGGGTCCAGACTATACACTCTAAGAATAGTTAGTTCTCCTCATGTTACCCTCAGGATTAATCATGAGAAATTATGTCTGATTCCCTGAAAATTCCAGCTGTACTAAATGTGAGTGAATACAATTTCTCCAGTCTGTTAGCAAGTCAACTTCCTCATATTTACCTCCTCAAGGTCAAGGAAATTTCCTAATTTTTCTTCTTATATGCCAGAAAACTTGTAGCCAAGAATTTTGCCAGCCTGGGCAACATAGCAAGATCCTATCTCTACAAAAATAAAAATTAAAAAAATTAGCCAAGTGTGGTAGCACATGCCTGTAGTTCCAGCTACTCAGGAGGCTGAGGCAGGAGGATTGCTTGAGCCCGGGAGTTTGAGGTTACAGTGACTGCACCACTGCACTCCAGTCCAGGTGACAGGGTGAGACTTTGTCTCTAAAATAAAAAACAAACAAAAAAACCTGTCTCCACCACTAACATGGTGTGGGGTTTGGGGAACATTCACTTAAGTGCTTTTTCCATTTATTCTTCTGTAAACAAAGATATTGCCATCTTTCTCAGAGGGCTAGGTGTTTTATTCACTGCGTTACATCATTTTACTCTCAGTATCTGGCACAGGGCCTGGTAGAAAGTGGACTGGCAGTAAGTACTTGCTGAATGGATGAATGAATTAATGCATCGCTGGGCAGAGTAAATGAGATAATGTGTGTGAAGCATGTTGTGTAAGTATATTTCACACAGTGGGTGCCTTAAAATTGCCTTGCCAACTGTAAAGCACTATATTTATTATTATACTATTCACATTGTGTGAAAGGTGAAAACATCCATTTGTGAAATAATTATTTTGCTCTAATTAGAGTTTGATCAGCTTTTCACTGAATTGGTGTAGAAAGTGAGTTAACCAGCCCCTAGTGAATCAGGGCAGCCACCTTAGCCTCTCCCCTGCCTTCCTGCTAACTTTATTTCCATTCACTCCCAGGTGCTTCTCCCTCTCTCGGCCCTCCTGACCTCCAGGATCGCATTTCTTAGGGGAGCCTTGTGTTGTCCATCACTATCAATTTTCTCCTCTTCACTTCAGCTAGAATGCTCATTTGTTTTCTTTTGACAGTCCTCTTTTGATTTAGATACTTCAGGAGGCCAAAATCTCAAAACAGAGGGTTGGCAAAAGTCTTATCACCTTTCACAGGAACAAGGAATGATCTGTTGAATCAAAAAGCCATCATTTGCTGAGTTCTTACTAAGTGTGCAACTCTGTGTGTGGAATCAAGGGTTTACAGACATGGTCTCATTCAACAACTCAAGAGATAGGCTTTTTTTCTATGCCCATCCTACAGATGAGGAAACTGAGGCTATGAGAGATTTAAGTGATTCGCCCAAAGACATGGAGCTACTCAAGCGCAGAAAGACGTTTGACTCTAGTCCTCTCTGAGTCCAGAGATCCTACTGTAACCACCATTCTCAGAATGCTGAGGACTTTAATTTCTGGATCTTCTAAGATGATGGGGTGTTCATCCAACTATTCATCTATCAACATGTAAAAGCCTGCCACGTGCGTCACACCCTGTGGGTGCACTCTTGATTACGATGCCTTCTGTGACCTCAAGGAGCTCATGTTTTAATAGGACCAAACACGTTGAAGAGAAGTGCAATACAGCATCACTGATAACATGTATAACTCCATATATGCTGGGGCCCCAAGGCATGAAACTCACTGGCAGTCTGGGAGCTATGTCCAACCCACAGGCACTTTTACTTTGTATTATTTTTCTGCTTCCTTTGGTTTCGTATCAAATTCTCAATCTTCAGCTAGTCCTAAGATTTGGCCACACTAACCTCCCACATGGCCACAATCTGCTGGAGCTTTAAAAGGGCCTGTGTTCTCCCCATTCCCCGACCCCACACCCCAGTCCCCATCCTGCCTGCTTCACCCAGTCCTGTTCACCCACCTGGTCCCTGGAAGCATTTTAAGCTCACCTCCCCTGGATTATAAACTCACTCAGGAGTAGGAACTATGGTACATGTTCTCTGTGCTGTCATCTATGTAGAGAAGAGCCATGCAGGGGGCTTAAAAAATATAAATGAGGACAAAAGGCAAGCCTCACATAGCAGCTTTAACCTCCAGTTTGATGGACTGATCCTGATCTGTGGTTAATCAGACAAATGATAAGGATGAGGGATGTTTGCAAGAGGAATTAATGCATATCAAAATGCCCCTGGGCACAATACAAACAGCTGGCCCAAGGGTGCAATTAAGCAAGGAGTCAGAGGACCCTCTCCTAGTCCCAGTTCAGTTGTCCTCCAGGCCTTTGACCTTGGGCAAAATCAGTTAAGCTTTCTGAGCCCTTTCCTCATCTGAGAAATGAGGTTATTACTCATCCTGGATATCTCTCAAGATTACTGTGAAGAACAGACAAGACATGTGGAAGAACACTGAGCAGGGAAAATTGCAATCTCAATGCAAAGTAGTGGTATTTTAGGGGATTATATTAAAAGGCTGAATTAAAGCTCAAAGTAGAACACTGAGCTTCTCTTACTGATGCAGTCCTCCACCCTCCTATCCCCCGCCTTTCCCCTAGTCTGTGGTTATTAGGAGCTACATTTCCAAAGTGGAGAATTCATAGGGGAACTCTAATACCACTTACACTTCTATTCGTCATCTGTATATACATATATATATATATATACACATACATACATGATCTGACCACATCCTGGTATTAGTGCTAATAAAACCTGTAGCCATGGTTACAGTGAACTATCTTGGTTATATAGTTCTCATTTTCACTTTTCAAAATAGTTTGGTAAAGGATTTTGGAGCCAATGTTTGTGGGTGTGGTAAAGTGTTTAGGTGAAGTTTTGTTTTTGGAGAGCCAGAAGCCGAGGCTCTGAGGTCATCTGTGAGTTAGGAGCGGTTGAGTGGGGCGTTGCCTTTTCTGTTCCACAAATAAAGGGAAACCTCTGCTTCTGGCCGACTCCAATAACTGATGCTTAAGTGTTCAAATGTCATATCCTCTTGGAGGGAAAAAATGTTTTTTGAAAAAGCATGAGAACGACCAAACACTTGTGTCATTCAGGGTCTCCCACACAGGTAGTAATTAAAAGTTGCATAATTCTATGCAGCCAACAGACACATGAAAAAATGCTCATCATCACTGGCCATCAGAGAAATGCAAATCAAAACCACAATGAGATACCATCTCACACCAGTTAGAATGGCAATCATTAAAAAGTCAGGAAACAACAGGTGCTGGAGAGGATGTGGAGAAATAGGAACACTTTTACACTGTTGGTGGGACTGTAAACTAGTTCAACCATTGTGGAAGTCAGTGTGGCGATTCCTCAGGGATCTAGAACTAGAAATACCATTTGACCCAGCCATCCCATTACTGGGTATATACCGAAAGGATTATAAATCATGCTGCTATAAAGACACATGCACATGTATGTTCATTGTGGCACTATTCACAATAGCAAAGACTTGGAACTAACCCAAATGTCCATCAATGATAGACTAGATTAAGAAAATGTGGCACATATATACCATGGAATACTATGCAGCCATAAAAAAGGATGAGTTCATGTCCTTTACAGGGACATGGATGAAGCTGGAAACCATCATTCTCAGCAGACTATTGCAAGGACAAAAAACCAAACACCTCATGTTCTCACTCATAGGTGGGAATTGAACAATGAGAACACTTGGACACAGGAAGGGGAACATCACACACTGGGGCCCATCGTGGGGTCAGGGGAGGGGGAAGGGATAGCATTAGGAGATATACTTAATGTAATGACGAGTTAATGGGTGCAGCACATCAACATGGCACATGTATACATATGTAACAAACCTGCACGTTGTGCACATGTACCCTAGAACTTAAAGTATAATAAAAAATAAAAATAAAAAAATAAAACTTGCATAATTCTCTTTAATACTAGAGACAGGAACTTAAGAGTTCTGCAAACTTTGGGGCAATAACAGAATGACTGACATATTTCTTTTTGTTAGTGGTGGTGGGGGAGACATTTACAGGCTGGAATAGCTGAAAACTAATGAAGTGGCAAAAATGTAAATTATGCAACTCAAAAGTGATACAGATATGGTTCTATTTTCCTTTCCATTTTGTCCTTTCATTTAATGTTAACAAAATTTCGGGGCAATTAAAAGCCAAAAGCTACCTTACTGCAATATTAAGTCTTAAAATGCAAAGATCAAATCATAGAGGGAGTGAGCATAAATATTCTCATTCCAATAATAACTCACCTCTGTGGAATGTTCAGTGTGGTGGACTTCAGATTTGCCAGGCTTTGGATGGCAGCTTCCACCCCAGAGGGCAGTCTGTGCAGAGGAGTTCATATGTCTGAGGATAAACCTTTACTTCCTTTCTGCATGGGCTTAAATCTGCATTCCTAATGTTGCAGGGAGTGTTTTTTTATGGTTTTGATAAATAATGGTTGATGAATGCAGAGAACATATATGAGTGAGCTAAAATACTTATTGAGTACACATCCAGTGTCAGGTTAAGTAGCATGCTTTTTTTTTTTTTTTTTTTTTTTTTTTTTTTGCTTCAGCACCTTCTTTCTTTGATATAGATGACATATGCTTAGCCTCATCATGTGCAGTTTTAGTTGCCTCCATGCAGATATTCTTGTCCCTAGGAATAGCCGTCATCTCTTCCCTGATGCCCTCAGCATGCCCAAACATTTTCCTCCCCATCCTTGAAATGCCCTTCCCAAAAGAGATGGCAAGTATTGCAAATTCCTGAATCGGGAGTATGTATGGAAGAAACTGCTTAAGCTGGGGATTGCAGGGGGGTATCCCATATTCACCCCCCTCGACACAGGGTTCCCTTAGCCTCATCCCCTCATTCTTTCCCATCCACCACCTCTGCTCCATCCATGCCTGGAGACCTCAAGGCTTTGTGGGAGACCCTCTGGAAAGCACTTAAGGCCACTGGGAGGTAGGGGGGATGGTGGGAGAGGCCAGGGAACTCAGCCCTTGTCTCTGGGCTCTCCATGATGTGGCCTCAGGGCTGAGCTGTCTGCAGGCCGACCACCAGACTTTAGGCTTTATCTCCCATTAGCAGCCCAGATACATTTTTTATCAGACCAACCCTCAAAGTATCAGGGTCTTGAAGAAATAACACATTAGGTGGGAATGCTTTGATAGAGCAAGACATTCTGAATGTTAGACCCTGCCCATGACAGTTAGAAGGCAGAAGATGCCATAGGGATGGCAGTTGGCCTAGAGCAGCCAGAGAAGAAAGTAGATGTCCTTGAAGTGCCTAATAGGGGTAGGCAGATTCTTCTCAAGAATCTGTGGGGCCTAGGCCCCCTGTTCTGGCTTTGACTTTTACCTGATTTTACTTATTTACATTCTCATAACTTGCCCTAGGAGCCAAATTCTTGGCTAAAGGGTAGTTTGAGTGCAGAGGAAGCTAATAGATTGAGGAATGAGAAGAAGTTACAACTCACTCAGTGTGTGTCCTTGGGAAGGTCACTCAGCTGCTTTGAGTCTCAGTTTCTTCATCTCCAAAATGGGGAACAATCTAGAAGAATACACAAGAAAATGATAGCATGTACTGCCCCTTTGGAGGGAAATTGGGGGCAGTGCAGGAAGGGAGACTGGCTTTTCTCTCATTCCTTTGGTACCATTCTGAATGACTGATCACATGCATACACTTTCTAAATTAAACCAACAACTGGAAGTGAGTACCTGCTCACAGGGTCCTTAGGTAAAAGCACATAGTGAATGTAATGTGTGTCTGGGCTGTTAGGAACTGTACAAATATTTAGAGTCATAATTGGTATTATTCCCAGCAGTTGCAGGGATGTGGCAAAAAACAAAAGTCACTCCTCAATTCTGCCTGGTAGTCAAAGTGGCCTGAAATTCTTGGGAAATTTGCTCCAATGTTGGGAGGTCTTCCTGCCTCCAACCCAGAATGGCTGGATGGAGACCACTCCTAAATCCCCTCTACAACCAGGCCAGCCCCTTCACCTACTTGTGTAGTGGAGCTGAGGCTGCTGCTGGGTAACTTGAATCCTCCATGTGTACAAATGACCCCAGGTTTCCAAGGGCTAGCGGGCCATGTCCACTCTGCTGAGCAAGTTCTGACAAGCACATTCCATCCACTGCCAGGAGGCAGGGGGGCAGCACCTTCAGTGTGAGCAGAAGGAATGGTACCTACATTTGTGGCTGCCTTTTCTTGGCCTCTGGGGCTGGGAAGAGCTTTGTATAAAATGTGTGTGAGTCTCCCTTAGTTGTTTACTGAGTCCCTATAATAAAAATAATGCTGCAAACATATTGTTCTTTATACATGAAGAGGCCAATAGCACTAATAACAATTGTTTGCATCAATAAAATATGCCATTTGAAGGATTTTTCCTGTAGTTGCATGTGGATTTCATGTCAAGAAGCATTAGTTAAGTATTTACTATGTAACCGACATAGTGCTGGAGGGGAAAAAGAAGTGTACCAACTGGTTCTTATCCTAAAAGAGTTTCTTCACGAACCTTAGAGCACTGAAGTCCTGCTCTGCTTAGCCAAGTGGCAGGGCAAGTCACAGAGCTTCATGAGCCTCAGGATCCTGGTCTCTAAGACGGGAAGACAATGATGATAACATCAACTGCCCTCACCATTCAGTGTGGTTGTGAAAGTCAAATACTAATATATATGAGAGTTCTTTGTAAACTGAAAATGTCCTGCAAAGTTGAATTTTCAAAAATAATAGTAATTAAATGCTAAACTGAAAACCAGAAAGTGACAAAATGCAGGTACTATTAGAAAGGAGAGAGATCAATGCTGGTTATGTTTTATCAGAGTGGGGGACGGGGCGGGGGGGGGGATATCATGGAGGAGATAGAGGCTGTGCCAGCTCCTGGGCTGTGTGTGATTACATGGAGGGCTGGACATTCTGGTGGGGAAAAGGGCAAGTTGGGGTGAGCTACATAGGTTGGAAAAGCCAGAGCAGAGGTACAGAGGCCAACAGGTACAGAGTTCGAGATGGGTATGGCAGCGAAGAAGGCTTCTAAGGAAGAGTGGGAACTGAGGTGGCACAGGAAAGATTAGTGAGATCACAGGGGGCTTTGAAAGCCTAACATGGGGTTGGTGTAACAGCCTCAAGGAGGCCCTGAAAGTTGTGAGCAGAGGAGACCTGACAGCCTCACTCTTTCAGTGGCCACATTCTTTTACCTGATCTTGCTTGTGATGGAAAGTACACCCTACCAGAGCTCGGGATTACGCAGGATTAAGCTCCCACCCATGGGCTCACTGGTAATCTGCCCCAACCGGTCAGGCAGAGCAATCACAGATACCACAATTAAAAAAACTTTTATTAATAGCATCCGTTCTCCCTTAGACAAAAATCTAATTATAAACTGAAATGAAATATCACCAAACCAATCAGAAAGAAATGGCTATTTATCTCTTGATCCCTTGGGAATAGGGGGTGAGGGATAAAAACAGGATGCAATCAGTTCTCCCTCCTTCGAACTGGCACCCAGATGGGCTTGGGTTTATTTATGATTGGTGAAAGTCCAATGAATATCCTACACTTACAACTCAGTTTAGTTTTTTAAAGGCTTCTGAAAACATTTCTTCCTTCAATCTACTGTAATTTGTAGAGGGGAGGGATTTCTTGCCCTATTTCACAGATGAATAATCTTTTCATAGTAAAAGTTTGTTCCAAATTTGTTCAAAATTGTAAAGCTGGTTAGTGGCCAATGGCACACAGGGCTCTAGTTTTCCACTTCCCCAGTGAGATGCTTTCTGCGCTAAAGTTACTCCTAAAATGCAACAATGAGGGCAGCAAGCAGTGGCAACCAATCCCCTTCGCAGTTTACAAAGCCTCCCATTTCTCAAACTCTGTGAGGTATGGGGTTCCCCTCCAGCTTTGGATCCTTATACAACTGTAGCTCTCTCTCACCCCACCCCCATCCACTGCTCCCTACCCCATCTCCTGGCCTCTATTCAACATTGTTGCCCTGGGGAAACCTTCCTTGACCTCATTACAGGTCAGAGCCCCTGCTCTGTGCCCTTCACCATACCTACATTGTCACCACAACCCATAATCTGCAGTAGGGTAATTGTTTAATCATTGTTCTTCCTTTCTAGATGGAATCTATTCCCATCATGGCATCCTCTGCATCTGGGACATATTTTGCCCTTGGGAAATATGTGCTGAATTAACAAATGAACATGTTTATAGATGAAGAAGCTCTGAGGCTCACTGAAATTAAATGACTCATCTAAGGTCTCATACCTAATAAAAGATCATGTGCCAATTCCTCTATCTCTAAATAGCCAGTTTTCCTTCTGCTCTGCCACACTACTTTAGGTTCACACAGATCATGTTGGTCAGCTGGAAAGAGATATCCAGGAAAATAAAGTCTGCCAGTTGAAATGTCAATATTTTGGGTTTGGAGAGCTCTTTCAGCTTGGGCAGTATGCTCAAATACCAGGTATTCTTGGGTGCTCCTGAGTAGATCTCTTTTGGAGACTGGCTACTTTTTAATCTCCAGTGAGGCTGTCAGGACTAAGAAACAGAGATGAGAGCAGCTGAGGCTCGACTTCCAAGGAACACCAGTCTCAAATGGACATCAAGCTTTGTTTTCATGGGGTGCCATGTTGAATATCAAGATTACATCACTTGGAAGTGAGACTACCCTTGTTGGAAAGCCCTGATTGGCTGTGTTTCTGACTTCTTGGTGTTCTTGATTTTTAATTTTTAAAAAATATACAGGGTCTCACTCTGTCACCCAGGCTAGTGTGCAGTGGCACAATCACTGTAACCTTGATTTCTTGGGCGCAGGCAATCCTCCTGCCTCAGCTTCCCAAATAGCTGGGACTACAGGCATGCACCACCACATCTGCCTAATTTATTATTATTATTACTTTAGTAGAGACAGGGTCTTCCTATGTTGCCCAGGCTGGTCTTGAACTCCTGGCCTGAAGTTATCCTCCTGCCTCAGCTTCCCAAAGTGCTGAGAGTACAGGCATGAGACACTGTGCTTGGCCTCTTTGTGCTCTTCAATTGATATGATTTTATTTGGTAACTTCTGCCTGCAAAGTCAACTGAGTAGAGTATGTGTGTATTTGTGGGGGGCGGGGGGCTGGCTCACTACCTCACTGCTATTACTGTAAAAAGACCTCCCTGCTTTTTTCTGGAGGGAGGAACTTCCTTTGCTGGCTTTTTCTTCCTTCACTGATTCTGGGTTGTTGACACCATTGTGGCCAAGGAAGCCAGGAACTTCCATTTCCATTCTCTGCTGTACAGCAGCAAATTATTCAATTCAACTCACATTTGTTGAGTACCTACTATGTGCATGAAGAACTTCTCTCTCTTCTAACGCTTTCCCAGATAATGCTGCCTAGTGAGAAGTAGAAAACTTGCCAGCTATCTGGGTAAGGAAATCAAAATTGAACTTTTCTTCTTTTGATAGACACTTTAGGAATAAAGTCAAGGAATTTACTTTTTTGTTGTTGGGGAACTGGACAAGCACAGGCGAAGTACCATAAGGCATGATTAGTTCAGTGTCCCAAGGGAAATTCAAACAAATGCTTATGGAAGTAGCAAGGAGGGAGACGTTAATTCCAGTGAGGAATCCAGGGCAGACTTCGATGAGGGTGTGATTTGAGTTGGCACCTGCAAGGTGCATAGAATGTTTAAAGGCAGCAGGGACGGGAAAGAAAGGTGATTCCAGGCTGCTCAAGAAACCCAGCTGGCTCAGAGAAAGAATCCAGTCAAAGTGGCCCGTGCTCCAACTCAGCTCTAGAGGCCTCCAACCTCCCGATGTTAAGGCTTCAACACTAAAACAGCTTGCTCCACCCGACCCCCTCTCCCAGGGCCTTCTTGCAGCCACTGCTTTAATTGCCATGGCATTCCAGGGACCACTCCAGCCCCTGATGGGGATTTTTCAAGGTTCTGGCCGTAGGAGGAGGCTGCTCCTGATGTTCTCTCCCTCCATACATCATAACATGTTATGACTTGAGTGTCCGGGGATAGGGCCATAGGCAGGAGTGACTGATGACATATTGGGCTTAAGGACATTGGGGGCTACAATTTCAAATTGTTTTCACATTTGACTATGAAGGCAGATTACTGTGTTAAGGGAACTTGAGTGTATAGTGAATTTTCTGCCTCCTCCCTGTCCCTCACCCTCACCCCAACTACATTTTATCTCTTTGTGCAGCATATCCTTACATTTGATGATAATTCTGACTTCAAACTGGGTGTCACAAGGCCCTGGGTAACCAAAGCCAGTTCCACCTGGCTCACGTTCAAAGGGATCCCTCTTTCCCTGCCCCCTCACCCACAATCAGCCTGCCAACATTTAGCACAAAGTTTGTGGAAACCAAATGACATTCTATCCTAAGAGTCAAGCCTAGATCGGTCCGTGGTCAGAGGCTGCACAGTGGAAGCCCAGGAGGCAGCTGCCACCAGAGAGTGGATTGTGTTTGATCTGCAGCTTTCAGTCTACGCTCTCACCCAGCTTGTGTGACCCTCTCAGATGGACCAGCCTGGGTCAAAGCCTGGTCCCACCACACACTGGCTTCTGAATATGGAAAGTCCCCTTCCCTCTCTGTGCCTTAGTTTCCTCAACTATAAAAGGGGGATAAGAATAGAACCTCTGTCGTAGGATTATTGTGGGAACCAGATGAGTTAAATACTCTGTGTGATGTGGGTGAAACAGTGCCTGGCACAGAGCACATCTTCAGTGCATGTTGGCTTCACCTGTCAGGCACCCTGTAGGCATCTGAGCTTGTGACCTCTGCTGGGGCCCAATGCTGAGGAGCTCGAGTATGCAAAAGGGAAGACAGTGATGAATCCTGTGTGCATGATGGAAAGACGCCACTGTTCCATTATTTCAGAGCAAGTGAGGAATGCTCAGGCCTGTAAAACTGACGCAAAGCGCCCTCTAAATAGGTGGGAAAAGGAGGATTTGTTAGCCCAGGGGCCATTTTCTGGAATCATCTGTAGCGCGGAGATATCATAGTTGAAAATTTCTTTCCTTCTCTACCACCTCACCTCCCTGACAATGCTTGCTCACTGATAGTACAGAGGCTGCTCCTGTCTGCTTTCCCACTTGACATTAAGCTATTACAGAGCTTTCTCCTCTGGGTATCCCCAGGGTCTGGTTCAGTGCTGGCACATATTAGATGTACAATAAATGCTTTTTGATTAAGTAATTGACTGGTTATGATCTGGGGAGATGAGAAAGAACCAGAGTGAAGAGTATCTCTGTGAGGGCTATGCTATGTCCATGGGCCAGGAAGCCCACATTCACTTCTGGCACCCCAAGCTCTCATACTTATGCAAGCTTCTTGTAGGCCCCTGCAGAGCCAGGTGATGGGTTGGGATAGCAGGGTAGGTCTCCAGCAGGGTGAGGGGACCAGGACCCGGGCCTGGGCAGAGCAGGAAGGCCTTGCAATGGGCTGAGCTTTCACAATTGGGGTTGCAGCTCAAAGCAGCAGCTTATGGCTCAGGTAAGTTGGTCGGACATCTGGGGAGCCAGCCGAACAAGGGTGAAGCAGGACTCAGGGATTCCAGAATGGCACAGCCACAGCCTGAGCAGTGGGTGAAGAGATGGCCGCACTAGCGAGCAGAGATCCCAGCACAGACTAATCCCAGGAATGGGCTTTTCTCACAGCTCTCAATGAGAGGGGCGGGGCTTGCAGCTAGGTGCTTGCAGGCTCCTGGGTGGTAGGTGGTAGGTCCTTGAGGGTGGAATCTGTGCCTGCATATTGTTTTGTTTTTGGAAAATTCCCCAAAGCCTCTAGTGTAGTGTCAGGTACACATAGAAGAGCTTGAGAACTGTGTATGGAAAAAAATGGAAGCAGCCAGAGTCATGTCCGGGCAGCTTCTGCCATGTAAAGCAAAGCCGCCAGGCCTCCTAGGAGTCCTCAAAATTCTCTTTATGCAAAGAGGAGTTGCAGATGACTGACCGAAAGTAAGTGATACACCCTGACAGTGCCTGGGAGACAGGAGTGAGAATTACCAACTGGAGAGAGTCTAGACCTTCCATGAAGCTACTGCTTCTTGTACCTGCCAACTGAGATGAATTGGCAAAGATACTGTATAGCCATACGCTAGGAGTCTTTGAAGCAATAACAAACCTTAACTGAAATGAGAAATCAGAGTTTAGGAAAGAGATTTCCCAGTTCATTTCTTCTCTGGGGTCTCACGTCACATTACAGGGTCTCCTCCCTGGGCATTGGCCGACCTCACACGGTGCCACTGGAAGGCCTCCTGCCCCACTCCCTACCCTTCTTCTCCCTCTTCCCTTGTCTTCTTCTCACATACACAGTGTCTGTTCAGAGACAGAGGACAGCCAAAGCCATTGGAGGCCTTTTCTCATCTCCTTTCCCCATCCCAGGGCACAACTGTTTTGAGAAAGTCTATGAGTTGAAACATAGGACCCAGGCATAGGAGTTCCATGTCAGTGTGACAGGGCTGGGCATTCCTTCTACAGAAGCACACATGTTTATGAACCTATGTTTAATAAGTGGCAACTGTGTGCCAGACACTGTGCACTGGAAATGCAATGATGGAATAGTGAAGTCAAAGAGTGCCTGGGGAGGGTCAAACATTACCAAGGGCCCCACAGGGTTATCAAGAAAATAAGAGACTTAGATTTCATCTCCTTTGAAAAGTCTACAGCCTAGGGCCAGGATAAGTGCTCTATCTCTGTGTCCCTGTCATGACACCTATCATAGCTTTTATAACACTGTGTTATAACTGCCTCTTGACCTATCTGTCTGCCAAAATGACTGCAATCCCCTGAGAAACAGAATGGCTTCTTATTCATCAGTGGTGGCAGCTGCAGATTTCCTTTGCAGGAGCTGGTGAAGAGCACTTAGCTCTTCGTGGAGACCTCAATTTCTTCTTCTATAAAATAGGGATGTTACAGGTTGAATATCCCTAATCTGAAAATCCAAAACCCAAATGCTCCAAAATCTAAAAGTTTTTGAGTGCTGATAGGACACTGAAATGCACATTGGATTTTAAATTAGGGATGCTGAACTGGTAATTCCAGTATAATAAAAATATTCTAAAATCTGAAAAAAAAAATCTGAAATCCAAAACATGTCTAATCCCAAGTATTTTGGATAAGAAATACTCAACCTGTAGTAGTACCTATTTTGTTCAGTTGACATGAGGGTTAGGTAAGGGAAAATAGGTAAAGTGCTTAATGTTATCCCCAGCACAGATAGAGCACCATAAATGTTGCTGTTGTTAGCTGTTGCTTCCTACTCAGTTATACCAAGAAGGGGCTTTAGTTTACCCCCAAATATTTTCTATCTCAAGCATCCAAATAATCCCGAATCTCTAGGGCAACGAGAGGTAGTATTTAATATCTTTTATAAAAGCATAAGATCAAATGCATCAAATAAGAGACCAGACAGGAAAAGGTATGCCACTTAATATGTGTATTATCTTCAAGAAAGGAAAATGACTTTATAAGTATGTTGATAAAAATGAGGGGAAAGGAAAGCAGTTTGGCAACTCCTCAAAAAAGGTAAAGGTAGAATTACCATATGATCCAGCAATTCCATTCCTAGGTTTATGCCCAAAAGAACTGAAAACAGGTATTCAAACAAATCCTTGTTCACAGCACACTATTCACAATAGCCACAAGGTGGAAACAACACAGATGTCGGTCAACGAATAAACAGATAAACTCTTATGGTATATGCACACAATGGAATATGATTCAGCCATAAAAAGGAATGAAGTACCAATACATGCTACAACATACATCAACCCTGAAAACACATTAAGTGGAAAAGGCCAGTAGCAAAAGGTCACATATTGTATAATTCCATTAATATGAAATATCTAGAATAAGCAACTCCATAGAGGTAGGATGCAGATTGGTGGTTGCTGGGGACCGGGAAGAGGGAACAAGAAGAAGAAATTGCTTAATGGTTATGGGTTTTTATTTTGGGGTGATGAAAATGTTTTGAAACTAGATGGAGGGGTGATTGCACAATATTCTGAATGTACTAAATGCCACTAAGCTATTCACTTTAAAATGGTTAATTTTATGTAACATAAATTTCACCTCAATTAAAAAAATGCAAGAGGAAATAACAAAATTTCTTGAAAACTAATAGATGTCACATGGAAAAGAATGGCAGAGTTTCCCTTATTAATTGTTTGAGAAATATAAAATGTTGTCTGTGATCTCTTTACTGTGTATTTATTCATTAATTCCAATGCCAAGTGTTGAATGACCACATGCCCAGTAGTTTAAGTACTTTTCCCCTTTTACCCTCAGGCCCTACCTTGAAGGAATAATATTTTATAAACCACCAAAATCTTATTCCTGGAAAATGTCAGTCAGGAGCATCCGAACTTCTTCCTCTGTGGCACATGCTCTGTGACTGTGTCTCCTCCCTTGTTCCAGACAGTGTGGAGGACTGCAGTGCCTCTGTCTGGAAATGAGGTGTTCTTTCCATGGCCAGCTTTGGGAAGCTGTGCTATCCACCCACTGAAAATAGTCAAAACCCAGCTCTTTCCTCAAAGAGGTCAATGATGTCCTTATGCAAAACCAAGAAAAGCACAGTCTTTGGAAATCGGCAAGGCACCCAGTAAAGTACTGCTTTCTTCCTGTACTTGTGAAGGCTTTGGTCCAAGTGTCTTGCAGGGCAAGATCTGAGTTTCTAATTTGGAAACTAGGAAAGCTCTGAGCAGGCTGCATCTGGTGGGGTGGTATGCAAGTGTGTTCCCCTTTCCCAGTGGAGTTTCATTATGGAATGATGTGGGTCACCCATGTAATGAGATGGGAAGCTTTTATCTAGGCCACTGTTATGCTGTGCTGGCAACTGCTACTCAGCAGATTGTGGGCCTTGGGCAGGAGGGAAGTTTCAGGTCAGGAGTGGAAGGTAGGGAGAGAGAAAGGAGGGTGGAAGCCATCAGTCATTTACAAGAAAGGGGTTTCATAGATAAGCTAAGTCTGCAGGACTGGCCTTAAGAGTAACTTATTCTCTTTTGTTATTGACACATCTCCCTAACATAATGTTGAAGAAACTACATATGTTTCTGGTAGGGGTGGGCAGGATTGTATGCCTTAAATTCTTAGCACCACCATTCAACAAGCGGTTACTGAGAGCCTAGCATGCACACTGAAAATCTGTGGGAGCCAAGAAAGTTTGGATGGACGTTTGTTTACTGTGGGTTCCAAATCACTCGGAAGGTCACTTTGACCCCAGCATTAGTTTCTGGGTGGTTTCAGGCCAGTGTGCATGAGTGGCTGTCTGGAACTTGCAGGCTACAGCCAGGGCTTTGGTACATGATAATCACATGCAGAGGGGCTTTTGAAAGCTGGCACTTTGGCCCATGGGGCTGCAGAGGAATCACAGGTTAGAAACCATGAGCAGATGGATGCACATTTAATATCTTACTTGAGTTGGGGAGGAACAAGAAGCTCTTGACTCAGAGTGCAGCATTCTTTTCTCTTATTTATGGTGGCCACTGTCACATGTCATTTAAGTTAATACACAGCATATCCACTATACTATTCTGTTCCCATAACACTAAGCTCATGGGTCTTCCCTGTTCCCACGGCCTTTTTCCCTTCCCCTGCCCTTGACCCTCTTTCCCTGCCCCTACACCACCTCTGAACCTGTGGCCCACAGCTCTTTTCCCTGTCAGGACAATGTGAAGACTAAACATACTATCACATGCGACTATCCTTATTGTTATTATTTGTATGTTATTTTCCTCTCTTCTGCCAATTTTCTTTTTATGACTTGCCTGGGAAACTAAAAAAAAAATGCTGATGGGCTTTTCTGAAGACTATCCAGCTTGAAATTAGGGTTGTATTTGAGGAGAATAAAATGTAACTGAAAAACATCCCATCGGGAGAAAGCTATAGTCAAGAGCAAGGGCATGTCTGCAGTGGCTTCTAAATACAATCATCTCTTCAATTTTGACCAAGAACTACAGCAATGGTTAGGTTTTGTTTTATTTCTTAGTGACAAACTCCATGGAGCGGCTTGCTCACAATCGTGGGAGCAAGTCTCTTCCCAGGGGTGGGGATTGGGTTTGGATGCCGCCATGTCCCTTGGGAGTTGCCTCTGAGAAAGAAATTTTGTGTTTGTGTGAGGTTCGTTTTGGAACTTAGCTGCCCTTTCCTGGTCTCCATTAAATGTCCACTCATGTCCCCAGATGATGCTCTGTTCAGATGGCTCAGACTGATGTGGCGGAAAAGCTAGAAACCTGGCCTGGGCTCTGGCCCTGGGGATTGTCTTTCAAAGAATTTGCACTCGATTTTCCTTTTGCTGTCCAGGGAGGGAAAAAGTCTATCATGCTACTGTCTTTATCTCCCTTACTGTGTCTGTGACGAGTCTCCTGAAAGCCCATTATTCACCTGGAACCCTTCTCACTGAATGGTAAGTTACATATCGATATTGGATATGTAATTTCAACTAATCCACTGGTCTCTAGCTCATTCTTATCTCTGAGGTGAAACACTCTTCCTGACAAGTTTGAGGAAACACTAAAAGGATTTTAGTTAATTAAGGCACCCAATGTTGTTTCTCTTCTTGAGGGGTCTTTGGGAACTCCTGAGAAAACTTTAAGGATTGAAACTGAGGAAACAGAAGAGACGAGGGTGGTATGGAGGTTGCCTTAAAAGTTGAGAACTACCTGCATCCCTTGAGGGTCTGCCCCTAGTTTGTCCTGGAGGCCACTTGGGGAGGATTGGAACTTGAGGTACAATTTTCATTTCACCTTTCCACAGGCATTTGAATGCCTAGCTGTGTCCTTGTGTGTGAGATACAAAAGGTGATAGAGACCCTGGATAGTATTGGGTATTCCTGGGCAGAGGCAGATGGAACTTGGATTCTGGTCCCTCCATTAACCAGCTCTGTGACTGGGCCCACACTTCCCCTCCCTGAACTGTAGTTTGCTCATCTGTGAAGTGAAGGGGTGGGGCTGGCTCTTCTCGGAAGTGTTTTTCCATTTGAAGTCTCTGAATCTGTGGTTACTTCCTCTTTTTCATCAACAGCTTAGCCTCTATTAGAACTCTGTTTACTTGAAGGTTTTTGACGTTGGCATAACATTCCAACTTCATGGGGTTGGAATAAGTCAGGATTCCCTGGTTGGGACAGGGAAAAATCACAAATATACCCAAGTCATTGACTAATGCTCAGATTCAGGGCCATTGGATTAAATGGGTTAAACCAGCACCTTGGTGAGAATTAGAAAAAAGCATCCCCTCCATGTGGACTCAGCTGCAAGTGGGGTGGGTCTAAGGCCTAGCAGGTGGAATATTGGTGCTTTCAGCTCCAAAGACTCCCAGGAGTCCTTGTGCAGTACACAACCTGCACAAGCAATAGCAGAGCATTGACTTCTTTGGGCTCTGACCATTTTAGCTAAGGAGGACAAAAGAGGCCAGAGTAGATGCATGTGATTGATATCATGGAAGGAGACTTATCATTACTGCCTTAAAATATGTCATACAATAGGAAAGCTGCAAGTCTGGGCTGAAGATGCTGCCCAGAGCTTACACCTACACAGTCCGTCTAATTTTGGTAGTTTCAAGAGGCAAGATTAGAAATAACAATAAAACCCCTTACATTTTTATAGAGTCTTACAATTTATGTAGCACATTAAATGTACTTTCCTTTTCAATTTGATTCTGATTCTAACCATTGCCCTGGTGAGTAATAATTATCCCCATTTTAAATATAAGGGAAATGAAGCTTTCAAGAACTTGTTCAAGGTCAGCTAATAAGCAGTTAAGCCAGGAACTGAACCCATGTATCTCTAGCTCCAAGCTCAAGGTTTTTTCTTCCATGCAGGTCACACAAGATCCTGAGCCGAGCACTGGCAGCCAGACCTAAATAACTACTCTGTAGGGGTCTGAAATTAGTCAGAGTAGGTCATCCTTCTTGTTTTTATGAAGTCAGGACTCTCCCACACAGGGGTAGGTAACTAAAGACTTGGAGTGTGAGTTCTGGAAAGGTCTTCACAGATCTTACAACTGAACTAAGTATTAATTTTTCACATGGAGGAGTGATAATTAAATGCATCTTTACTATCTATGTGCCATGAACCCAGAATTCTCTTCTTTATTTTAGGAATTATCCTCCAAGGTATCCTGAGAAAGCCTTGAGCGTTCGGAGAAAGTCATCTGGAAGTCAACATATGATATGAAAATATCTATAGGCCACTATTGACAAATACAAGACTCTTCAGCACCAATGTGGTGCTACCACAGGCCTCTTTAGCTGCCTTCCACCTCCACCTATGTTCCAGACCTGTATACCCAACTGCTTATCTCCATCTGGACATTTCCTGGGCATATTCAACTTTAATATGCCTAAAGTGTTCATCACTGCCTTCTCCACAATCTGCTTCCCAAGCCCACTCCTTCTCTAGCTTACATGATTTTTATTAATGGCTCTACAAGGTACCTTCCCCTGCCTATCCCACTCAACACCTTATAATCACTCTCTATTCACTCATTCCTCCTTTACCACATTCACTTGGTCACCAAGTACTTCTGATTCTACTTCCTAAAATCCATTCCTTTTCCTCAGTTCCCACTGCCATTGTCTTAGCTGAGGTCTTAATTATCTCTGCTTCCCATCTCTCTAAGCCAGCCCCCATCTGGCCAATAATTCTTTTTCCAAACACAAATCTGACCGGATCCTTCCTCTGCTTAAAAACTCAAAAATGGCTTCCTATAGGAGGGAGTTCACCCTTCTCAGTCTAGCAGTGTAATTCCTATTACACGCTATTCCCTACCTGCCATTGACTTTGCATACCCTCTTTCCTTTGTTCAAAACACACTTTCCCTAGGAACTCCTAGTCATTTCCAAGACCCTGCTCATCCATCACTTCTGTGGTGTGGACTTCACAGATAATTCTGGGGAAGGATCTCCTGCCCTCTCCCCTGGATTAGTCAGTGCCCTGTAGCTACTGCTATTACAATGTATATTATCCTGAACTGCAGTTTATTTCTGTATCTGTCTCACTTACCAGACTGAAGCTCCTCAAAAACAGAAACCATCTCATTATCTTTGGACTCCAAGGCCCTGGTATACTGGCCTGCACACGGTAGGTTTGGCAAATGTTGAATGAATGTATGGAATGGATGCATCTCCCTCTTTGGTGAAATCAATAACTTAGTTTGTTGAGTGTTTATTATTCTCTTGGGTTTAGTCTTTAGGGAAGAGGACAGAAGTCATACTCATTTCACAGGCCAAATATTGACAATGCATGGAGGCCAAAGAAACTTTTGTTTTACAACGCATCTCTTTCCTAAAATTGTATCTGGGATGGGGACAGAGAGGCAGAATTTCAGACAAAAGGAAAGACTTGGTCAGATTTTCCTGTACAGCTGCCTCTCCAGCCCAGCACTGGGTGAAGGGCAGGCACATCAGACTAAGTGGTTGATGCAACTGAACCAGTTTAAAGGCTGGTAAGACGCTTGCAGAAGTCTTTAGATAGAACTTGCAAACCATTTGCAAAAGGGTTAGGAACAGGTTGCATCAATGCTATGTTTAAGTCCTGCTCTTTGTAACTCAAGGCTCTCCCATTATCTAACAGAACTTCAGAATGAGGGTTCCTTAAAATTAGCTTCAGGTCCTTATGAGCTGTAGCTGAGCAAATGAAATGCAACTGCTTTAGAAGGGAGGAGCTTCCAAGATGCTCCAGTGGTCTTTTCCTTCCCTTCCTCGTATAACGCAATCGGTGGCACAATCCCGCTAAGTAGCATGGCATGCTGGCTGCCGGTGTTCTGTTAAATTAGGGTGAGTGCTTGTCTGTGCTTCAGTTTCCCTTTCGGTTAGGCAGGACTGGTCTTCCCACTAGCTATCATCTATAGTTTACTTAACTCTATTATCATATGATGAATCCCGTAAAGCTCTTCAGAATGTTAGGGAAACAGGTCCTATTATGTCCCCCACTCTACCTTCATGGGTGGGATGGGGGGTCTGGGGGTGGGACCACTGAGAGTCAAAGAAGTTAGGAAGTAATCTGTGTCACAGCAAGCTCCCTGGAAACTCTCAGAATAGCAAACAGGTTTCCTCTCCGCCCCTGGCTCCACGCCATATTTTCGTTTTGGCTAGTTCCTTAGCTCCAGAGAAAATCTGGCTTCACCTAGAATGGTTTAGAAACACCTAAGCCCGCGATGCTTTCCGGAGGGTCTCAGGCCTTAGCTTTCTCAGTAAAAAACAGAATTTCCATGTGTCCCCTTCAAAGCGCTCCTACCGGCAGCTGGAGTAAGGTAACTCCACCGCCGACCTCCGAGGAGTTCATGTGGACTCAGCCCAGGCGCAGAGAGGAAGACTCCTGAGAGTCCTCGCGAAGGAGGGAAACACACCAGAACTAAAGTTGTGAAGGCGCAAGAGGCTACTTAGGAATAATTCCTTGTATCTCTGGGGCAGGTCTCATCCTTCTAAAGACAGGAGTGACTGGGCGTCTTCTTCCAAACAGAGGGCGCTTAAAAATGTATTTTTAAAAAACATAACAGAAAGTCCTGAAACTCACCTTTCGGTCCGCGGAAGGGCTTCCTGCAGGCCCAGGGAATCTCCTGGTTGCTGCCCCGTCTGACAGCGCCCCGGGCCCTGGAGGGAGGTGTGGGTTCCTTTTTGGTTGCCTCTGCACTCCCACCCCGAGCCAGGTCTGGCGTGTAGGGCCCCGGCGCCGGCCAAGGTCGTGGGAGCCGCCCGCCCCGCCCCGCCCCGCCCCGCTCCACCCCCGCGCGTACCTGCCGCTGCCGCCGAGGGCAGCGCCCTCTGTGTTCCCTGCCTTCCTACGGGCCGACGCCTGGCATAGTTGAGGTTTCGCTCCAACTCTGTCCTGCCCCTGATGTCACAGGCACAACTTCCTGAATCTGGCTCGCCGTTCCGCCCGCTCCAGGGGCTCGGCCCAGGCTTTCCACCCTGGGCCAGCCCACCTCGGGTGCCTCTGGCCTTGGGCGCACACGCCCCAGACGCGCCCTCCCTCCCCGTCTTCCCGCCGGTGGCTCCCCACTCCCCGCCCCCCGCCATTACGTGTCCTTGCCCCCTCAGTCCCGGAACACGCCTCCTTCAGGACACAGCGGCTGCGGAGCCAGCCCCGGTGTCTCTCACAGACGCACCAGTGTTCCAGGAATGGGACACAGAACTCCGGGCAAACCCGGCTTCAGGGAAAACAGCTGCCTAAATAGAGGGCCTTCCTGGAAGGGGTGGGAGGCGTTGGAGAGGGATACCATGCGGCAGGTTGGGTGAAGGCTCCGATGTCTTATCGGGACAAATGAGCATGACAGTCCCCTCTAGCCAACGCCGGTTGCTCCAAGGGGTGCAGGTGACATCTCAGAAGAGTCTTTGTCTCTGCTGCCTGGAGGCGCTAAGGAAAACTGCGCCCCAGGAGCTGTCTGTCACAAGCAAATGACGGAGGGGAAAGCTGACTTCAAAAAGTTCTCAGGGGTTCTTCCCTCTCATCCTCAGCTGCTCTCCATCTACTTTCTATTCAGATCTCTTGGCTCTAGTTCCGAGCACATGGGATGCTAGGAAATGAAAAGACCTGCGCCCCTTTGAATAGGGGACTCCAGACACAAAGCTCTGATGATTCAGAGCTTGTTCAGTGCCTCCAGGGATACTGTGGGTGGGAAAAGAGGGGGATGCCAGGACCTGGCTGTGGATCATTTCAGGGGCCTCCTCAGTGTCATCCTGGGAGGTCCTCCCTGACAAGGGCCTGAAATGCTGTTCCCTCGACTGTATTTGCCAGGTACACAGGTACCAGGTGCCAGGTGCTGAACCAGGACTTGCCCTCCATCGACTGTGCCTGAGTATGGGTGTCCTTTGGCTTCTCCAAGTGGGCATTAAAATGACTGCTGCAACCAACTGTCACAACTGAGATTCAAGAGATTCCTTTCTGTTTATTCAGGAGAAACCACGTGGCTCTGAGTTGAAAGGCCAAAGAGAAAACCCACCATCCAGCCTGAAACGCCAAAAATGGCTAGAAAAAGAGGAAAATAAGTTATTTATTTATTTATTTATTTATTTTTTACAGAGGAAGACTAGATTCACAAGCCGGGAGAAGCTCAAATCTGTAATGACACTTTGAGCCTGCAGTTGTCTACCTATGTACAATGTACCTATGTACCTATGTAGGTTCCTCTAAAACTCCTGGAGCCTAAGGCCAGAGTATAGAGTCTAACAGGGCCATGAGGAAGACAGGCCTGGGATGGATGATAGTAAGGCCTTGAATGCTGGCCTGAAAATTTGGGAATGGGGATCTCCTGCCTGGAGGTTTACACACAGTGTATCATTCAACCTTTCACAACACATTTATGAGAGGTAGTATTATCCTCATTGTACAGGTGAGGAAATTGTGGTTGAGAGGAAGCTAAGGAAGTTCCTCAAGGTCACATAGCTAATAAATGGTAGAGCCAGGTTTGAATCCAAGTGTTTCCAACCGCCGCTCCCCCTGACCCAGTGCATCCTTTTACCACCATATCATCTAGTAGAGGAGGAACTTGCCTTCTGTGAAGGAATTCCACACTTGAGCAGGGATCATGTACAGGTCTTGAATGACGCCTATTGCGGGGAGGCCATAGAAAATACTTTCCTGAAAGTCTGGAGCAACATTACAGATTGGTTCTGGCCAGGGTGATGGGTATGTAGGGTTGCTTTTAAGAGAAAAGAGGAAGAAACTAAATGAGAAAAACAGGGGCAATCGAATTGAGCTCAGGGCTTCATGGACATGGTTGTCTGATCGTAGAAAGGAAACCAGGGCCATCCATAAGATGGTATCTCTAGCTATCTCAATTCATAAGGAGAAAAGTCTAATGCTGAAAACCAGAAAATTCTGTGGCAGAGAAATCAGGGACTTATAGGTGGGCTGGATGGTGGATTTACTCACACTAGACTGCCAAGGCTGCAAAGTCTGTTGCTGTATTGACACTACTAGAAGATGCAATTATGCAGAAGAAAAGAAGTGGGCATCTGGCAAGGATGTTTTCACCCTGGATGAATGATGTGTTCCTTATGAAAAAGCAGGTTGGAACACCCACCTACTATTTTATTCCTTGGCAGTAAAATCCTAACTCCTATGAACTCATGAACAGCCCCAGGCAGCAACAGGGCTACTACGTTTTGCTTAATCCTTATTATTTTTCTTGTTTTCAGTAAGGATATTTGAAGTTGGTCAAGAGCTTAGTGGGCACTAAATGGAGTAGAACAAAATATTAACTTTTTTTTTTTTTAAAAAAAGAAGCCAAAATAAAGCAGATTTGTGCACTGAGACTGGAAATTGGAACCCCTTTTTGACCACTCCTCACTAGCTTTAGCACCTGCTGATCTCTGGTTTCACATCAGTATGTTGCAGAAAACAGGGGTTGCCTCCCTCTCAGATACTGTAAAAATCAGTGGAGTGCTAAGTATTGAACTTAGTCTGCTTTGAAGCTAAGACTGACTACACTTGGATTTCTTTCTTGGCAATGCCCTATTTCAGACAGGTTAACTTGCAGTATTGGCCAGTACTGATCCACCCGTGCTGCCTGGAGACAGTTTCCCATGAGTTTGCAAACCCAGAGTCTAGAAGCTGTGTCTTTTATAATGTGGTTGCATCCAGGACAGTGCTGCACAAAATTGGACACATTTTTCAGGTGTGGGAAATTTTAAATTGAGAACATCATTTTACTCTTACCAATAACTGTGGTGTATTCTTGCCTGCAACACTGTGAGAGGGTCTAGAAGGTTAAAACGGGGATAGGGAAAGTCCCCAAATAGCAACATGGATGTTCTGAGGAACTGAGTAGAAGTCACAGGGCTGCTGACAAGGAGAAGGCTGTTAGGAGGAAATGATCAGACTATAAATGGTGTGGATATGATGAGCACAGACTTGTTCATCAGATCCTGAAATATAGCAGTGCTTTGGAACCACGAGTGGGGCAAGTTCAGGACAAGTCAGCGGAAATACTACTTCATGCAGCAGGTAATAAATTTATGGAATGAATTATCTCCCAGAGGTGGTACAAACTGGCAACATAAATGGATTCCAGAAGAGTGAATGGCAGAGGCATAAAGAGAGCTGCAGGAAGCAGAGATATACTCCATGTGGTGGGGAGTTCAGGGTGGCCCAATGAGGCCTTACACAGTGTGTACCTGGGGGTCTTTGTGGTCAAAGAGTCCTGGCCTCCATAGGGCTTGGATTGGAGCTGACTGGCAGCACCAACACTACCTCCCTAATTCTTCAGCCTCTGTGGCCTTTGCTTTATGAAGGCAGCAAAACCATGTTCTTTTTACCTGAGACTTACAGCCCATTTAAAATGCATTGCTTCTTTATTTTGACTTTCGACTTCTGAACAGATTTGAGTGTCTGCTTCCATACTGGTTACCATATTTAGCTCTTGCAATTAGATTTCTGTTCAGGTCTTCCTCCTAAATTATCTAATTCTGACATAAGTTACTCTAATTATGAAAGCTTTTTAAAAAAACAAAAAACAAAAAACAGGAGTTAACAATATACTTTCCTTGGGAGCTTTTTTTTTAATGCGGCATCCAAAATGTCTTCATTGCTACATCCAGGATGCCTGGCAAAATGTTGCTTTTACAGCTATAGCTCCAAATCTTGGCCCTGGAGGAGGTTTAGGAAGCTCTTGGATGTCTCCTCTAATAATCTACCTGTCTCCCACCACACACATGCCCCTCTGCTCCATGCACTTTGTGCCTTTTTTTTTTTTTTAGATGGAGTCTTGCTCTGTCGCCCAGGCTGGAGTGCAGTGGTGCGATCTCGGCTCACTGCAAGCTCCGCCTCCCGGGTTCATGCCATTCTCATGCCTCAGCCTCCTGAACAGCTGGGACTACAGGTGCCCGCCACCACACCTAGCTAACTTTTTTGTATATTTAATAGAGACTGGATTTCAGCGTACTAGCCAGGATGGTCTCGATCTCCTGACCTCGTGATCCGCCCGCCTCGGCCTCCCAAAGTGCTGGGATTACAGGCTTGAGCCACCGCGCCCAGCCCACTTTGTGCTTTCTTGAGTACTCCTGTAAGTTCTAGAGATAGTACATCATGCCCCACCTCTTCCAGTATGGAGGTCAAGGTGGGCTGGTGGCTTAGAAAGCCCTTTGTTTATACTTCTGGGGCACAAAAGGGCTCAGTTTCCATTTTCTGTTTCTGGCTCACAGCCCCCCACCCTGAGTTGTGTCTTGAAAGCTATTTTTACAGCACTATCACTGGCAGTCATAAACTGGCCAGGGCTATTCTTCAGACCCTTTGCTGGGATTCAGCATTGGCTTTGTTCAGATGTAAAAAACAGGCCTCTGAATTCCATTTTGTGGCAGGGGTCTCGGTGTGGGGAGAGAGCCCCACAGAGTTCTCATTTTGCCTCTCTTTGTGGTTTCCCTTGTCATCTGTTCTTCCCTTGGGGATGGGTTTACATATCAATTTATTGAGCGAGCCCATCGTGTGGGTTTCATGAAGTAGCATTTACATGGTCTGGGTAGAACACTTCTTGTCACTTTGTCAGAGAGATTCCTGGGAAACCCCAGCTTGCCCTGCCCAGTGCATTCATTCTGGCAGATGTTTCTGTCAAGGCTGAAATTGTTCATTCCTCTTGCCCTGAGGGCCCACAAAGTAATATGGCTTTGAAATTTACTTCCTTAACTAGTTCAGTGACTCAGAACATCAATGTTGCCACAAACAAACTTCCTCTCCCAAGGCTGGCTCATTCATAACAGGTAAAAGGAAGGGCTGACAAAAACATCACAGAACAATGGGATAGCCTTCATTTATCAAGTTGCAAAAGTACACTCACTCACTGTGTTTTAATTACTATTGACTTTCTCTGTGCCAGGCACTGTGCTAAACTGCTTATACATATTGCCTTTAAATTTCTAACAACACTGTGAGGTACTGTTATAATACCAATCTAATAGGTGTGGAAACTAAGATTTGGAAAATTTAAAAATTTGTTAAAGATCAGTAAGTGGCAGACAGAGATTTCAATAAATAGTAGTGAGAAATACTTTTATTCAGCACAGATATGTTCCCAGCGTCATGCAAAATATTAGATTTGCAAAAATGAATGAGACTCTGGTCTAGTGAAACTAAAGTTTCAACCCAGAATTTTCTGAATTCAGAGCCCGATTGCTACTCACCTTAATCAGCTGGACAGGTGTGGGATATCCGTGGGGCAGAATTAAATTACTGATTCTGGGATGATAACAATAATAATGACATATTATTATGATGACAATAATAAAACCTGGAGCTTTGTAAGTTTTCAGTGATGTTTCATGTAGATTATTTACTTTGATCCAACCTTTGTTAAGGGAGCAAGCTCAATGAGGAGCTGGGGACTGAAGAGGCTGCTGCCCATGGTAGTTGCATGACTGGACTAAAACCAGGGGGTCTGGCTTGTAGTCCAAAAATCTCTACTTGCAGAATGCAAGAATGTATCTGGAGAGACACATTCCAGGAATATCTCTTGGTAGCATACTGAAGTGGTCATCAGGAAGTAACTGGAATCAAAGCCCAGACTGATGAACTCATGCAGAATATGGATATCAGCCTTGGAGGGAATTCTTGCACTTGGGAAAGCTATAAAATGGCTATAAAAGTGCTTCAAATTTCTGCACTGAAGTATCTCTAAAAGATAGGAAATTGTTGCTTTAGGAAGACATTATTTAATATCTTGTGGCTTCACATACACTTGACACACATTTTCATACACCTTTGCGGATGTATGCACCACAGTTTGAGAAGCATAGTATCAGATGACCTATGAAACTGCATTAGAACTGTGCCCTAACCAACTGAACTAATAAATACAGCAATAGAATTTCTTCCATCCATCCATCCATCCATCCATCCATCCATCCATCCATCCATCCACTGAAAAATTTTTATGAAGAACCTGCCATAACCTCGGCACTGTGCTGGGTAGGCACTATGATATGATATGATAGCATATAGAAGCTCCCGAGGAATTTACACTCTAATGCGGAACTGACCATTGAAATGATTAGCAGTAGTAGAAACTACTTATAATGAAGTGCTAAATTTTGTAATTTGGATTTGAGGGCAGTGAGGGCTGGAGCACTCATGGAAACCTTCCTGATGGAGGTGGGTTGACCAGAATGTGGGAGGTGCAGAAGCATTTGAAGATAGGGAAAGACAGAATGGTTTCTAGTTGTCCACAGTCTGAACAAAGGTGTGGAGAAGGGATAAACATGGTAGGACTTTTTTGGTAAGTAATGTTAATTATTTGATGATTCTTTCTCTCTCTCTCTCTATCTCTCTCCCCTCCACCCACCTCTTTCTTGTCAATGCAGAAAACTAGGGAAAGACTCAAAACAATGGAGAAAAACAAAATATCCATAATTCTGGTAACCAAAATGTAACATTTTGGTATGGGCTATTTTTGTCTTTTAGAAATAGAGTTTGTATGTAGGTAATTGTGGCCACTGCAGATTTTGAACAGTGGGCTGACCAATCTGAAAGACAGTTAATCTGGTGGACTTTTGCAGGATTTATTAGAGTGGGGAGAGACTGGGAGACTGAAGTCAGAAACTCCAACCTAGTAAAAGGCCACCATATACTCTAGCTCCTGCCTTTAAAACTAACTAGCTAACTCACTAGTTGCCTTGATCAATGATGAGTTTCTCCATCACTGAAGCAATTCACACAGAGACTGGATGACCACCTGGAGGGGTGCTGTGGAGGGGACTGCCATACCTGGAGAGAGGATTTAGTAGTCCATATGACCTCTTTCAATCCCAAGATTCCAGGGCTTACATTGTTAGCTGTGGAAATTTCACATTCAAATAAATTATGAGTTCTCTCCTATTTCTTATGTTTTGACAGCAATTGCTTTGCTTAGTGCATATTATTGGGTAACATAGTAAATGTTATTGGGCACAAGAAATCAACTAACTTTGAGGGGCTTGGGTTAAGCTCATATGGATTTTAGCACTGCTGTGTTATTATTTGGGAGCTGCCTTTACATGGGAAACATTTAAGGAGAAACTCTTACCTCTACCCAATCTCTACCTGCCTGGGTCCCAGCTCAGTCACCACCTCCTTGACTCCCCAAGACGGAGGTAGAAGCCTCTCCTTTGTATTCTCACAGGACTCCATGCTGACCCAGCATGAAGCCTGCCCCGCAGTAATGAAATTACCTGTTTCTCTGTCTCCCACACTGCACTGTGAGCTCTTGTGAGCAGGAAGTGTCTGGCAAATGGTAAGTTGTTGGTCAACATTTGTTAGTGAATGAAGACCCTCGGCCACAAGGCCAGATCTGGGAGCTTTAGAAGCTTTCTCTGAGCAGGGATGAGCATGATGCTCTTCCTTGTGCACTTACCTCCTTGTGAGTGCCCAAAGCATTGGGTTCTTTCCTTCCTCAGTATGGCTCTGGGGTCTGCAGTTCTGTGTCCTCATGAAAGACAGAAAGTATAACTGGAATTATGCATGAAAAAAAATCATGAGAGGGGAAAGTACATAATAAAAGGTGACATGGGCTCAGAGTATGGCAAGGGCAAGGCTAAGAGGCCCTTCTGAAACCAGATCAGGTGCACACTTTTCCTAAAGCCACTGTGCCAGTTCTAGGAAAGAACCTCTCTGCTACTCCTTTGCCTTGGAACTCCCTTCTCGAAACATCCAATCCTGTTCCAGACCAACAGAAAGAACACACTGCAGCTGCTATTATTCCCCACTTCCAGCATTACAGTGTTCTTTCTCGGGCTCCTGATGTTGCCAGCTGTTGACAAGGGCTGGGCAGGGAAAAATTGCTGCAGGCTCATCAGGAATTCTGGACACAGAATGTAAGTCTGAAAGATGCTGGATCTGAGTTCCTGTGAGAATCACACAGGTTCCAACTACAGCCTAAGTGAAGAGGGGAAAAAATCTACAAGCTTATTTTCCACCACTCCAACAGAGTCATTAGGCAACACAGTTTTCAGTGGTTCTAAAAACCATGTGGGCAAAAGGTTATTTATTCCTATATATGGCCAGAAAATAGCCCAATCACGGGGCTGCCTTCCTGGTTGACGCTGTCCAGTTTTTCCAGACCTGCAGACTCCAGAGACTTCCAGGCTGGACATTGGTTTCTGTGGCCTGCATGTAATTAGTTTGGCAATGGAAAATGTGGCTCCCAGCGTGACTGCCCCTACTTTTCCTCATCCCCCAACCCCTCAACCCTTGCCTCCCTTAGAATGCTGCAGCTAAAGAGCAAAGAATGAAGCTCTCCCAGCTGCACGCTCTGCTAAAAATAGAAAGTTTATTTATTTTATGTTCATGAAGCCCTTTTCCTGCTGTTGCTGTTGTTATGAGTGTAACTCCCAGGCAGGAAGGGGATTGACTGCACTGGTCTCCGGCCAAGTGAGTTCTATCCTATGTTGAGGGATCTAATAGAGCCATTAGGGGTCAGGGGATTTGGTGATCTGTTTCTTTTTTGAACCTGTCCTTTCCTAGCTGATACCTGCTGTCCAGAAAGCCGGGTGTGTGTTTCTTGGTTTTTAGAGGATCTGCTTGGATATACTTCCCTTTCAGATGCGACCTTCCCTTTACTTATGATGTATTCACAGGGGAGGCATAGCCAGAGGAAGCAGCACTGAGCTAACAGGCAAGAAGCCTCAGTTTTTCGTCCAGTTTTGTTACCTGGCTTTGTGACCTTGAGCAAGTCACAACTTCTTCGAACCTCAGTTTCCTCATCTATAAAATAGAGATAACAACATATGCCTAGAACACAAGTGTGATAATGGATATGAAACAACTTTGAGATGTTCAAGATATCAATAGATGGATTATTGTCTAGTTTTACTAAACCCGAGTTTCTCAAGTGTGTCCAAAAGATAGATATTTCCTTTGCCCCAGAGGGCTCTTCACTCCCTCTCTCCCAAAAGGAGGAGTAGAAGGGGGAGAAGAAAATAGTACCTGGGGGAGCATATTTTGATATTTCCTATGAAATATGCTAGAAACAAACTCATGTTGAAACACCTGAGAGGTGGTCGGGCACAGTGGCTCATGCCTATAATCCCAGCACTTTGGGAGGCCAAGGCAGGTGGATCATTTGAGGTCAGGAATTTGAGACCAGCCAGGCAACATGGCAAAACCCCATCTCTACTAAAAATACAAAAATTGGCTGGGTGTGGTGGTGCACACCTGTAATCCCAGCTACTCGAGAGGCTGAGGCAGGAGAATTGCTTGAGCCCAGGAGAAGGAAGTTATAGTGAGCCAAGATCGGGCCACTGCACTCCAGCCTGAGCAACAGAGCGAGACTCTGTATCTTAAAAAAAAAAAAACCCAAAAAAACAAAAAAAGCAAGCCTCCCCCCAGAAAAGAGAAATACCTGAGAGGTGATCAAGGCTTTAATAAATGATCCTGGATGACAGCAGGGGAAATATTCAACATTCTGTTAGCTTGCTGTGGGCTTTGGAGTAACAGTTATATTGCTGTGTGTCTTATTTCCCACCTCATTGTGTACAGCCATTATTAATAGTTGATTTTCCCAGCCAGAAGGGACTTCCATTTGCTCAGCCTTCTAGATCACTTGGTTCATACCACACATGTAGTGCCTATGACATGTTTTCCAGACATCATCTTGGAGTGCCATCATTGACACTTACTTTCCCCTCTAAGATCCTAACAGCTGAGGGCAGGGCTGTGTTGGCTATGTCTTTAAGTCACCTGGAGCCCCCTATCACTATTGTGTTTGCATGGAGAATCAGGCCATATCTAGGCTGGTCCTGGTGCCTGGTGCCCTGTATCCGACAGGGTTCTTGATTGTAAGTCACAAAATAACAGCTTTGGATGATATAAATGGAAAAGAAATTTATTTGAATCAGGGCTCTTGCTTTTCTTGCTTAAAATGTAGGGTCTCTGTGACTTGGATGGATCCCTTTTTTTTGTCTCAATAGTCTTTCACTGTATTTAACATTTCCTTAAGTTATGAATGTATACAACAAACCAGGTACCTGTGACTTTGTCATCTTTGTAAATCACAGATATTTTCAAGTCATATTTCACTTGTTGCAGACATTCCCAATATTGTTTATGCTCATTACTACTTTTCAGTAACAGAAGTTGTTAAATCTGCCATTAGATTTCTTTAAAGCATTAACACAAAAAGCACACACATGATGCTATATTTGTTTTTTTAAATTTTAAACTATATTTTAATATAATTGGTTTCCTATGTATTTCATTTTGTGCATTTCATTTAAAAACATTCCTCCTAAGCTTTATAGGTTTCACCAGACTACCAAGGGCTCATGAGCATAAGAGGTTAAGAACTCCCTGACCTAAAGCATATTAGCTAGCTCGTAGCAGGATTGGTTACATAATTTTCAAGATCCAAGCAAAATGGAAAGGTGAGGCCTCTTGTTAAAAGAACTGTAAGAATTGCAAGATGGCAACAGCAGAGCATTAAACCAAGCACAGGGCCGTGCTGAACCTGGGGTCCTGTGTGATGGCACAGGTTGCATAGCTATGAAGCTGGCCCTGGCTCACAGAATTTCCAGAAAGGTCCAGGGGCCAGGCTCAGGGGCTACGAAGCCAGGAACAATATGCAAATTGTGCTGGAGAACTGGCCTGGTGAAAATCCAGTGCTGCTCCTGCTGGGTGCAGATACTGAAGCTTGTCCTCATGCCACACTGACAGTAGATGCTGGAAACCACCCTTGAATCTGCTGCCACTGATGCATCAGCAAGCTGGATGGAGTTGTTCCCATTGCGAGTGACTTCTGCTTTGATGTATCACTAGTTTCCAATTTAAAGTCTTGATTATGTGCATTTGATTGGTGGTGCCTAGCTCATGGTCAGCCCTCCAGCTGCAAGAGAAGGTGGTGAAACAAATATCTGTGATTGCTAGCCTCCATAGAGGGAGATCAGCTCTGTCTAACAGGGAGAGGGACTCCCCAGACATAGGAAGGGGGTTCAGATGCCAAGTGGCCAAAAGCATGACAAACGTTCTCGACAGAACCCACGGACCCAATGGATATCTTGAGCATTTTTGAAAATGCCTGTGGGCTAGTATAGAATACGTGGCCACCATTAGGTAGATGAGACTGTCTGGGAGACCATACTTTACATGCTGAAATATTTTTAATTTTGGGGACATTTGGATTGTTTCTAGTAACAATAAGGAAGAATATTTGGAATAGAGATTATTCAAGAAAATTCACACCGTATGGAGGTAGGACAAAGAAACTTGGCACTTTCACTAAACATTCTCTATCCACAAGACCAGACAAAGCCAAGAAGAGCAGATGAGCTCTACACTGTCACAGAATGACAAGGCCTAATTAATTTAAGAGTTTCCTTGAAGCAAAGGACAGTGAGTCAATGTGGAGGCACTTAACGTTGTGCCGAGCCAAGGGGAGCAAGTGTTGTTCTGGAAATGAGCCACTGTGTAGTATTGTAGAGAAAGTAACACTCAGTGAGCAGGGGCTGGGCCCTAGCCTCAGCTCATGGCTCATTGCTTTCCTTCTCACTTTCAACTGAAAAGTAAATGAGCAAGTATGTGGTAGGTTTTTCTGTCTCCCTTTCTCAACAGAATGGTGGGTGGGCTGTTCTTTAAAAAGTGGTGCAAGGACAGGGCTGCTGCCAGTAGGCTTGGCAGGAGCCAGCAGAGTGCAAGCTGCTCCCTAGAAGTGGAGTTGAGAGGCCACTACTCACTGTCAAGGGGCTAAGCCATCCAGCAGCTCCTCAGGAGGTCAGGAACACAGGGGACACTGCCTGATGAGACAGAGGAGCAGTTGCTGCGCCCAGAGGGCCTACCTATGAGAGCTGTCAATGAAAAGAGTCAAACTCTGTAAAACATTTGAAGAGATTTATCCCAAGCCAAATATGATTTACCAATGGTCTGTGACACAGCCCTCAGGAGATCCTGAGAACATGCATCCAAGGTGGTTGGGCCACAACTTGGTTTTATACATTTTATGGAGACATAAGACATCACTTAATACACATAAGATGTACATTTGGTTTGATCTGGAAAGATGGGACAACTGGAAATGGGGGTGGGGAAAGTAGGCTTCCAGGTCATAGGCAGATTCAGAGATTTTCTGATTGGCAATTGGTTGAAAGAGTTATTATTGCCCAAGCACGGTAGTTCAAGCCTGTAATCCCAGCACTTTGGGAGACTGAGGAGGGTGGATCACCTGAGGTCAGGAGTTCGAGACCAGCCTGACCAACATGGTGAAACCTTATCTCTACTAAATACAAAAAATTAGCCAGGCATGGTGGTACATGCCCAGCTACTCAGGAGACTGAAGCAGGAGAATCGCTTGAACCTGGGAGATGGAGGTTGTAGTGAGCCGAGATTGCACCACTGCACTCCAGCCTGGGCAACAAGAGCGAAACTCCTTCTCAAAAACAAAAAAAGAAAGTTATTATCAATAGAAAGGGATATCTGGGTTATGATACGGGGTTGTGGAGACCGAAGTTTTATCATGCAGATGAAGCCTCCAGGTAGCAGGCTTCAGAGAGAATAAATTATAAATGTTTCTTATTGGAATTAAAGAGTTCGTTCTATCAGTAATTTCAAAAGGGAGGAGGGTATAATGAGGTATGTCCAGCTCCTCCTTCCCATTAAGGCCTGAACTAGTTTTTCAGATTAACTTTGGAATACCCTTGGCTGAGAGGAGGGGTCTGTTCAGATGACTGGGGGGTATATAATTTTATTTTTGAGTTATAGAACTCCTTTGAGAGGCTGGCAGGAGGACCTGTGGGGTTGGCCTGAGAAGGAGCAAAGGGAAAGGCCTCTTACCTAGCTCCAGATGTGTGGAGTGCTCTGTGTTCACTCTCTCCTTGATTCTCTACAGTAGCGCTGGTGAGAGGTATTACTATCCCCATTTTACAGACTGGGGAGCCCAATTCTCAATTCTGTTTACATTCTCAACATAGTATCTGGATGGGAAAAGAAGTTGGCCACCATCTTTTTTTTAACATCTGGTAAAAAGCTGGAACTAGTTGTCCTTTTAATACACTTTTCTCTATGGAGAAAGAATTATAATTCCCATCCCTCCCACTCATCAAATAAAAGTTCTTCAGCAAAGAAACCTCAACTTACTATTTTTGTGTGATTTTAAAAATAAACAATTAAACTTTGGAATAATTGTAGATTTATAGAAAAGTTGCAAAGATGGGTGCAGAGATCCTGTCTACCTTTCATTCAGCTTCCCCTAATATTACCATCCAATGTAGCCAATGGTGCTTTTGTCAAAACTAAGAAATTAGCATGGTATAACACTTAACTAAACTATGATCTAAACGTGGTTGTTTTTTAGATTTAATCAATTTATCCATTTATATCCTTTTTCAATGTTTTAGGATCCAATTTAGGATACCACATTGCTTTTGGGACAGTTTGCATTTTAAGAGAACATTCAGATTGCCACTGGAGGGTTTGACTCAGGATGAAAAACGGGTTTTATTTATAATATTCTCTTGTTTTCTTTACCAAAGAGCTTTGAATATTAAGTGCTTTTTAAAGTTTTGTGACCCCAATGGGCTCTTAGCTGCTTCATTGACATGTTAACACCAGACAAGATTGAAGTGATTTGAAGACTTTGGAATCAAGATGCTGCAAAGGTGCAAAATATTGTGGTCTTTGGAAATTTGGTATATCCAGGTCTATTTCTTCTCCTCAAGTTCCAAGTCTTAAACAACAGGATACTTTTCACACAGACTTCCTCCTTACATCTTCCTGTGGAGTCATATAAGTTTAGGCTAGGACTCTTGCTTTGTGCTGAGGCCAAAAAAGAATTAAAGCAGGTGAGGTGTTGGGTGATCTCATTTGTGCAATTGGTTTCTCTGAGTTACCCAATCCATTGTTCATAGCCCTGGCTTTGCACTGGCAATATTCCAGGTCATGAAATGTCTTATTATATTTGTCTGGGCTTCTGCTTATTCAGTAGGCATTCTTGCTAACATAGTTTATATTCTCTTGAGAGGGATTTAAAAATGAAATTATTGTTAGATATTCTTGAGTCTATGGCAGGTCCCTCTTTATATTCTACTGACCTGGACTCTTGGTGCTTTTGGAAATCTGAAAAATTTCAGGAGCTAGGTGGCTGGAGGTCCCCAGTTATGAGGAACTGAGATCCCACAGAATAACTCTAATAAGAGTTATTTATGAGACTTCAAGAAATAGATATAGCATAATTCGAAAGTGCTTGCTTGACTGATAATTTAACTCTCCACTCCCAACCATTATCAAAAGGTGTGAGCATATTATAGAACCGTACATAATAATGCCAAAATGTGGACATATTGTAGAACCATACGTATAAATCTATCCATCTGCCTTGTAGTCCACCTAACTCTTAGGGCTTACTTTTAGAATAGTGATACTTGCTAATGTTTGTTGAGATTTTACTATGTGTTAGGTGGTCTACTATATTATTTACACGTTTTTATTTTGCACACTTTTTCATAACTCTGTGTGGTAGGTACCATTATTATGTTCATGCTTTGGATGAGGAAAATTAAATTAAAAACTTAATTTCATCCAAGGTCAGATAAATAGGAAATAGGGAAGCCAGGACTTGAACATAGAGCCCTCTAACAACTCCAAACCCAGTATTCTCTTAACCACCTTGTCACTGAACCAGGATATATGGATAGTTGGTAAATATACATACACTTTTCCAAGCAATGACTCCCTATACCCCTTTTATGCAAAGATTACTTAAGTTCCAGAAATCAATAATCTACGTCATTAAAAAAACTTTTTCTACATGCAGAACCCTGTGCTTGGTACTCAAGAGTATAGAGAAATCAAGAAAATTAACAAAATACTGAAAGAGAAAGATCCTGGGAGAGCTAATTTCTCATTCCAGCTCATTCACTGATTGGTTTGGCCACATGATGCAACCTCTTTAAGCATTAGATGATTTATCTGTAAAATGAGTTGGTGGGATTAGATGAACAAAAAGGTCCCTGCCAGTTCTTTGATTCTGTGCCCCCAGCTTTGTGTCAAACATGGCACAGGAAAAATGCCAGATCAGATGTCATTCCCGCCCTCAAGGATCATAATCCAAAACCTTCAAACACATGAAGCAATTAGAGAACAGTAGAGTCTTAAATTGTCCACCATGTGCTATAAGCAATCACTGGATAAGTACTCACTTGAGCCTCTTACGTGCTCAGCAGTTTTAGGGATAAAAGACATGTGTCATAATTTCTGCCATTAATCAGTGTACAAATTAGTTGGGAAAACAAGACCTAAGAATTTGGAACAATAGCTAACACAAGACATTAGATAATTAAATGCTAAACTGTGTCATGTAATTATTGTGTGGTGATCGTAGAATGGTAACAACTGACATTTACTACCTTACTTGCTTAGGCAAGTGTGCAAAATTTAAGGAGTGTAAAAAACCCCCTCAGTAATCAAGGTAAGTAACATTTTAATGCAATATTTTAAAAAATAAAAATTAATGCAAAAATTTCATGCTGAACTAAATATCAAAATCTTAAAGAAAGATTTGATCATTATTATGGATTTTTCCTTTTGTCTCAGGGTCCAGTAAGGCTCAGCATAGCACTGTGTGCTGGAGACTATACCTTGCTGGTTTATGTTCATTGTCTTATTTAATCCTCACAATGATTCTTGTGATTAGATTCTACTATTAGTGGATGAGGAAACTGAGGCTTGGAAAGCTCAAATCTTAGAGGTTGTAAGTGGCAGGACTTGCATTCAGGTCTCTGGCTTTATAATTCATGCTTTTAAACACTGCTGTATATGTTCTTACAAACTTGCAGAGTTCACTGCCCTGGAAGGCCATGCCCCGGTGCTGCTGAGCTGGGAAGTTCTCTGCCCAGGGCAACCCTGTGGTCCTCCTGGAGGGGCACTCAGTGCAGCTGTGCTCCTTGCACCTGTTGCCTGCTGGCTGGAACACTTAAAGGGCTCTTTTCCCCATCCAGATCCTGAAACCACTGTTGAGGGATCCCCAGCCAACACCACAACACCAGGGTGCTCTTCACATTCCAGGGTGTGTTTCACATTCATTTCATTCATCCAGAAGTAGGGAATCCAAGGTGAGAGTCACTGAAATTGTACTTTCTGCCTGACCCCATGAAAAAAAGAGGCTCTGTGAACGTTTACCAATATCTCCCAGCAAAGGAAACCATGCTGAATGCAGAACCTATCTTAGAAGTTTTTATCATCTAAGGCCCCATCTGCAACACTGAGCTGCATTTCCGGGCAGGAAATGAAACCACAGAGTACAAGTGAGGTATTGATTTTCAAGTTACCACTTTGGGGCAGCAGTCAGTATTTTGGCAGCTGTACATCCAGCACACGTTTGCCCAAGGTCGGGGGCAAAGGCACGGACCATCTAGGCTCATGGGGCACTTCAGCTGAACTATACAGTTTGGGCCAAAAATCCACTCACATAGAGTTGGGTTTCTGTTGCCCAAGACAATTGATTCTTAATACAGACGGAGGCTTGAGATAACTAGATATAAAGGAAAAGAGGAAAGAATGGCAAACTGTCAAAAAGGGAGCTGACTTTCAAGGTTATCTGGTTCATTTCTTCCTTTTGCAGAAGAGGGATTAGAAGCCCAGATAAATTATGTGACCTTGGGAAAGGTCACACAGCCACTTTGTGGTAGGTGTGGGACATAAAATTGAGTAGATGATATTTTGAAGTGGTAATTTAAACACAACCACAGGGCCTAGGTTGACACCTAAAAAGCACTATTTTTAAGAGCACAATGAATAGTTTCACTCTTCTTTGATCTTGCTTATCCCCTTCTCTCAGGTTCAGTGGGGAAACAACTGAGATCATCTAGTGATGTCTTCCACAGTGGAGGCCCATGTGTAACACATTGGCTGTTCCTGCAGCATAAGCCAGATAATCCATAGTAGCACAAAACCCTAGGGTGTTTTGGCTCTCCCCACAAATTGTCATATACTGTCTTTATTTTTAATCTTAGAGGAAATTTTTCCATTTTTGTTTTGTGGAATAAACAACCTATGTCTTAGGTTTCACTTTGTACATAGCTGATTTATGTACTACTCATAGCTCTATCATATTACTAACAATTCCAAAATCTGTATTCTTTTAGGATGTTGGGTTGCTTTCTTGGGCCATGGAGATGCACAAACTGGGAAGTTGTATCCCTTTATCTTTCAGCTCCCTTCCTTCCCATCCCTTCCCATGGTCATCATAATTGTGGGTGATCTGTCCCATAAGAATTTAAGAACCTATGAAAAGCAAGGTATCGATGACTGAGGACCATTTAATGATCTATAAATGGTTACATTTCAGGTGTTAAAATTGACATTATAAGGTGAATCTGATGAGTGATTAGGTGAATCACAGAATAGGGAGGGAAAGGGTATGTTGCATGCATCAACAAAATGGGAATAATTATTTGCTGTTGAGTGCACAAGTATATTGAGATATGTTTATACTATACATGTTAGACACTATATACACATACATAATGTATGCCTTATAAATGTCCCAATTTTTATGGAGCTATCCACAGTTCCCCGATTTTACCCCATAATTTCAGCCTTTTCCAAGAGATTCTCCCTGCATGAACTGCCCTTTCCTTCTATTGGCATGGCAAGCTTCTTATCTTTTAAGAAGGTCCAGCTCAATTGTTACTATGTTTGAGAAATATTTCTTAATCCTTCAGGTAAAACAGGCCACTCTTTTCTTTGTGCCGCCATGTGTCGTCATACATGCCTTCAGAACAGCTAATCACACTCTGTTGTCAATTATTTGTTTGTAGGACTATCTCTCTGAGGACAGGGATCATGATCTGTCCATCATGGTGTTCCAGAGCCTAGCATGGTACCTGGAATCTTAACAACTATTTGTTAGGTAAACCCTGTCTTCAGGGCAATGATGTTCTAGGAAATGTTCTAGCAGACTCTTTAGTCATGGGTGCATAGGATGGTGCTTCCAGGATCGTTTGGAAAGAGGTGGTCACATGTCATGAATACACATGTCCCTCTATATTTGGAACACTTTTGCTTCCAATGCAGCAGTTTTTTTCCAATAAGGTGCCAGTATTTTCGGTACTGTGCCTATAGGTGTTTATATAAACTTGTGGCTATAAAAGAAAACCTGATTTTTAAAAAAATGATTTTCCATTTCCTTTACTTTTGCTTTAAAAAAATCAAATACTTGTTGAAGTATAATCATTATCCTGTGCAGATTCCAAATTTCTTTATGTTGTTATCTCTTTCTATCTATGTGATTTTATGCTCCGACTACACATTTGTCAGTCAACAAGTATTTACTGAGAGCCCTATGGGGTATCTAAGATAACATTTTTAAAGCATATTATACTTTTCTTAAGTATTTTCCTGGTGTTATAACTTTGGTTTCTAATATGGTTTAAATGAGAAAAATATTTCATGTGAAGGTGTTTTGGAATTCATAATCCAGAGATTGGTGCCTTTGACAGGGAAAGGGACAGTTATAATTTATTGGCCTACTATGTGCCAGGCATTATGCTTCACAATTTACATACATTATCTTATTTAATTCTCACACCCATCCCACAGGTTGATGCTCTAATATTACATTTTACAGCTAAGAAAACAGATTCAGAGATGGCAGATTCCTATAACTAACTAGAAAGGATCACCCGGGGCTTGAATTCAGGCCCATCTGAAGCAAAGCTCACACTCTTTCCCATGTATTATTTTCTTATTACATTAAACTAGCCAAATTTTATTAAAGGCAAATGTTTGGAATGATTACAGCTGAAAGTAGATTGTAAATTTGTCAAGACTGAGACTGTGAATAAAACTAAAATGTGTCATTTGGTGATTTTAACATATGTTTGTGTCTCTTTTTTTCCTGGTATGTGAAAAATAGGACTCATACTGGGATTTCTCTCTAAGCAGCTAGAAATGATGTGAAGATTTCACACCCTCCCTCCTTCCATCAGTCCCAAAGAATAATCTGCAGGAACTAACCCCAAACTCAAAAGCTGTGCAATGATTCCAACTGTATATTCATTCTTTTTTGTTTGTGCTCTTGCTTAGACACGGCTCTTCCTTGTGGGTTATGTGGTTTTTATTTGTCTTACTGTGTCTCTCTTTGTATGTGTGTGCATATATAAAAGTTCCTGGAATAAAGCAAAAAAATTATCAATACTGTATAATATATAAGGTATTGCATGGTCATTCATTCATTTGTTAATTCATTTGTCAATCAATTTTGAGCCCTTTGATGTGTCTAGAAAGTGCCTGAAAAATGCACACTACTCACCTTTGAGGAACTCTTAGGCAAGTATGCACAGAGCTGACTGCAAGATGTTATATTAATTCCATATTAGTTCTGTGAACAAAGTCTAAGGGACTTCAGGAGAGTAAGAAGTTATATAGGAGGAAGGATGAGAAAAGGGGAGACCAAGGAAATCAACAGACTGGAAGAATCATTTAAGCTGGATATTCAGCCATTCCACAAATATTTATTAACTACCTAATACGTGCCAGGCAATATTTAAAGTACTGGCAATGCAAAGATGGATAATACACAGATGAATAATAACCCCTAAGTCATTTGCAGATTTGAAGAGGAAGAAAGACACAGAAGCAACTGTTAGGTACCAAGATCAATGTACAGGTTACAGGACAGAGTTTACATTATATTTTAGGTATATTATTGAAAAGTTTTCTTCTAAAGCATTTACAATTCTATATTAAAATTTGAAAATACATACAAATTATGTTGATGGTCATTTAGGTTGCTTCTGAATCTTAGGTATTGTGAACAATGCTACAACAAACATGAGTGGAGATATCTCTTGTATATACTGATTTCCTTTCTTTTGAGTATATACCCAGTAGTGAGATTGCTGGATCAAATGGTAGCTCAATTTTTAGTTTATTGAGGAACCTCCAAACCTTTATCCATAGTGGTTGTACTAACTTACATTCCCACCAACCACGTACAAGAGTTCCCTTTTCTCCACATCCTCACTGGCATTTGTTGTTGCCTGTCTTTTGGATATAAGTCATTTTAACTGGGGTGAGATGATATCTCATTGTAGTTTTTAATTTCCAGTTCTCTGATGATCAATGATGTTGAGCACCTTTTTATATGCCTGTCTGCCATCTGTATGTCTTCTTTTGATATATGTCTATTCAAATCTTTTCCCCATTTGTAAATCTAATTATTAGATTTTTTTTCCTACAGGGTCGTTTGAGCTCCTTATGTATTCTGGTTATTAGTCCCTTGTCAGATGTGTAGTTTACAAATATTTTCTCCAATTCTGTGGGTTGTCTCTTTACTTTGTTGATTGTATCCTTTTCTGAGCAGAAGCTTTTTAACTTGGTGCAATCCCATTTGTTTATTTTTGCTTTAGTTGCCTATGTTTATGGAGTATTGCTCAAGAGATTTTTGCCCAGATCAACATCCTGGAGATTTTCCTCAATGTTTTCTCGTAGTAGTTTCATAGTTTGAGGTCATCAACTTAAGTCTTTAATCCATTTTGATTTGATTTTTGTATATGGTGAGAGATAGGGGTCTAGTTTCAACTTCTGCATATGGATATCCAGTTTTCCCAGCACCATTTATTGAAGAGACTGTCTTTTCCCCAGCGTATATTCTTGGCTCCTTTGTTGAAAATTAGTTCATTGTGGGTGTGTGGATTTGTTTCTGGGTTCTCTATTCTGTTCCATTGGTCTATGTGTTGATTTTTATGCCAGTGCCATACTGTTTTGGTTACTATAGTTCTGTACCATAATTTTAAGTCAGGTAATGCGGTTTCTACAAGTTTTTTTTTTTTTCTTGGTATAATTTTGGCTATTCTGGGTCTTTTCTGGTTCCATATAAATTTTCAGATTGTTTTTTCTATTTCTGTGTAGACTGTCATTGGTATTTTGATAGGGATTGCATTGAATCTGTAGATTGCTTTGGGTAGTATGAACATTTTAACAATATCAATTCTTCCAATTCATGAACATGGAATATCTTTCTCTTTTTGGTGTCTTGTTCAATTTCTTTCATCAGTGTTTTATAGTTTTCGTTATAGAGATCTTTCGCTTGTTTGGTTAATCCCTAGGTATTTAATTTTATGTGTGGATATTATAAATGGGATTACTTTTTAAATTTATTTTTCACATTGTTCACTGTTGGCATATAGAAATGCTACTGATTTGTATATGTTGATTTTGTATCCTGGTTTTGTAAACTGAATTTGTTTATCAGTTATAATAGTTTTCTTGTGGAGTCTAGGTTTTTCCAAATATAAGATCTTATCGTCTGCAAACAAGGATAATTTAATTTCTTCCTTTTCAATTTGGGTAGCTGCTCTAAAATCTTTGTAGGACCATTCTAATATCTCTTTCATCTCAGCATTGGCATTTATTGATTGTCTTTCTTCAGTCAGTATGAGATATTCCTGGCTCTTGGTATGAGGAATGATTTTCAATAGAAACCTGAATATTTTCATATCATGGTCTGAGACTTTATTTCATTTAAACTTTCTGGTTTTGTTGGCCTTTTTGGTACTACTGTGGCAGGGGACAGGGGTGGGGGTCACCACCTTATTATTGCAAAGTGAAGGTAAAAACCATGTTCTTTACTTTGTCCTCTGTTGACAACTGACACCTGAGGGGGCTGCTTCTCATTACTGTGAGGTGAGAATTGGAGTTCTGTCTCCGCATGTCATCTCCATTGACTCTGCAGTAAAGGTGCTTTTTTTACTGCTGGGTAGTCATGAAAGTTTGGACTCTTTATGTGGCCTCCACCAGCACCACCCCAGAGGAGAGGAAAAGAGCTTCCTGGTAACTGCTGGATGAGGGGGTAGAAGTTCAGGCTTCCAATGTTGTCACCACAGACACCATGGTGAGAGATGGGTTGGGAAGCTTGTTACTGGCCAGTAGAGATGGAAGTCTCAGCTCCCTAAGTGACGTTCTCCGACATCACTCCAGCAGATGTGTTAGACACCTCATTACAGTCTCTCAAAGGTAGAGAAATGGCTCCTACTTGGACTTTGCTGTCATGGGTAGGAGTGGGCCACAGGCTTTTGTTTGTTTATTTGTTTGTTTTCTGTGGTGTTTGGTGAGAGAGGAATGGTTATTGTGTAGAATTTTCCTGTCATGCTACGCTGCTCCTTTTGTGGGATTTTTTTTGGTCTGTGCCTTTTGATGTTTCTGGATTGTTGCTTTGTTTAGCTCCAAATCTGAGATATATGAGGCAAAAAGAAAATCCAGAGAACTCACTGCTCTGTTATTCCTTGGGCTTTGGAGTCTTTAGCCAGTCTGCTTTCCTCACTGTACTTTTCAGTATCTTCTTATCTTCATTTTATACATAATATCCAAGGTTTTTAGTTGTACTTAATGGGAGAAATAGATATGTCTATGTATGTCTATTCCATCTTCCTGGAAGTAGAAGTATTGAATGCAAATACTTTAAATACAAATTTTGTATAAAGCTGAATTTTAACTTAACTTTAAACAATTTAATTATACATTTTAAGTGCTTTTATAGAAATAAAGCAATTTATAGTTTTAGTATTCAAAATCTGTTTAGTTGACAATAAAAATATTGGTAGCATATAGGTCACTCCTACATACAAATTTAAGGGCAATATGATTTGTTTAATATTGCAAAATACACCTCAGCTGCTACCTGCATCTGTTGCAAATACTGTGTTAATTTGTGAATATTTCTGGAACCTCAAATTAGAATACAAAGAGAAGGAAGAAAATAGACATATGGCACTATTAGGAAACAATTATTCGGCATGCAAGAAGTATTGCATTTAAGCTGAAAGGAAGAATTTGACAAGTTAATCTGTCTTTTCTCTTACATCTACATGCTCCTGCTGCTCAAACTGTCCCCATGGTTCACTGCAGGACAAACCCCACAAACCTTCATGGCATTCAGATGTAGCTGCCTTCTGTTTCAAGGATATGGGCAAGAGATGGGAAATGTTTCCCTGAGGCCCAAAGAGTCCTAGAAACAAGACTGAATGTTTGGGGTTGTGGGTTGCTCTGCATCAGAGCCAAGCACCAGACCCCAAGTGACAGAGGTGTTCATATTATCTTCAATAAGTGTATGTGTGTATAATATGAGAAATGGGAGACCCTCTAACACGTAGGCCTGGGACAGGGACCCTCTTGCCCAGAACATAAAGGTAGTGCTGTATCCCACTGGGCAAGTTTGGTTAAGACTTTTAAGCTACTCACATTATTTTAAGGGCCTTCTTTCTCATCTATTTTCTTGTAATCTGGTGTAAGACTATTAATAGGGTAAATGAGGCAAAACTAACCATTTCCACATTGAACCAAGAGTTAATATTAGGTAAACACAGATCAGGAGATGGTGAGAGTTCTTTTTCTGTAATTTATGATACAGTTTTAATGGCACTGCACCACTGTGTCTCTGTGTAGAGAAACCATGTGGACAGAGAGGAATATTTCTCCCCCCGATTGACTGGGAAAAGAGCTTAATATTTTTTAACAGTCAATTTTTAAAAACTAGATTCAAATGCATGATATGATAATTAAAAATACATCAACTCACCCAGAATAGTAGCAGTTGTGTGTTTGGCTAGATGACAGGATAATTGCCAGCCCTTATCTCCAATTTTCAGACTTAAATGTCCTTCCCATTTAGTTCTAATTGGCTCTAGGCTTCCATCTATCCTTACCTTTGTGTCGATTGTTTTACATGAGCTAAGCCCATCTCCAATGGATACAATAAACCTTTGTATCTGGTTAATCTTTGTTTTTATGGTTAATATTTTTAAGTTATAAAACCAGAGTCTTCAGAATGTGAAATACAGGAGTAAGTCTCTGCATTCCAGAATTACTCTGTTGATGTCTGAGAAAAGGCATTAGCTCTTGGGCATTAGCTTATTGAATTACATTTCTTAAAAGCTCTGTCTTAAAATTTTTTTTAATATTTTTATTTTCCCTGCTTTTAACTCCTGTTGATTTTTCACAACTTCCATAGCAGATATTTTTGAAAATTTAGATCTTTTCATAATGACTTCTTTTTTCCCAGATCGCCAATTAAATAACAACCTGGTTTAAGGCTACGTTACCACCTTAGGCTGTAATGTTCATGCAGAGCTCGACATGGTCCTGCTCACTGGCTATCGATAGTGGATAAAGCCTTTTTAGGGTGGAGAGGGGGTTGGAGATGCCTATAAATATCTTATTAGGTTGGAGATACTTGTAAATATCTTATTAAAATTACAAGCCCTGTCCTTAAAAAAATGCATTTAAATGCCTACAGTTTTAGGAGAGTCACAGACATCCTGAAGTTGTGCCTATCTTCCTTAGGGTTTCCATGACCCCAGGTTAAGACCACTTGGTGGCAGAAGCATTTGCAGCAGTTATAACATAGTAATGTCTTGGATTACTTACAAGATGCAGCTTGCTGATGCTGTTTGGCAGGTAAATTGAGGTAGAAAGTTCATTTTATTAGCCATGAATGTAATTAGAGGCTCAGTGCCTAATGGATAGTAGGGCAGAGAATGCTACAAATCAGAGAGTGGGCTTATAAATGAAATGAAAGACTCCTCTGTTTTCTAATGAATTAGAATTAAAGTCGTCATTATATTGGCAAAATGAAGAAAAAGGATCAACATTGAAAGCAGCTGTCTTTGCAAGCTGATGCTTCTAAAGGAGCCAAAGGATTTTGGTTCCATTGCACACCTAGATGGGCTTCAAACATGCAAAGCAGGGGAGAGAGCTACCATGCTCTCAGTCAGAAGTAGCAAGAATTCTCAGGGGAGAGAGGGAGAGAGGAGCTGTGGTGTTGCACATTAAGGCACGGCCAGTGAGAAATCCCCGGAGAATGTTCAAGAAATGGGACATCTAGTATCAGATGTTAGGTTGTTTGCTGTGTGGTGAGAAAATGTAACCCAACCCTCATGACCTACAAACCATCAATAAAAATTCTGCTAACGTGCAACGCTTGTAAAAATGATTGCTTTTAGGTGAGAGGATAAGGTTGGGTGAAGAAGGTGCAGAATTATGGAGAACAGAGAATAAGAATTCTGCAAGGGCAGAAAATTGGGGCCAGAGGTGAGAGGATAGTATAAGCTCCCTTGCAATTTGCAGAAATCTCAAGGGAGGCATTAGATTTTTCCCTCGGACATAATATGGGGGTTTGAGCCAAACAGATGTGTATTTTAAAGAGCCTAGAGACCTGCACTGACCTCTGAGTAACATTTGTCTAAAGCTTTTACCGTTCTAGAGCACCTTTATACTCATTCCCGTTGTTCTCCTTTGTCTGCACAGGCAGCAGCCCTGGCAGGGGCCTGCCTTCTTAGTCTTGTGAGGTGGCACCTGCCCCAGGAAGCAGTGACTGAGAGAGAATGCAAGAGCGCTTTTAGAACGTGTAGGGAGAGAAGAGATTAATGCTGCTCTTAGAGTCAAATAAAAACGTTGGTGGGACCTGAAAATTTTAAAAGCATTTCAAAACTTTATTAAAAGGTGCCTAGTTTTATCATATCTAATTTCCAGGTGTGACAGCCCTGGCGCCCAGAGGTGCCACTTTAGTTTTTTTCTGGAAGGAAATGTCCTGTAAGAATATGCTGACCTGATCTGACCCCTGGTCTCTCCCAGAAATGTAGAGCCCTGACTTTTGTGGGGCAAGAAGCAAGGTCTTGTCAGGTTGTGAGGTAAAGTAGAAGTGGGGTGGGCCATGATAATTCCTTTCTTCTTTCAATTGTTGACTGACAGGGCTAGGCCCTAGGACAAATTTGGTATGCTGACTTGTGCTGTCTCAAGTGAAAATAGAATAAGTACACCTCATCTCCCTTGCTTATTAGTGTGCCTTATACATGCTCTGACTCTGCACAGGAATTCCTTCCTGGGGAAACCTTTAGTGCTCTTTGAACGTTCTCTGGAAGAGGGAGGGAGGAAGGGGGACGCTGATGCAGAGCCATAAAAGGTGCAAGTGCAGGGCCTGAAGATAAGTTAACTTACGATAATTAAGAACGCTGGCCTGTTTCTTTGGTCACATGACCTGCATTCTCAGCCCTTTTCTACAAGAGTCTAATATAAAATGGTTTCTGGAGACCTGGGGTGTTCCCCTTCAGAGTGGGTGGGGACACGAGCTGTGACAATACTAAGTCTTATATTGCATCAGGGATGCTTGCAGGGCTGGAGGGGGACATGGAAGTGTTGGGGAGGGGAAAGGGCATCCCTTGTTGGTTGGCAGTGATGACTCAGCACTGATGCATACACTAGGACATCATAAGTGCATTTCACCTGCAATGATCCACTTGACAAGTATTTACTGGGGACAGGTAATATGCCAGGGGTTGGGGATGCAGAAATGAAAGTGGAACTTATGGCAATTCCTATTCCAGGTGGTGGATTACAAATTTGGACAAAGGCTTACAAGACCCTATCTGACTTGGATCCTGTTACTTATCCACTCCAACTCCCCCTACTTTATCCTGTGTTCCCTCTGACAGCCCCAGACACACTGGCCTCTTTGCTGTTCTTAGAACACCCAGGCACACTCCCACTTCAGGGTCTTTGCACTGACTGTTACCTCTGTCTAGGTTGTTCATCTCCCTCAGCTCTTTCGGTGTTTACTCAACTGTCTGATCTCCCTATTAAAAGTGTGACTGGTTCTCTTGCCAATACTGCTGATCTCTCTTATTTTGTTCTATATTTTCTTTCTAAAGCATTTATCTCCTTCTACCATACCATCCAGTTGATTTATTATGCTTTATTATTTATTTTCTGTCATCACCTGCTAGAATATGAGCTTCATGAAAGCAGGCATTGCTGATGCATCCCCTGCACCTAGAAGAGCGTCTGTTGAATGAATTAATAGACTATAGTGGGGGTTTCGGGAAGTCATCCTGCCCCTCCCCTTTCTAGGTCAGGCCTTTTCAGGGCTTTACTTGAGTTCAGCTCTCCTGCCCTTTTCTTGAATCTCACCCTTAGCAACTGTATCAGGGAAGATCTTTCAGGTTCTCTAAGCAAGCTTGGCTGCATGAGGAACTTCCTTCCTGTGGAGCCTGCAGGAAAAGCAATGCAACCAAGTAGAAGAGGGGACACAATGTCACTCTGGGAAATGTTTTTAGGAACTTAATTATCATGGCTTTGTGATAACTCAGCAAAGGAAGTTTTTGGAAGAAGGATTTTGTCTTTCATTTAGAGATTCAATTCTAGTCTCCCAAATGTGATCTAAATTTTGCTCATCCATCTAGTTCTAATTATCCTTCAAGATGCTACACACACACACACACACACACACACACACACACACACACACCCCTGCTTCTGTCGCTCCAACATAAAATGGAATGTAAACTCCGTGAAAACTAGAATCTCATCTGTCTTGTTCACTGTGATAGCTCCAGGGCCTAGAAGATTGTCACATGGCACATAAAATAGGTGCTCAATAAATATTTGCTGAATGAACGGAAAACTCAGACCTCATCAAAAGTACCTAGTTTTTCATATTTTCTTATTTTTCAAGAAAAGCCAGAAATTCATATGTTAGGTATTCTCTCCTGATGTGGCAATTTATTTAAAATTGTTCAAATACTGTGTTAGTCAAATAAATCACATCTGCAGGATTATTTGTCCTGCCAGCTTCTGGTTTGGAGTCATTGCCCTAAATTCATTGCAGATACTATGCTAAGTATTTTGGAGGGAGGAGAGAGAGAGGTTGGGAATTTTTAGGGGAAAGAGGTAAGAGAGGAGACAGGGGAAGACTCCTTTTCTCAATGATCAGAGGGTCCCACAAAGAGTGGGGACCCCTGCTCTTCTCCCTGACAATGTCTTTGGGGAGGTGGTGAGATTTCAGAAGGGGGCAGGACCGTAGGCCCCAGGAGGATTGGGGCTCACAGTCCCTCTCTAGGTTTACATGAAAGTGGTGGGGAGGTCAAATTCCAAGGGATCACGAGGCGGGCACAATGCAGTCACCAGTTATAAGGCAGGCGGGGACCTGCCAAATATTTTGGGTAGCCTAAGCATCCCCGGGCCCCTTGCATAACCCTAGTGGGTAGGTGGGGGCTGCAGTAATGACCGGACTGGATTTCCCACCAGACTGGAGGGAATGGGACTCAGAGGCACATTAAAATGAAAGTAAATAAAGCTGTAGGACATTTCTTGTACAACCAAGTTTGTGGACTAATACTCATTCACAGTGCTTCATATTTTGTTTCTGTCAAAGTGGGGAAGACAGCTGGGAAGGGAGAAAGTATAACATCAAACTGTGCCCCAACACAGGCTCCTAGTCCCAGGGTCCTCTTGAACTCCCTTGGGCACCTTCCAGATCACCCTTGGACCGTGTCCTCCCGGATGTGTCTCCTGGTTTGAACTCCCACCCAGAGTAAGGCCTCACTTGCTCCAACGCCCTGTTCCTTAGGAATTTGCAGTCACAGCATTTGCCACATATGTTCCGGCAACAGGGGTGAGGTTGAGGCATCACAGGCCTCTTATGGTCCAGATGAGGGATGATCAGTGCCAAATGCATAGCATCCCTTGGTCGGCTGTGGCCTCAATCCTCCCAGCTTGTAAAGAGGAATTCCTAGGCTCTGCGAGCTCAGTCCTTCTGGGAAGAAAACAAAACCCTTCTTGACCCTTTTCATGTTCTAAATACCCGTCTCCTCCTCGGTCCTCTTCCCTCACCCCTCTCTCTAGAGAACGACCTGGAAAGAAGGAAACCAGCTGGCTCAGGGTGAGATTTTTGTGCAGAGAGTTTTCCACCAAATGGGAGCTGGAAGCTAGAGATGGGATTGCTGCTGCCATCTCGGAAGCAGAGTTGCTCTCCGGCAGAGAGCTTAAGCGGGCAGCAGCAAGGTGCACCGTTCCTTTTGCAGACTCACCAGTCTCCTGGCCCCACCTACAGGAATTCCAAGGGCTTGTGAATTAAGTCTGCAGGACTTTCCGTGGGGGCGGGACTGCTTTGTGCTGCTAGAATGTTTTCCTTTTCCCCAAAGGAGGTGAGTGCACACAAGTATGGGATAAAACCAAAAAGCTCCCAACTTTCTCTGAGGACTGGCAAACTATAAAATACTTATCTGCTTGAGCAGTGGAGGAAAAATATCCTCAGGTTGAGTCATGCTTTTGCCTTTCTCCACATCTCACCCCTCTAACCCCACCTCCTTGTCCTGGATAAGTGAAGGAGGGAAGGAAGGAGAGGGAGGTGATGGAAGAGAGGAGAAGGAAGGAGAGGGAGGGAAGCCACAAAGTCAGGTTTGAAAGTGGTTTGGCCAGGAACCGAGTATAAGATTGGGAAAACTGTCTTTATTGAGGGCATGAATGTAATGGCCTTAGGGGGACTTGAGGCCTGCTCATGTCAATCACCATTTATAATGCAGGGTGTGCTGTAGCCACCACTGGAATTCAGACATGTCTGGGCATCTCTGGCGAATTGGTCCAGTGAGACAGGCAGGGACTCAGGAATCTACTGGAAGACTCCTCATCCTATGGGGGCAGAAACCAAGCACCACGATCTCAGCCACATAACAGGGCCTTAGACTTCTGAGGGGAGGAGTGACGGTGTGAGCCCAGTGTCTGTCAGGCACGCCTGTCCCAGTCCTGGCTCCATGCCCTAGCGAGAGAGAGAACTAGCTGCGAGTGTAAACTCCCAAGACGTGGGGCAGGAGCATCTCTGCTTTGGTAGTCCTGAAACACTTCCTAACTGCACATGTGGAGGGAGGCATTCTCCTCCATATGGTGCCATAGATAGCTAGTATCTGGTGGGTGATGAGGCTATTATGGGAAGTCTTTGTGGGAGCCAAATCATCACTGATCTAAATGGTGGAGGGCACATGCAGGTCAGTTCTGAGGACTCCTGGAACAACTCGGGTGGAGCTTGGTGGGGTGGGTATCTGGGATCTCACATCAACAGGATTACGGCAGCCACAATAGTAATTCCGCCTTGCATTTTATACCAGAATGGGCTTTACAGAAATTTTCACATATATGTTCTTATTTGCTCCTCATGACCTCCCATGTAGTAGAAGCAAGTGTAATAATCTTCCTCAGTACCAAGCGGGGCTGGACTCGACACCTTTGAGACCACTTCAGCTCCATCACTCCACGGTTCTTGGGCATTGTCCAAGGGCCCACCTTGGGCTATTCATTAAGTAGGCACACTTTAGCAGCTGTGAAGTCAAGACACATGCATTGCCTGGGGGCCTCCTCCCTGCCTGGGGTTCTGAACAGGAGACACAACACTAAAGAGGGAGAAAAAATATTATCTTTATTAATGCTAGAGCCTAAGTGGGAAGAAGCAACTTACAGTGAGAAAAAAATGACCCTGCTATTTAAGCACAGGATTGGGCAGACCTGCCTACCCTGTCCCAGCAGGGGACATTTTTCCAGGTAAGACTTTGAACATAAGAAGGCAGAAGGGAATAAGAAGAAATAGAGGAAGGGGCTGGATGACTCTTTCTGGTGCTTCCCTCCAACTCATCAACAGGTGAAGGGTGGGAAGGGCCAGGAATGTCAATGAATGGACGTCCCTCCACGTGGGAGAAACGTCAGAGCTAGGGAAAACATGTTCCTATATGAACAACTGTATTGTATTGACATGCAACTTCTGTTGGGGCCAGACCCTCTATACTGGCAGGAGTGGCTTAGTTTTTTGGCCCATTAAGTGTTCACAGCCATATTAGGATTCTCCAGGGAAACAGAACCAATGGGATATATAGGAGATGTGTGTGTGAGTGTGTGTGTGTGTGTGTGTGTGTGTACAGAGAGAGGGGGAGTATTGGGGAGGGAAAGAGACACCAATATAAGCAAATTCACTGAACAAAATTAAATTATGAAGATTGATATCCATCCTTGGATCAATTGGTACCTCTCAGTCATCTGGCATCTGTGGACCATGCCCTGAGTCATGGGGCTTCTTAAATATTTTTTTGTATTGAAAACAAGATAAGAATAACTTGCTACTTGATTCAATGAGGAGGAGAAGTGTCTGCTATGTGCCCTGTGTTGTAGAGGACACAAAGGGGAATGATATATGGTATTTGTTTTCTGGGAACTCAAGGTTAAGTTGATGATGGCAAAGCATAACATAATGAGTGCGTTTAAGAAGATATAAGCCAAGTGTTGTGGTCTGAGGTGGGATTAATTCCCAGCTGGAGTCTGAAAAAGGCTCTGTGGAAAAGAAAACATTTAAATTGTAGCCTGAAGAGTGAACAGAATTTTGAAAAGCAGAATTTAGGCCGAGTATGGTGGCTCAGCCTGTAATCCTAGCACTTTGGGAGGCTGAGGAGGGCAGATCGCTTGAGGTCAGGAGTTCGAGACCAGCCTGTAAACATGGTGAAACCCCGTCTCTACTAAATATTCAAAAATCAGCTGAGTGTGGTGGCGTGTGCCTGTAATTCCAGCTACTCGGAAGGCTAAGGAAGGAGAATTGCTTGAACTCAGGAGGCAGAGGTTATAGCGAGCTGAGATCACACCACTGCACTCCAGCCTGGGCAACAGAATGAGACTCCATCGCAAAAAAGAAAACAGAAAAAGAAAAAAGAAAAGCAGAAGTTAAAGAAAAGGATATTCCAGGCTGTGTCGAATTTGAGGAATGTTGATAAATCTGGTCTTATTAGAGTATTTTTGTTGTTGTTGTTGTTGTTTGTTTTCAAGACAGAGTCTCGCTCTGTCACCAAGACTGGAGTGCAGTGGCGCGATCTCGGCTCACTGCAACCTCCGCCTCCTGGGTTCAAGCAATTCTCATGCCTCAGCCTCCCGAGTAACTAGGATTACAGGAGCCCACCACCACACCTGGCTAATTTTTGTATTTTAGGAGAGATGAGATTTTGCCATGTTGGCCAGGCTGGTCTCAAACTCCTGACCTCAGGTGATCCACCTGCCTTGGTTTCCCAAAGTGCTGTATTTGTGGGGAATAAAGTGGGGAGGTGGATGGCTATAGGGGCCTTCTTCTTGGGGCTGGAGTGTGAGAAGAAAAAATTTAAAGACAGAGCTCAGGTGGAAAAGATAGGTTACAGTTACATTGGGAAAGGCGTTGAGTGTTGTGCTAAGGAGTTAAGACTTCCTTCTGAAGGTAATGGGGGGCTATTCACTGTTTTTAGGACAGGACACACACACACACACACACACACACACACACACACACACTCACCCTATATAGCCCATTGGTTCGGTTTCCCTGAAGAATGCTGACTAACACAGCAATGAAGGATTGCCTTCCGGCAATGCAAATGCATGAAGGAAGAATGGTGGTCAGAGGCCAGTATAAGAGCCTTGGTAACAGCTGGATGAGGACTGAACCATTGCAGAGGCAGTGGGAATGGATACAAGGGCACTCATTGGAGAGGTTTGGAAGGCAGAACCTGATAACAGATAGGAGTAATTTTGGTTGGCATGGGAGGAAGTCAATCAGGAGATTATCCCTATTTTAACACTCAGCATGTTCTACTTTGAAGCGACTCTTTCTTCTATGTCCCCCAGGTCCCATCTAGATTGAAGGTTCGTTAAAGACAGTCAGAGCTTTCATCTTTGCGTGCCCCTCAGCCTTCAGCACAGAGCTCTGGCCAGGTGAGTGCCATATATAAATGTTAGTAACGATGAAGTGACCCCAGGAGGATAGGCCGGGGCATGCAAATCACATGGGAGAGGGTCTGTTTGTCTCTGTGTGGGCGTGCCACCTGGCACCTGAAGTGAAAATCTGCAAAGCACACGTGTGGTACAGAGGAGCCTGTGTGGGAAATCCCTTCTTGACACCCATGAGCGGTCACCTCATTAGCATCCCCAGAATGGTAGAGGGAGGGAGCCTGATCAGTAACAGGAGGCCAGGAAGGTCCTCCTATTCATCCTATTCTGGGCTGGGGAAGACAGGTGGGCCAGGATTCCTGCTTGAGGGGAGCACAGGTCCTGGCCACTCACTGGCCTAGGAATCACCACCTATGGACATCACAGGAGCCACAAAAGGATGTGGAAGTTATCATTGGTGATAAGTTCCCGGGGTCACCTGCAGGGGCATCTGTCTGGCAGGATGAGGGCTAAACATTCTCTTCTTTTATATTTGATTTACTTTTTTTAGAAAAAGTAATGCATGTAGAAAATTTTTAGAGTATTTGAAAGTCCATACAATTAAAAAGATAAATAAAAACACCCATTGTCCTCCCAGAAAAGACAGCTTTAGCCAAATTTTCATGATTGTAAAGCAGCATGTCTTTTCCATACATATCAGGTATATATATTATTTGTCATATATATGGCGTACCATATACCATACTGCATATATGGCCACTTCCAAGTAGATGGTGCTTTTCATTTTTTCAGTTAATCACCAGGGTGCACTTTTATCCTTATTTGTAGGAAGTCCAGGATCTCATGAGAAGCCCTTTTCTCTTCCATTGTTCTGAACACCAGGGGGTCACTCAATCCAAAGTGAGCCAGACTTTTGGCTCAAACACAGTAGGTGACAAAGCAGGGTCTGATCCAATGCAGCTTATTTTTCCTGCTGCCACATGGTATCCCTGTTGAAAACTATTTGCCAATCCCATGGCATCTTCAAAGTTCTAGGCTATTGTCAGTACTGTTGAACCCACACTTAGGCTGCAAGGGTACAGCTCCCTAAGTTCACACTGTCACTCTCAAACATTGCTCCCAAAGGACTACCATGAGTTCTGATGGCTGCACTATGAGCCTCTTTCTGCCTCAGCCACACACTCTCCCAGAGTTGATTCATACCCATAAGCCTCAGGCCCCAGTGATAAGTCTGAGTCCCCAGCATGGCATCCCTTCACTCCTCTTGTCTTTGGGGCCTTTAGGATCCTCTCCTGCCAACAAAACATGGTCAGGCCACTCCTGCTTCTGTAATTTTAAATCTTGGATAGAAAGGTGTAGGAGTCTAGGTTACTTCCTTTCCAAAAGATTCCGAATGCCATATGCCAATTGGTCCTTCTTTTCCCCAGAAATCAGCTCTGCATGTTGAGGAATATTTGTTAGGCTACAAAAGATTTAATTCCATTGTTCTCCAAGGAATGTGCCAAACAACTAAGATCTCCTCTAAGGTGTCAGAGAGGATAGCCACAATAGATAGTTGTATGACTGACTGAAAAGTTAGCTGATCTCTCACCTAGGAAGAGAAGCAGGGGCCGCTTTGATGCATGCTTACATAGGGCTTTCCCTTTGGATCCAATAAAATCTACTGCTCTGCCCACCTGAGTGCTGTCCTGGTGATTTGGGCCTCTCTGCACTCAATGGGCAGGCTTGGAATGCCAAACATTGCCTCCCAGGGCATTGATGAAATACTCAGCTCAGCTCTTTCAATCATCAGTTTAAAAAAATGGAAATGCTTCCAAACCTCAGAGCTGAGGATTCACTCTGAATAATAATTTTATGTGAAATTGAGGTACTCTGTTCAGACTAAATCCCACGTCTTATCACTTCTTACCGCCCAGGTTCATGCCACTATCATCACTCATCTGGACAATTACAATAACCTACCAGTTTTTCTGCTTACATGCTTTCCCCTCTGTTGTCTGTGCTTCACACAGCAGCCAGGATAGATGGCTCAAGGACCTCCAGTGCCTTCCGAGAGCACACTAGAATAAAATCCACACTCCCCACTGAGGCATGTGGACCCTCCAGTGTGTGACCCCTGTGAGTCTCTCCAATCTTACCCCTTTCTCTTGTCACTCCAGCCACACTGCCCTTCTTGCTCTTCCTTGAGTAACCAAGCCTGTTTCTTCCCTAGGGCTTTTATTTGTTTTTCCTTTTTCATAGAATGTGCTTCCTTCATTCCTTCACATAGTTCACCTTCTTGATTCATTCAAAGCTGCTCAAAAGTCACTTTTTCAGAGAGGACTTTAAAAATAGACACTGCTTCCTGACCAACGTCCTTCCCTGCTCCCACCTGTATCCCTGGATCACACTATTTTTCTTCATAATTTTTACCATTACCCCCCACATTTTTTTTTTTTTTGAGACAGAGTCTTGCTCAGTCGCCCAGGCTGGAGTGCAGTGGCGTGATCTTGGCTCACTGCAAGCTCTGCCTCCTGGGTTCACGCCATTCTCCTGCCTCAGCCTCCCGAGTAGCTGGGACTACAGGCGCCTGCAACCATGCCTAGCTAATTTTTTTTGTATTTTTAGTAGAGATGGGGTTTCACCATGTTAGCCAGGATGGTCTCGATCTCCTGACCTCATGATCCGCCCACTTGGCCTCCCCAAGTGCTGGGATTACAGGTGTTAGCCACTGTGCCCGGCCTATCCCCCCACATTTTATACTTTATTGATTTGTTTCTTTATGTGTTGTCTGTCTTCCTAGCATTAGAATTGAAGTTCCTTGAGAAAAGGCCATGTTTACCCTTTCCGTGGTGGAGTCCAATGGTCCTAGAGCAGTGCCCTGCACATAGTAGATGCTTAATGAATGTGTTGTACATGAATAAATGAAGGAATGAGATTGTTTATCAAATCAAATAGTCTTTAATCTATTGTTTCTTTAATCTTTTGGGTTTATAAACAGGAATAGTTAGCAATTTGGATAGGGTTTGGCCAGATAGTTCTGTTTCATGTGACACTGGCTGTTGTCATTCATTCATCTGCATTCAGCTGGTGCCTAACATGGGCTGGGAGATCCAAGAAGGCTTCATTCATATGTCTGGTTCCTTGATGCTCTCTACAAGGCCTTTTTTTCTCCATATGGCTAACTGGGCTTTGTTACATCATGGTGGTCTCAAGGTGGTTGGACTTTTTACATAGCAACTGACTTCCAAGAGGGAGCAGCAGTCCACGCACTGAGTTCTAAAATATTACCTACTAGCTTTATGACACTGGAAAAATTATTTCAATTCTCTAGGCTTAAACTTCCTCATAGGTTTAAAGTGATATCTGTATAAGAGGAGAATGGAATCCTAGAACTTCATGACGCCTATGGTAGGGACAGGGTGAGAATTACTTTTCTATTCACTTCCTTTCCACTTACAAGAACTATTGATAAGAGAGGGGTTTCTGACCAGAAGTGCAAGAAAATTGCTATTTCAAAGCTTCATATCATTCAGCCTAGAAAACTCACATTAAAGGGTCGTTCGTGGTTATTGAAGGCAAAGCCCAGGGGCATGAAGTAAGACTAAGGGGATCTAAAAGTGCCCTGCTTAACAAAGTAACAGAAAATTTCTATTTTCTAGCCCTGGAGCCGAGAGAAAAGAGAGAATGAGAGAAAGCTCGCAGTGGGAGGTTGAGATCCCAGGTACATGGCAGCCTTAGGCCTAGGCTCTAGAAGAGGGGGGGTTGGTGAGACTGTGATATTAAACTCCAGCCTGTTTCCTTTTCTGTAATTGCTTCCATTATCACCAAACTATCAGGAAAACTTTGTGTTGGTATTATGTGGAGGCCTAAGGAGAAGGAGCCATATCTAACCTTCAATGAAAGAGGAGAGGAGAGAGGACAACATCTCAGGAGGAAGAGGGAGAGAGGAGGTAAGAGGTGAGCTGACAATAGGAATTTGAAGAACATTTGAACCCATATTAGAAACACTGGAGAAAATATTAGACTTCTCTGACATAGCATGTTACCTAGGGGCTCAGGCTATTTTTTTAGGGGAGGCTGACCCCAGGATATTAGTAGAGTAGCGGATATTCTGATTTTGCACATAAAATACTTGGCCCATTACTGACTTATCTTACATGGTGACTTCTGCTATTATTATTCAGAGTTGAAATAACTTGCCAAGGGAAGTAAAGTTTGGCATGGCAATTGGCATTCAGAACCAGGCTTATCTGAGTCTTAATATCTTCATTTTTTCCACTCTACCACATTTATTTCAAGGACTATGTACTTGGTACTAAGTCTTTATTTAGAGTATTAAAGCCAAATGAAAGACCTAGTGGCAACTTGCAGCCAAGTTATATGATGATGCACCCTACATCACCTAAGGCAAGGCAGGGGCATTTTTAGAACTGGCTGGGGATCGCCCAAGCACAATCTCTCTTGATTATTTTGGGGTCAAGTCTCCAGAGAGCATAAGGCCCTAAAGTCCATCTCTGTTCCAGCACTTTAAAAATCTTGTTTATATGCTAATTGTACTCCACCTTCAGCTGGGGTTCTATCATCTGTCAAGTAAATAGTTTTGATAATGAGAAAAGCAACCAGAAACGCAAATGAAAGGAGACAAAGAGTGTGAGTGAGCCGGAGCAAGTTTAGATGAAACTTACAAATTCCTGCTGAGAGCCACATTGTCTCCTACGTAAACTCACACATTTATTTTTATTTATCCTGGCATAAAAAGCTTTCCTTGCATTAGTATTGATACTGTTAATGTTTTATAGGGTGTAGAGGTCATGGTCACATTGAAATCCTCCTTCGGTAGATGGAGGATTCTTATTTTTATTGAAAAATATACTGAGTTTGAGTCAGACTGTCATTTACCCCTACCAAGGACCTGAGAATTCTTCAGTGGTGTTGGTGACCTTTAGCCCTCCTTCCATTGTTAAAATACTCTCCTCTATGTCCCCCAAAAGTGAGACTCTTCAACCCTTTTTTCTTTTTTTTAATTTTTGAGATGGAGTTTCATCTTTAGCCAGGGTGGAGTGAGGTGGCGCAATCTCGGCTCACTGCAACCTCCGTCCCCTGGGTTCAAACGATTCTCCTGCCTCAGCCTCTGGAGTAGCTGGGATTACAGGCACGCACCATCAAGCCTGGCTAATTTTTGTATTTTTAGTAGAGACAGGGTTTCACAACCCCTTTTTCTTAATTGAGACCTAGATCTTCTTGAAGACCCGACTTCCTCTGCAGCCTCCACCAATAGAGGCTACTCATTGTACATTCCATGCATCCTCCACCCCTGAAAAAGTTGCTGTTTTCCTAACTCACACCTCCACCTCCAGATCAGCACTCATTAATCTTCTGATGGAAGCTTTTTTTTCTTCTAAGTCTTATCACTCACTCATATCGTGTTCTTTCCTCCTGGTCACTGACATCAGCCTATGTCCTGGTTAGTTCCTGTATTAGTCAGGGTTTTTTTAGAGGGACAGAACTAATAGGACATATATATATATATATATATATATATATATATATATATATATACTTAATAAACTCCCCTTTATATATATATACACACACACATATATGTATAATAGAGTATATATAATGAACTTCCCTATATAAACACACATATTCACACACATATATATACACACACACATATACATGTGTATGTATATGTGTGTGTGTTTGTGTATATATACACATATATGTATGTATACACACATATGTATGTATACACACATATGTATGTATACACACATATGTATGTATACACATATATGTATGTATACACACATGTATGTATGTATACACATATATGTATACACACATGTATGTATGTATACACATATATGTATGTATGTATACACACATATATGTATGTACATACACATATATGCGTGTATATATACACATATATGTATGTATATACACATATATGTATGTATACATATATGTATGTATGTATATACATATATGTATGTATATATACACATATATGTATGTATATACACATATATACATGTATGTATATATACACACATGTATATATACACACATGTATATATATGTATGTGTATATATACACACGTATATATGTATGTGTATATACACACATGTATATATACATGTATGTGTATATACACACATGTATATATACACATGTATGTGTATATACACACATGTATATACACATGTATGTGTATATATACACACATGTATATATACATGTATGTGTATATATACACACACATGTATATATACATGTATGTGTATATATACATATGTGTATATATACACATATATGTATATATACATGTGTGTATATACACACATATGTATATATACATATATGTGTATATATATACACATACACACATATACATACACATGTACATGTACATCTATATACATATATGGGAGTTTATTAAGTATTAACTTACACGATCACAAGGTCCCACAATAGGCTGTCTGCAAGCTGAGGAACAAGGACCCACAATAGGCCGTCTGTAAGCTGAGGAGCAAGGAGAGCCAGTCCAAGTCCCAAAACTGAAGAACCTGGAGTCCAATGTTCGAGGGCAGGAAGCATCCAGCACAGAGAAAGATGTAGGCTGGGAGGCTAGGCCTGTCTCTCCTTTTCACGTTTTTCTGTCTACTTTATATTTGCTGGCAGCTGATTAGATTGGGCCCACCAGATTAAGGGTGGGTCTGCCTTCCGTAGCCCACTGACATGAATGTTAATATCTTTTGGCAACACCCTCACAGACACACCCAGGATCAATACTTTGTATCCTTCAGTCCAATCAAGTTCACACTCAGTATTAACTATCACAGTTCCCTTCCTTAATTGATGATTTTGGGATGTCTGTCAGTCATTGTCCCCATTTATTTTGGACACAGTCCCAGGATATTTTAACATTTGTCAGACAATCCAACAACCCAGTCTCCAAACTGCTAGACATTGTTGACTCAAGTGTATTATATTTCTTTCCTCATCAACCAACGTCTGCTTGGGCAGTACTCCAGGATCCTGCCGTCTGATCCCAATGTCCAGTCCTTAAAATATTCTTCCATTACACTTTGACCTCATATGCACTTCCTGTCCCTTGATCACTCCATTTTCCTCACATTTTATTAACACCTTTCTGACTACTTTTTTTCTGTATGCAACCTAGATCCCATGGGTTATACAGATATCTGAATCACTCTTCTGCAAGCATCTTTGATTCTTTTTCATCCTTTTGCTTCTGTTATACCACCTAGTAAAATTCCAAACTAGAATCAATAGTACTATTACTCCCTGTCTCCTTTGTTCTGTACCTGTGAAGAGAGAGAGGAATATACTGGAAAAATAATTGTGTAGTCGTACGGGTTGGCGTTGATGTGCTAAAAATTTCATGGTCTCCCATTTTAGCTTGTCCCTTAGCCCTGCCTCTCAATCTTTCATCTTTAATTAACACTTTCTCTCATTTCCTTCAATGACTTTCATATCTTCATTTTTTCAATCCTCATACTCAACCCCTATTTCTTCACTCTCAGCAGAAAATCAAGAAAAATCAATGAAATTAAGCATAATTTCTACCCCTGAATATAAACTTTTCCACATTTACCTCAACTGTGATAGATATTTACCCATAGTTATGCCCACCCTTTTTCCTTGATAACAGAACCTTGATTTGGTTTAGGTATCTGGTACTCATGTTCTTCAGGGAGACCAGTCTCTTGCCTAGCCCCAGTGGATTGATCATAATTAGCCTAGCCCAAAACTATGATTACTTCATTTCCCTTGCCAGCACTTGGTTTAGACATGTGAAAAAATTCTGGCCATTGAATGGAAGTCTGTTGAGGGATGCTGGGAGTGTTTTTCTCTCTCAAAAAATGGAGCCCAAAAAAGAGCTCTTTATCCCTGTTTTGTTCTGAATGTAGACTGGAGCTACTGCAGTGGTCTGTTTACCATGACGGGAGTAGCTGATGTGTTGAGAGTGCTGGATAGAAACAAGGAAAGAAACTGAGTCCTTGATGATATTGTTAAGCCATCAAATTAGCCAACCCTACCTGTAACCCTCCCACTCTTTGACTTTTTGATAAATAAAATAATAAAGTTGTCTTATTCTTTAAACTTTATGTGGTTGGTTGGATTTTCTATTGCTTGCAAGCAAAATCATTCTAAATATTACACTGCCCCTTTTTTCCAGTCCCTAAAGTCACTCTCCTCTTTTAAAGGTCAATCTCTTCACCTGTGCTCTTAATCCTGTTGCTTATTGTTTTTTAAAAGGACTTTTTACATCATTCATCCCCCTTCCATCCTGTATCTTCTACCTTTCCTTCTCTAAGTCTGTTGACTTACTTATGTTCTCCAATGTTAAAAGCTTCCCTTGAATCACATCTTCTAGTTCTCAACAAACCTCTCTTCTCCCCTTGTCATACAAATTTTTTGGAGTCCATTGTAATTCTCATCTCTACTTCTTCACTTCCCATTTCTTCTCAATTCACTGAATTTGGCTTCTGGTTCCATCATTCCATCAAAATGGTCAAGTTATAGTTATTAATGAGGACTTGAGAAGATCATGGCAGACGGGAGGTAGGACTAGATTGCAGCTCCGGAGACAGCAGCATGCGGAGGCTTGCATTGTACATTTTAGCTCCAGATCGACTGCAAGAACAAACCAGCAATCCTGAGAGGACCCACAGACCCTCTGAAGGAAGCGGACTGCTACTGCAGGACTTGGGAGAGACCCCAAATACTGTGAGTGCCCCAACTGCAGAAGTGGGAAAGGGAGACCCTCCTCTCCCAAACACACACACACCCACTGGAGAATTTGAAGGTCTGTTTGCAGGAGATGTCCCTGACTTTACTTGGAACTGAGTCAAGTTAGAGAGCTGAGCCTAGCAAAATACAGGGGTGGAGGAGGCAGCAGGGAGGCCCTGAGAGCTCACTGAATCCCCAAGCAGCCCATTCCTGCCTGACACTACAGGGATCCATCAGGAGGGAGGCCAGAAGGGCAGGGGGTAAAACCTCACAAGGAGAAGGACTTCCCTAGCTGAACTTTGTAACAATCTGGCCAGAACTTGGGGGAGGGTGCAAATCCTGCTTGCAGACTTCACAGACTGAGGAAGAACTAAAGCCCTTTTCTTTCACAAATGGGAGGCAGAAAGTCTGGGGCAAGTTTTCAAGTGTGCCCTCTGCCTGGAAACAGATTCGAGGCTGTGGTGGGGGGCATGTTGGGAGTGAGACCAGCCCTTTGGTTTGTGTGGGAGCTGGGTGAGGCCTGTGACTGCTGGCCTTCCCCCACTTCCATGAAAACCTGCATGACTCAGCAGAGGCAGCAATAATCCTCCTAGGTACAAAACTCTAGTGACCTGGGAATCTCATTCCATCCCCCACAGTAGCTGCAGCAAGGCCTGTCCTAGAAGAGTCTGAGATCAGACACACCTACCCCTGCACGCACCTGATGGTCCTTCCCTACCTATCCTGGTAGAGGAAGACAAAGGACCTATAATCTTGGGAGTTCTTGGGCCCCGCCTACTGCCAGTCCCTCTCCACACTACTACAGCTGATGCCCTCTGCAAAATGCCACCTCCTGACAGAAGGCCAACCAGCACAAAAATAGAGCATTAAACCACCAAAGCTAAGAACCTTCACAGAGTCCACTAACACCCTCTGCCACCTCCACTGGAACAGGCACTGGTATCCACAGCTGAGAGACCCATAGATGGTTCACATCACAGGGCTCTGTGCAGAAATCCCCAGTACCAGCCTGGAGCTGGGTAGACTTGCCGGGTGGCTAGACCCAGAAGAGAGGCAACAATCACTGCAGTTTGGCTCACAGGAAGCCACAACTGCAGGAAAAGGGGGAGAGTACTACTTCAAGAGAGCACCTCGTGGGACAAAAAAATCTGAACAACAGCCTTCAGCCCTAGACCTTCCTTCTGACACAGTCTACCCAAATGGGAAGGAACCAGAAAACCAATCCTGGTAATATGACAAAACAAGGCTCATCAACATGCCCCTCAAATCACACTACTTCACCAGCAATGAATCCAAACCAAGAAGAAATACCTGATTTACCTGAAAAAGAATTCAGGAGTTTAGTTATTAAGCTAATCAGGGAGAGACCAGAGAAAGGTGAAGCCCAAAGCAAGGAAACCCAAAAAATGATACAAGAATTGAAGGGAGAAATATTCAAGGGAATAGATAGCTTAAAGAAAAAACAATAAAAAAATTCAGGAAACTTTGAACACACTTTTAGAAATGTGAAATGCTCTGGAAAGTCTCAGCAATAGAATTGAACAAGTAGAAGAAAGAAATTCAGAGCTCCAAGACAAGGTCTTTGAACTAACCAAATCCAACAGAAACAAAGAAAAAAGATTAAGAAAATAGGAACAAAGCCTCCAAGAATTCTGGGATTATGTTAAACTACCAAACCTAAGAATAATCAGTGTTCCTGAGGAAGAAGACAATTCTAAAAGCTTGGAAAACATATTTGGGGGAATAATCGAGGAAAACTTTCCCAGCCTTGCTGGAGTCCTAGACATGCAAATACAAGAAGCACAAAGAATACCTGGGAGATTCCTTGCAAAAAGATCTTTGCCTAGGCACATTGTTTTCAGGTTATCCAAAGTTAAGGTGAAGGAAAGAATCTTGAGTTGTGAGACAGAAGCACCAGGTAACCTACAAAGGAAAACCTATCATATTAACAGCAGACTTCTCAGAAGAAGCCCTACAAGTTAGAAGGGATTGGGGCCCTATCTTCAACCTCCTCAAGCAAAACAAAGCAAAACAATCATCAGCCAAGAATTTTGTATCAAGTGAAACTAAGCATCATACATGAAGGAAGATACAATCATTTTCAGACAAACAAATGGTGAGAGAATTCGCCATTACCAAGCCATCACTACAGGAACCAATAAGAGGAGCTCTAAATCTTGAAACAAATCCTGGAAACACATCAAAACAGAATCTCTTTAAAGCATACAGGACCTATAAAACAAAAATACAGGTTAAAAATCAAAAACAAAAAACAAATAACTCGAAGGATGCAGGCAACAAAGAGCATGATGAATGCAAAAGTACCTCACATTTCAATACTAGCATTGAACGTAAATGGCCTAAATATTCCATTTAAAATATACAAAACTGCAGAATTGATGAGAACTCACCAACCAACTTATCTGCTGCCTTCAGGAGACTCACCTAACACATAAGGACTCACATAAACTTAAAGTATAGGGGTGGAAAGAGGCATTTCATGCAAATGCACATCAAAAGCAAGCAGGGGTATCTATTCTTATATCAGACAAAACAAACTTTAATGCAACAGTGGTTAAAAGAGACAAAGAAGGACATTATATAATGGTAAAAGGCCTTGTACAACAGGAAAATATCACAATCCTAAACATATATGCACCTAACACTGGAGCTCCCAAATTTATTAAACAATTGCTAATAGATCTAAGAAATGAGATAGACAGCAACACAATAATAGTGGGGGACTTCATTACTCTACTGACAGCACTAGACAGGTCATGAAGACAGAAAGTCAAAAAAGAAACAATGGATTTAAACTATACCTTGGAACAAATGGACTTAACAGATATATACAGAACATTTCATCCGACAACTGCTGAATATATATTCTATTTAACAGTGCATGAAACTTTCTCCAAGATAGACCACATGATAGGCCGTAAAATGAGTCTCAATACAGTTCAGAAAATTGAAATTATATCAAGCACTCTCTCAGACCACAGTGGAATAAAACTGGAAATCAACTCCAAAAGGAACACCAAAACCTTGCAAATACATGGAAATTAAATAACCTGCTCTTGAATGAGCATTGGGCCAATAACGAAATTAAGATGAAATTTAAAAATTCTTCAAACTAAATGACAATAATGACAAAACCTATCAAAACCTCTGGGTTAACTAAGGTGCTGCTAAGAGGAAAGTTCATAGCCCTAAATACCTATATCAAAAAGTCTGAAAGAGCACAAACAGACAATCTAAGCACCTCAAGTAACTAGAGAAACAAGAAACTGAAACCCAGCAAAAGAAGAAATAACTAAGATCAGAGCAGAACTAAATGAAATTGAAACAAGCAAACAAAAAACAGTACAAAAGAGAAATGAAACAAAAACCTGGTTCTTTGAAAAGATAAATAAAATTGAAAGACCATTAGCAAGATTAACCAAGAAAAGAAGAGAGAAAATCCAAATAACCCCATTGAGGAATGAAACAGGAGATATTACAATGGACATCACTGAAATACAAAAGATCGTCCAAGGCTACTATGAACACCTTTATGCACATAAACTAGAAAACCTAGAAGAGATGGATAAATTCCTGGAAAAATACAACCCTCCTAGCTTAAATCAGGAAGAATTAGATACCCTGAATAAACCAATAACAAGCAATGAGATTGAAACTAAAAATTAAATTAATTTTTTATTAAAAAAATTTAAAAATTAAATTAAAAAATTACCAACAACAAAAAAGTCCAGGACCAGATGAATTCACGGCAGAATTCTACAAGACATTCAAAGAAGAATTGGTACCAATCCTTTTGACATTATTACACAAGATAGAGAAAGAAGGAACCTTCCCTAATTCATTCTATGAAGCCAATATCACCCTAATACCAAAACCAGGAAAGGACACAACCAGAAAAGAAAACTACAGACTGATAACCTTGATGAACATAGATGCTAAAATCCTTAACAAAATACTAGCTAACCAAATCCAACAATATGTCAAAAAGATAATCCACCATGATCAAGTGGGTTTCATACCAGGGATGCAGGGATGGTTCAACATATGCAAGTTAATAAATGTGATTCACCACATAAATAGAATTAAAAACAAAAATTACATGACCATCTCAATAGATGCAGCAAAAGTATTCAACAAAATCCAGCAATGTTTTATGATTAAAATCCTCAGCAAAACTGGCATAGAAGGGTCATGCCTTAATTTAATAAAAGCCTTCTATGACAAACCCACAGCCAACATAATATTGAATGGGGAAAAGTTGAAAGCATTCCCTGAGAACGGGAACAAGATAAGGATGCCCACTCTCACCACTCCTTTTCAACATAGTACTGGAAGTCTTAGCCAGAGCAATCAGACAAGAGAAAGAAATAAAGGGCATTCAAATTGGTAGAGGAAGTCAAACTGTCCCTGTTTGCTGACGATATGATCATTTACCTTGAAAACCCTAAGGAATCCCCCAGAAACCTCCTAGAACTGATAAAAGAATTCAGCAAAGTTTCTGGATACAAGATTAATGTACACAAATCAGTACTTCTTCTATACACCAACAGTGACCAAGCAGAGAATCAAATCAAGAACTCAATCCCTTTTACAATAGCCACAAAAATAAATAAATAAATAAAATACTTAGGAATATACCTAACAAAGAAGCTGAAAGACCTCTACAAAGAAAACTACAACACACTGCTGAAAGAAATCATAGATGACACAAACAAATGGAAACACATCCCATGCTCATGGATGGGTAGAATCAATATTGTGAAAATGATCATACTGCCAAAAGCAATCTACAAATTCACACAATCCCCATCAAAATCCACCATCATTCTTCACAGAGTTGGAAAAAACAATTCTAAAAATCATATGGAACCAAAAAAGAGCCTGCATAGCCAAAGCAAAACTAAGCAAAAAGAATAAATCTGGAGGCATCACACTACCTGATTTCAAACTATACTATAAGGCCATAGTCACCAAAACAGTGTGGTACTGGTATAAAAATAGGCACCTAGACCAATGGAACAGAATAGAGAAACCAGAAATAAACCCAAATATTTACAGACAACCAATCTTCAACAAAGCAAACAAAAATATAAAGTGGGGAAAGCACACCCTTTTCAACAAATGGTGCTAGGATAATTGGAAAGCCACGTGTAGGAGAATGAAACTGAATCCTCATCTCTCACCTAATACAAAAATCAACTCAAGGTGGATAAAGGACTTAAACCTAAGATCTGAAACTATAAAAATTCTAGAAGATAACATTAGAAAAACCCTTCTAGACATGGCCTTAGGCAAGGATTTCATGACCAAAAACCCAAAAGTAATTGCAATAAAAACAAAGATAAATAGCTGGGACCTAATTAAACTGAAGAGCTTTTGCATGGCAAAAGGAACAGTTAGCAGAGTAAACAGACAATCCACAGAGTGGGAGAAAATCTTCATAATCTATACATCTGACAAAGGACTAATATCCAGAATCTACAACAAACTCAAATAAGTAAGAAAAAAACCAATTAATCCAATCAAAAATGGGCTAAAGACATGAATAGACAATTCTCAAAAGAAGATATACAAATGGCCAACAAACATGGAAAAATGCTCAAAAATCACTAATGATCAGGAAAACGCAAATCAAAACCACAATGTGATACCACCTTACTCCTGTAAGAATGGCCATAATAAAACAATCAAAAAACAGTAGATGCTGGCGTGGATGCAGTGATCAGGGAACACTTCTACACTGCTGGTGGGAATATAAACTGGTATAGCCACTGTGGAAAACAGTGTGGAGATTTCTTAAAGAACTAAAAGTAGAACTACCATCTAATCCAGCAATCTCAGTACTGGGTATCTAACCAGAGGAAAAGAAGTCATTATTCAAAAAAGATACTGGCACATGCATGTTTATAGCAGCACAATTCCCAATAGCAAAATAGTGGAACCAACCCAAATGCCCATCAATCAACAAGCAGAGAAACTGTGGTGTATATATATACTCTATATGTATATAGTATACACACACACACACACACACACACACATGCCCCATTTATATCATATATATGTATATATGATGGAAAACGTGTATATATATATATATATATATATGAGAAACTCTGGTGTGTGTGTGTATATATATATACACCATATATATCTCATATATATGGTATATATATATGAGATATATATGGTATATATATATACCATATATATCTCATATATATGGTGTATATATATATACCATATATATCTCATATATATGGTATATATATATACACCATATATATCTCATATATGTATATATATATATACCATATATCTCATATATATGGTATATACAATGAAATACTACTCAGTCATAAAAAGGAATGAATTAACAGTATTTTCAATGACCTGGATGCGATTAGAGACTATTCTTCTAAGTGAAGTAACTCAGGAATGGAAAACCAAACATTGTATTTTCTCTCTGACATGTGGGAGCTAAGCTATGAGGACGCAAAGGCATAAGAATGATACAGTAGGCCAGGCGCGGTGGTTCATGCCCATAATCCTAGCACTTTGGGAGGCCAAGGTGGGCAGATCACAAGGTCAGGAGATCGAGACCATCCTGGCTAACATGGAGAAACCGCGTCTCTACTAAAAACACAAAAAATTAGCCAAGAGGTGGTGGTACATGCCTGTGGTCCCAGCTACTTAGGAGGCTGAGGCAGAAGAATCGCTTGAACCCAGGAGACAGAGGGTGCAGTGAGCCGAGATCACGCCACTGCACTCCAGCCTGGGCAACAGAGCAAGACAGTAGACTGTGGGGACTTGAGAGAAAGAGTGGAAAGGGGGCCGAGGGATAAAAGACAGCAAATATGGTGCAGCGTATACTGCTTGGGTGATGGGTGCACCAGGATCTCACAAGTCACCACTAAAGAACTTACTCATGTAACCAGATACCACCTGTATCCCAATAACTTATGGAAACAAACAAACAAACAAAAAACCTCCCCAGCATTCTAAAAAAAATAAAATAAAGATGATCTTCCTTCCCCCCCCAAAAAAAAGTTATTAATGATTTCTTAACCACCATGATTTAAGATTTTATGTTTTGCTGTACCTCTGCTGCCTTTGATGCAAGCTGTTGAATTTCTTTACTATTTTGGCTTCCATGGAGCCACTGTCCTAGCTCTATAACACTTCTTTAGGTCTCTTGTATATAGACATGTCTCTCTCCTCTTGCCTCTTATATTTTGGTATTCCTCATGGTTATGCCATTCTTTCTTCTCATTCCACTTATTCCTTCTGGATCAGTGCATCCACTTTTATGGTTTAAATTGTCCCCACCTTGCTGCTGATGACTTCCAAATCTCAAATCTTTTGCCTGATGTTCGGATCCTTCTGTTAAACGATTTGCTAAAAATCTGCACCGGACTGCCACTCAGCCCCTTCAACCTAATGTGGCTAGGCTGAACTCATCATCTTCCCCTCAAAACTTCCACCACCCTGTATTCTCCAGCTATGTTTGTGGCCCCACCATCTACTAATCTGTGTAAGACACTTGAGGGCTACCCTGAACATTTCCTTTTATTCCCCTCTCCTCATTCAATGTACTACCAAAGGTAGTTTTGCCCCCCATGGAGCTCTCAGTTTTGTTCCTGCCACTTCATTCCCACAGCCACTCCTCCGGTTCAGGCTCCCATCACCTCCCTCCTAACCACAATGATGCTCTTTACCTTCTCCAACTCATTCTCCATACAGCCAGCAGAAAGTTACATCTTCACAATCAAGTTTGACTATGATATACCCTTGATTGAATTCTGTCCATGGCTTCTCAGTTATTATATATAGAGTGAAGTGAAGTGAACTTGCATTAATATGGCATACAAATTTTTTTATGAGCAACCTCTGCTTGCTTTCCCAGGTTTATTTCCTGGCATCTTGCCTCACAACTTATTCTTTAGCAACCAGAAGTTTCTTTTGCTCCCTATGTGTGATGGTTAATACTGAGTGTCAACTTGATTGGATTGAAGGATGCAAAGTATTGACCCTGGGTGTGTCTGTGAGGGTGTTGCCAAAGGAGATTAACAGTTGAGCCAGTGGGCTGGGGAAAGCAGACCCACCCTTAATCTGGTGGGCACAATCTAATCAGCTGCCAATGAATATAAAGCAGGCAAAAAAATGTGAAGAGGAGAGACTGGCCTAGCCCCCCAGCCTACATCTTTCTCCCATGCTGGATGCTTCCTGCCCTCAAATATCTGACTGCAAATTCTTTAGTTTTGAGACTCAGATTGGCTCTCTTTGCTCCTCAAGCTTGCAGAGATCCTATTGTGGGATCTTGTGATTGTGTAAGTTAATACTTAATAAACAATAAACTATGCTTTATATGTATGTGTGTGCATATATATATATCTACATATATAGGTATATGTATATATATATCTCTCTACATATGTATGTGTATATATGTAGATATATATACACATATATATGTAGAGAGATATATATACACACACATACATATAAAGGTTAGTTTATATATACCTACATATATGTAGATATATATAAACTATATACATATAAAGGGTAGATATATATATATCTACATATTTATACATATATATGTATGTATATATACACACACACACACATATATATATATCTCCTATTAGTTCTGTCCCTCTAGGGAACCCTGACTAATATAGATTTTGGTACCAGGAGTGGTTCTAGAGGAACAGAATATTAACAATGGGGTTCTTTTGTTGATTTGGGAGTTTCTGGAGCGGATTGCTTAATATGATTAGACCCCAAAATGCTAAGGATTCTACTTTTAATAGTATGGAGAACATTGATAGTCCTTGGCATAAACTGTGAGAGATATGCAAAATAAATGCATTTGACACTCTTGATTCACTGCTCATGAGAGGCAAGAAGTTTAGCTATTCTATACATAATACCTTTGACCATATGTGGAGAATCAAGGAACATAATGAAGCTGGTTGGTTGCTCCTAAGTTCAGTGGACAAAGTGATGAAAGAAAATGATGAACTCAGGGATTCTTTCTCCAAGCTTCAGAAGCAGATACTGAGCCTCAAATCTGCTAAGATTGCCCTGAGTGAGAGTCTTATCTCCTGTAGAGAAAGAGCTGAAATTGTTGAAAAGCAGACACAAGCTCTTATCATGTGAGTGGCTGATCTATAATGAAAGGTGCATGCACAGCCTCTCCAGATGTCTACTGTTAAAGTGAGGGCATTGATCGGAAAAAAATGGGACCCTGCAACTTAGAATGGGGATGTGTGGGAGGGCCCTGATGAAGCTGGGGACACTGAGTTTTTAAACTCTGATGAAACTTTTTTGCCACAAAGAACAGCTTCCCCATCCTCAGTAGTGGCAACACCCTCTCCCTGATCCATGCTGCCATTAGCCTTTCTACCTTTGTCTGAGGAGATAAACCCAGTGCTGCTTGAGACAACAGTGATAGCCTCACCTGAGGCAGTTGCCAGGCAAAATAATGTTGATTCTCCTCAGGAGCCACCCCCAACACCCCTGTTTGCTTCTAGACCTATAACTAGACTAAAGTCCTGGTGGGCATCTAGAGGTGAGGTTGATAGTGTGATTCATGAGGAAGTGCACTACACTGGAAAAGAAGTGCTTGAGTTCTCTAATTTACATAAACAGAAATCTGGAGAACATGCATGGGAATGGATATTAAGGGTATGGGATAATGGGGGAAAGAACATATAGTTGGATCAGGGTGAATTTATTGATTTGGGCCCACTAAGTAGGAACTCTGCATTTAATGTTGCAGTTAGGGGAATTAAAAAAGTTCTAATAATTTATTTGGTTGGTTAGCTGAAATATGGATTAAAAAATGGCCCACTGTGAGCAAGCTGGAAATACCTGATCTCCCTTAGTTTAATGTAGAGGAAGGTATCTGAAGGCTTAGGGAGATTGGGATGGTGGAGTAGATTAGTCACTTTAAAACTACTCATTCCAGCTGGGAGGATCCAGAATATATACTCTTGACCAATGCCTTGTGAAGTGGATTTTTGAGGGCAGCACCTGCATCTTTGAAGAGCCCTATAATTGCTCTTCTCTGTATGTCAGATCTAATGGTGGGAACAGCAGTCACTCAACTACAAAATGTACGTACAATGGGAATAATTGGATCCTGAGGTGGCATGGGCCAAGTGGCAGCACTCAACTGTCAAAGGTAAGGTGGGCATAGCTATGTAATGGACAACAGAGGCAAAGTGGAAATCAGAATAGTATGACTCATGTAGAGCTCTGGCATTGGTTAATTAATCACAGGGTTCCTAGAAGTGAAATTGATAGGAAACATACTGCATTCCTACTTAAATTATACAAACAGAAAAATTCTAGGTCAAATAGACAAAAGACTAATTTGAATTATAAAAACAGAGAATCACAGCCCCTCAATCAATTTCCAGACTTGAGTCAGTTAACAGACCCAGAACCCCTTGAATGAAGGGGAGACCAGGTCCCCTTGAGGAAGGACCCCACTACATTACTGACAATTTATGCAGTGAATCTTTCTCCCGTCCTTCCCCGAGGAGACCTCCAGCCTTGTACCCGGGTAACTGCATTGGGGAAAAGGAAATGATCAGACATTTCAGGAACTACTGGACACTGGCTCTCTGAGCTGACATTGATTCCAGGGGACCCAAAACGTCATTGTGGTCCTCCAGTTAAAGTAGGGGCTTATAGAGGTCAGGTAATTAGTGGAGTTTTAGCTCAGATCTGACTTACAGTGGGTCCCCAGACTCATCCTGTGGTCCTTTTCCCAGTGCCAGAATGCATAATTGGCATAGACATACTTAGCAGCTGGCAGAACCCTCACATTGGCTCCCTGACTGGTAGGGTGAGTGCTATTATGGTGGAAAAGGCCAAACAGAAGCCATTAGAGCTTACTCTACCTAGAAAAACAGTAAATCAAAAACAATATTGCATCCCTGGAGGGATTGCAGAGATTAGTGCCACCATCAAGGACAGGGGTAATGATTCCCACCACACCCCAGTTCAACTCTTCCACTTGGGCTGTGCAGAAGACAGATGGATCTTGGGGAATGACAGTGAATTATCATAAGCTTAACAAGGGGTAACTCCAATTGCAGCTGCTGTACAAAATGTGGTTTCATTGCTGAGCAAATTAACATGTCTCCTGGTACTTGCTATGCAACCATTGACTTGGCAAATGCCTTTTTCTCCATTTCTGTTTATAAGGCCCACAGAAGCAATTTGCCTTCAGCTGGCAAGGCCAGCAATATACCTTTACAGGCCTACCTCAGGGATATATCAACTCTCTGTCTTTGTGTTATAATCTTATTCCGAGAGACCCTGATCTCTTTGCTTCTGCAAAATATCACACTGGTCCATTACATTGATGACATTATGCTGATTGGATCCAGTGAGCAAGAATTAGCATACACACTGGACTTACTGGTGAGACGTTTGTGTGCCAAAGGATGGGAAATAAATCTGACTGAAATTCAGGAAGCTTCTACCTCAGTAAAATTTCTACGGGTCCAGTGGTGTGGGGCCTGTCAAGATATTCCTTCTAAGATGAAGGATAAGTTACTGCATTTGTTCCCTCCTACAACCAAGAAAAAGGCATCCCTATTTGGATTTCGAAGGCAGTGCATTCCTCATTTGGGTGTGTTACTCCGGCGCATTTGTCGAGTGACCTGAAAGGCTGCCAGTTTAGAGTGTGGTCCAGAACAAGAGAAGGCTCTGCAACAGGCGCAGGCTGCTGTGCAAGCTGCTGTGCCACTTGAGCGATATGACCCAGCAGATCCAATGGTTCTTGAGGTATCAGTGGCAGATAGGGATGCTGTTTGGAGCCTTTGGTAGACTCCCATAGGTGATTCACGGTGGAGGCCTCTAGGATTTTGGAGCAAGGCCCTGTCATCTGTAGATAACTACTCTCCTTTTGAGAGACAGCTCTTGGCCTGTTACTGGGCTTTGGTGGAAACTGAAAGTCACCATGTGACCTGAACAGCCTATCATGAACTGGGTGCTTTCTGACCCGTCTAGCCGTAAAGTGGGTCATGTACAGTAGCATTCCATCATCAAATGGAAGTGGTATATATGTGATCGCGTTCAAGCAGGTCCTGAAGGCACAAGTCAGTTACATGAGGAAGTGGCTCAAATGCCCATGGTCTTCATTCCTGCCACCCTGCCTTCTCTTTCCCAGCCTGCACTCATGGGGAGTTCCCTAGGATCAGTTGACACAGGAAGAGAAGATTAGGACCTGGTTCACAGATGGATCTGCACGATATGCAGGCACCACCTGAAAGTGGACAGCTGCAGCACTACAAACCCTTTCTAGGACATCCCTGAAGGACAGCAATGAAGGGAAATCTTCCCAGTGGACAGAACTTCGAGCAGTGCACCTCGTTGTGCACTTTGCATGGAAGGAGAAATGGCCAGATGTGTGATTATATACTGAGTCATGGGCTGTAGCCAATGGTTTGGCTGCATGTTCAGGGACTTGGAAGAAGCATGATTGGAAAATTGGTGACAAAGAAATGTGGGGAAGAGGTATATGGATGGACCTCTCTGAGTGGTCAAAAACTGTGAAGATATTTTTATACCCTGTGAGTGCTCACCAATGGGTGACCTCAGCAGAGGAGGATTTTAATAATGAAGTGGATAGGATGACCTGTTTTGCAGTCACCACTCAGCCTCTTTCCCCAGCCGCCCCTGTCATGGCCCAATGGGCCCGTGAACAAAGTGGCCATGGTGACAGGAATGGAGGTTACACATGGACTTAGCAACATGGACTTCTACTCACCAAGGCTGACCTGGCTATGGCCACTGCTGAGTGCCCAATTTGCCAGCAGCGGAGACCAACACTGAGCCCTCCATATGGCACCGTTCCTTGGGGTGGTCAGCCAGCTACCTGGTGGCAAGTTGATTATATTGGATATCTTCCATCATGGAAAGGGCAGAGTTTTGTTCTCACTGGAATAGACACTTACTCCGGATATGGGTTTGCCTATCCTGCACATAATGCTATTGCCAAGACTACCATCTGTGAACTCACAAAATGCCTTATCCACCGTCATGGTATTTCACACAACATTGCCTCTGACTAAGGCACTCACTTTACGGCTAAAGCAGTGTGGCAGTGGGCTCATGCTCATGGAATTCACTGGGTCTTAACCATGTTCCCTGTCATCCTGAAGCAGTTGGATTGATAGAATGGTGGAATGGCTTTTTGAAGTCACAATTACAATGCCAACTAGGTGACAATACTTTGCCAGCCTGGGACAAAGTTCTCCAGAAAGCTGTGCATGCTCTGAATCAGCATCCAATATATGGTACTCTTTCTCCCATAGCCAGGATTCACAGGTCCAGGAATCAAGGGGTGGAAGTGGCACCACTCACCGTCACCCCTAGTGATCCATTAGCAAAATTTTTGCTTCCTGTTCCCATGACATTACGTTCTGCTGGCCTAGAGGTCTTAGTTCCAGAGGAAGGAACCCTGCCACCAGGAGACATGACAATGATTCCATTAAACTGGAAGTTAAGGTTGCCAACTGGACACTTTGGGCTCCTGCTACTTTTAAGTCAACAAGCTAAGAAGGGAGTTACAGTGTTGGCTGGGGTGATTGACCCAGACTATCAAGATGAAATCAGTCTACTACTCCATAACAGAGGTAAGGAAGAGTATGCATGGAATACAGGAGATCCATTAGCACATCTCTTAGTATTACCGTGCCCTGTGATTAAGGTCAGTGGGATACTACAACAGCCCAATCCAGGCAGAACTATAAATGGTCTAGACCCCTCAGGAATGAAGGTTTGGGTCACTCCACCAGGAAAAAACCATGACTTGCTGAGGTGCTTGCTGAAGGCAAAGGGAATTCAGAATGGGTAGTAGAAGAAGGTAGTCATCAATACCAGCTATGACCACGTGAAGAGCTGCAGACACGAGGACTGTAACTGTCATGAGTATTTCCTCCTTCTTTTGCTAAAAACAAAAGTGCATGTATACACTTGTACTAAGAAAATATCTTCATTCTATTTCCTCTTCCTTTATCATGTGACATAAGATTTATTGACTTAATATCAGCGTTTAAGTATTGTTAACTTTATGTAATAGTATTTGGGTTGGGGATTGGTGCATTTCAGGTTGTACATAGGATAGTTTTATTATGTTAGGCATAATTATGACCTTCTTATTGTCTTTATTTGAAGATTATGTATGATCTCAGGAGATGTGTATGGGTTCAAGTTGACAAGGGGTGAACTTGTGATGGTTAATACAGAGTGTCAACTTGATTGGATTGAAGGATGCAAAGTATTGACCCTGGGTGTTTCTGTGAGGGTGTTGCCAAAGGAGATTAACATTTGAGTCAGTGGGGTGGGGAAGGCAGACCCATCCTTAATCTGGTATATATATATATCTGATATATATATATCCTATTAGTCCTGTCCCTCTAGGGAACCCTGACTAATATGCCATGAATAACGTATTATTTCACAAAACATGAACACACACACACACACACACACACACACACACACACACCACTTTGCCTATCTCATTCTCTAAGTTGGATGCCATTTTACAATCCTATCACAGGACTCTGTCATTTGAGAGGAGTCTTATTACTATCTGGGTTGCCAGTGATTAGCCCAGAGCAGGGATTCCATATTTGTTGAATGAATAAATGGATGAATAAATATATCCTCTAGGGGGTTCAGTTTCCTGGATTTGACTATAGATTGGGCCTCTCTGTTCCTTCAACTCAGAGCCTGTAGAGTGAACTAAGAACTGTGCCTACAGATACCTCTGAGATTACCTTGTCATAGTTCCCATATATCCCATCCTATTGTAATTCTTAGATTGTTTTGTCACTGTTCTGGTGTTGGAATGTAGAAAGATTTCTCTATGGGTCCACATGCAAGAAATAGTAAAAACAACTTATGATTCTGGGATTATTTGTATAAAACGAACATATGCATAAATAAACTGTTTGGTCCATTTTCAAGCTACCATAGAGGATGTTGTTTTCTAATTCTTTTTTTTCCTTCTCCTCCTTATTCTCCCACTCTCATAACCTCAGAACTGCTGGATGAAGAGATCCCCTGTCAAAAGAAGGAAAATCTTAGAGCTGGAGGAGGCTGAGAAACAAAGCAGTGGTCCCTGAGAACTTTTCCTCTTCCTGGATTTTATAGCCTACTGCATAAAAGTCTTTTCCAGTTTAGAAATGCTCCTTTCTCCGTGAATGCTACTCTCCCTCCACCATCCATCTGGGAAATGCTGTTTCCCAAATACCCACCTGGAAGCCTCTGTACTCAGCTGGCCATATATGAAAAATGTAGAAGAAGGTTAGCCCTGGGCACACTGTGGAATACGTGGATTTAAATGCACTGTCTCATGTCCCTTTCCTCCCTGCAACACAGAGAGAAAAGAAGGGACCTTCATCAGTGAATCAGAGGCAGAACTTCAGGCCAGAGAGATGGAAATATATGGGGTAGGCAGGCCTTTTGTTGATTCATGTCTTCAGGCCACATTACAGAGGCCATTGCCTATTTGACCTGTTAATCAGAATAGGGTAACATTTATCTTTGGCCAATAAGTTTTAAGATTCTTAAGACTTCCTGTAAATTCCTTAACTTCTTCCAATTACAAAGACTTCTTAAAGCAAACTGAGGGGCTGGGGTGGTATTGATAAAATTACAGATTTTTTTTTTTTGTTATGCAAGTACTTACACACACAGGCTGTTCCTGAGGTTAAGAAACAATTCTAAACTAGGAAAGACAGTTTGTGAGGACAAGAACAGCAAGGATACTTGCCAATAAGTGGCAGACTCTATTCTTCCTCTTGTCATTTGCTGCAGAAACATGAGTCATGACCAAACCTTTCCAGATCAGGGAAGGCCTCAGAGTCACCCCAAGATGCTCCCAGATGTGCCCTGTCAGATGTCCTGAGTGTGTCTGTGAGCTGTCTAAATGTTCTTTCCCTACTTTTAGAGCATTGAGATGGAAAATCCCAAGAATGCATTGCAGTGGGTTCTAGGGCTCCTAATCCTGGTGTACTTAGCTGTTTGGTGTTAAATAAAAGGGATTAGAAGAATGCCAATGGAGGCATTGTATATGCAGGCTGTGGTTAGAGGAACAGAGTTACAGATACGTGGGGCTGTATTCTTCAGGACTGGGGCAGTGAGGGAGAGGTAGAGTTGGAGATCTGAGGGGCATATTTCCCCTTCTGCACCCTTTCTTGACAAAATCTTCTTAAGAGGTACCAGAAATCTCAATGGTGCAAACATGGCAGCATATTTTGTCTAAGAAAACATTCTGCTTTGATTTTCGGAAGTTGCGATTCTGTAACCGTGATAATCTTGTAAAAGTGTTAACAATATAGATAAGTCACGGATTATGACCCACAAAATTAATCCCTCACTGAGAAGGTCTGTAGGTTTTAAAATCAATGATCGAACTCCCCTATCCATTTTATGAAGCAACCGTAATTTTAACCTCAGGTTTTAACCAAGAACTAAAATAAAAAGAAAACTTTAGATTATTTTCTTTTATAGATAGAGGTATAGGGATTGTAAATAAAATATTAGCAGATGGAGGGCCACTTTATAATCAGGTAAGGAAATCAAAAAAGAGGTGGGAATAAAGAGGTGAGTAAAAAGACATTAAAGACAAGCTCTACTCAATTGTTTGGACCGGAGCATGCCCTGGTGAGATAATTAAATCAAGAAATGAAAGAGAAGAAGGTTGCAGACAACTATCAAGCTATGTTATTAGAATAATAGGTGACAGTGGGTCAGATAAGTCAATTTGAATGCCAAATACTAGCATACCTTATGTCAGTGCCCAATACCTTATTTGGAAATAAAGTTGGATAAACTAGCTAAGTATAAAAATCAATCAATGGTATTTAAGAGGTAGTGAATGCAGTTTAAATAATCAGGAGACTTGGGGACAGCCTATTTGCTTTGGGACCATGGAGAAGTCACTTAGCTTCTCTGTGAAATGGGGTGGCTATTCTAGTTCAGCACTTCCCAAACTTTAATATGCATATGAGTCATCTGAAGATTTTTGTTAAAAATGTGGATTTTGGCTCAGTAGGGTCTGGGACTGGTCTGAGATTCTAATGAGGTGAGGCCAGTGCTACTGTTCTGTGGACCACACTCTGAATAGTAAGGATCTAGATGATCTCCATGTCTCTTCCAGTTCAATTAAACATGGCTTTATAACATAGTCTTTCGCAAGCAATCAGCTAAAAACTTTGTATTATAAGAACGAAGGTAAAATAATGAGAAGAACTACTGTACTAAATAAGAAAAAAATCAAGAGATGCGGGCTCTCAATAGGATGGACCTAGCAGTTAAGTTTGACTCAGTGACTCAGTGAGTAAGAGAAGCAGAGCCAAGTTAAAATCAGGGAAAGAATCTCAGTCCAAAGAATGTGACCAGAGAGAGGGAAGATCAATGGATTACTTAGGAATCCTGTGTGACTGAAAGTCCTTAATGAAGCATCCCTTATACTACAAAGGAACAGAAGGAGTCAGAGCCCTGTCAGCCCTCCATCAGTTCCCTCTCAGTCTCCTAGCTTCGTTTGAAGAACATATTGTCACTATGATCCTTGACATTCCTCCTTAGTCACTTAGTTTCTCTAAAATGCAAAGACAGAAAAGGAGTTCATTTGTAAACCCATTATAGAGCGTTCTGAAAAGCCATTCAGATGTTGACTTATAGACATCCTAGTCTTTGGTTTAAGGCCAGGCACCAGGAGTAGAGGATCCACAACACAGGTCTCAGGCTTGTCTGAGAACCTGGGAGGGGAAGAAAAACGTGAGGAGGACACAGAAAGATAAACACTCTAAATGCCTTCAAAACCAGAAATCTTCCCTATTGCATTTATTCATTGAAACATTGACTTCAGGTTCATGGCAATAATATTTAGTAATCATTGGATATTAAGTAAAAATTCTATGGGGTTTATAAAGGCAGCATTGTGATTCAATGTAAAAAAGGAAGAAATCAATATTAGGCAGGTTGAGACCATCCAGCTAGTTAGTGTTGGAGGTAGAACTCAGCCAGCTAGTGTTGGAAGAGATCTCATGTCTCTTCATCCCATCAGTGGGGCTCCCTCTACAGTGTTATGTACCTAGCACCACATGTATTTAAATATATTGGACTTTGACTTTTCTCAAATACTCCACTAACCTTTTGTATTCATTATGATTATACATTTACAAGATGCTTTGTTTCATTATTTGATAGCAAAATGTTGTAACAAGTAAATGGTTTCCCATATTGGTGGGAGTGACAGTCGTTGTTGGTTGTCAATCCCAGAACATTTACTCTTTCTTCTTCGCTGACACATTTTATTTGTCTTCCTCTGAGAATCTGCTTTCTTCAGCAGGGGCTGAGATCTTCTTAGCCTTAGGGCACTGAATCTTAATTGATCTAAGCTAGTTAATATAGTTTCACTTGCCAAATGACTGTTGAACTGAGAGCATATGGTGAAACTGTGGCCAATCAGTCATGAAAGGAGGTTGCTTATGCTTTCAAAAAGGCACACATTACAGAGATATTCCCTTTTCTTCCTCTGGACTTTGCCTACTACAGGTGATGCCTGGAACTTGGAACCATGAGAATATATTTAATACAATGTGAATAGTAGAGAAGAAAAAGGGAAAGGACCTGGGTTCTTGATGATGTTACTGAGGCACCGAATCAACCAAATGCAGGACTGCTCTTCCCTCAGATTTTATCTGGGGTTTCTTTTTTTAGCAGCCAAAAGCATCCCAACAAATACAGAGTGACGGAGATTCACTCTGCCATAACTGGCATCGAACAACCAGAGTTGAAATCTCAACTGTATCACCAACTAGCTTTGTAACCTTGAATGAGTTATTTTCTTTCCAAGAGCCTAACTCCTTATAAAAATACTTTATAAGGTAGAATTTCTAACATAAAATATAAAAACACCTGAAAATTATTATTATTACTATTCTATTTATTACTATTACATGATATATAAGAATAACAGCACCATAATCAGACTTCATCATAAGCAATCTGCAGTGAGAATGCTTTCAAGTCTTTCTCTGTTTCCAGGAAAATCACTGCATCCTGGGACATTTGAACCTCCCCTTTCTCCTAAGGGCACATGACAAAAAGTCAGGCTGGCTATAGTTTGGAATGAGGGGAATTCAATGGAATATGAGAGCAACATCTCCTGACAAGCAAAAGGGGGCTCATCAGATTGCTTTTGGGGCTAATGTTCCATGAGAGTATTTCCAGCATTTCACTACATATGCAGGGCTGCAACACACACCAGGTAACTTCCCTCCATTTTCCTTTGCTTTGAGAAGTGGAGAGCTCACAAATTTCAGGTGAAAGGTCATGTCTTTGATGCGTGGAAAAGAAATATATCTAGGAGCCCAACTGCACTGTATTACTGAAAGCAGCAGTTCCCCAAGTAGAGATTTTTAAAGGGCTTTCTTCCATTTCATTGTTTGTCCTCACTGCTCCCCTGGACAAGACCACTGTCAGTCTTTTCAGGCTGCTATAACAAAGTAGCACAGACTGCGTGGCACATACACAACAGAAATTTATTTTTCACAGTTTTGGAAGCTGGGAAGCTCAAGATCTGAGTGTTTGCATGATTGGGTTCTGGTTAGGGCCCTTTTCTAGGTTGTAGACTGCCTTCTTGTTGTATCCTCTTAGGATTGGAAGAGAGTGAGAGAGCTCTTTGTGATTCAGGGTCCTTCTTATAAGGACAGTAATCCCATTTGTGAAAGTTTTACCTATTTGCCTTTCAAAGTCTCCATCACTCAATACCATCACATTGGGAGTTAGGATTTCAACATACGAATTTTGGGAAGACACGAGCATTCAGTCCATTGCAACTACTTCTTAAGCAGCCCCTAAACACCGCAGGACTTGGTTTGTTTACAGCTATAGCCATTTCATTACTCTTTTTGTTACAATAGTAAGGGCCAGAGGAGCTCTACATTTTGTGTGTTGTTTGTATTAGAAATAGCCTCTTGTTTTGGGCTGAAAATAAGAGTGTTGGATGTGTATAACACCTGTGAGGACACTCTCACTGCTGTTTGTTGTGAAAGCTCTGGAGAGGATTGGCACTGGGTTTGGACTGCATAATGAGGAAGAGGGTCCCATGGGATCATTTCTTGGCCCAGTTTCATCCCAGAGCTCACTGCTTTTTTTTTTTTTTTTTTTTTTAAGTGGAAGGTCAAGAAATAAGGAGCTGGGCCTATGGACATCTGCCTGGAGTGGTAGTTCCAAATTGGTATTTCTCCTCTGGAGGTTTAGTTTCAAATTTAATTAGCTAATTCATGATGGTAAATTACCTTCATTAATTAATGAATACTAAAGTGCTCTGACTAAACAAAGCACTAAGCATAATTTCAGGGCAGTTAATATCTGGTCTAACTATGAGGACCAATTTGGGAAAGAGATTTTTACAGCAATAATATAAATAACAATAATAGTTATTTAATGATTTGGACTGAAACCTTCTCTTGGTCTGGAACATTCTCTTAGAGGAGCATCTTATACAGTCTCTAGTTTCCTTAGTGAAAAGACTTGCTGAAAAGACTTCTTTGCCAGAAGCATCCCTGGAGGAGGAAGACCTTGTGAGAGAGCGAGCGGCAAGTGTGCCTTTACAGTCCAGTGGGTAATACAAAAAAGTAAACAAGCAGTTATTATCCAGGAAGATATATGCTGTGATAGGGAGTTATCCAAGGAGCTGTAGGATCACAGGAGGGGGTCTTGGAAGTGTCCCAATGGAGGTGAGAGCTCCTGGTGAGAGATGAGCAGGAGTTCCTCAGGCATAGATAGGAATGGGGAGAGGGTTAGAAGGGCAAATGTGTGTGTATGTGTGTGTGTGGGGTGGGTGGGGGATAGAGGGAGAGGGAGAGTGCAAGTGCAAAGAATCTAACACATTTTGAAAACTGGAAGTTGAATGTGTTTGGAAGGGCATCAAGAGACTGAATAAAATTTGAACACATGCATTATCTTTCATCCCTGACAAAACTCTATTAAAGGGATGATCATAGGATTTTTTTTTTTTCTTGAGATGGAGTCTTGCTCTGTCACCCAGGGTGGAGTGCAGTGGCATGATCTCGGCTCAGTGCAACCTCCGCCTCCTGGGTTCAAGCAATTCTCCTGCCTCAGCCTCCCAAGTAGCTGGGATTACAGGCGTGTGCCACCATGCCTGGCTAATTTTTGTATTTTTAGTAGAGACAGAGTTTCACCATGTTGGCCAGGCTGGTCTCAAACTCCTGACCTTGTGAATTGCCTGCCTCGGCCTCCCAAAGTGCTGGGATTACAGGCATGAATCATCACACCAGGCCAATAATAGGGTTTTTAAAAATATATATATAAATATGAGAACAAACAGAACAGGAAAAAGACAATAGTAACAAAATTTTTAGAAGCTAAGCCATACGTGGAAGACTGTCAACTGATTTAGCATACTGGAGAAAGTGGAATTTGAACCTTAAGTAAGCAGTGGACAAACTAAGCAGGAAGCTGGTTTGAACCAGGGATTGCCCTGCAAAAATCTTAAGAAACAGAGATAATAGACACTCTGGAACTAGACCTAAAGGAAGATGTAAAACCAGGAGGATTATTTCAAATTCCTTTTTGTGTTTGTTTGTTTTCGAGAGACTGAGTCTCACTCTGTCGCTCTGTTTCCCAGACTGGAGTACAGTGGCACAGTCACGGCTCACTTCAGTCTTGACCTTTTCAGCTCAAGTGATCCTCCCATCTAGCCTCCCGAGTAGCTGGGGCCACAGGCACATGCACCACAGTCTGCTAATTTTTAATTTTTTTTATTATTATACTTTAAGTTCTAGGGTACATGTGCACAACGTGCAGGTTTGTTACATAGGTATACATGGGCCATGTTGGTTTGGTGCACCCATCACCTCGTCATTTACATTAGGTATTTCTCCAAATGCTATTCCTCCCCCAACCCTCCACCCCGCAACAGATCCTGGTGTGTGATGTTCCTCTCCCTGTGTCCACTTGGTTTCATTGTTCAACTCCCACTTATGAGTGAGAACATGCGGTGTTTGGTTTTCTGTCCTTGTGATATTTTGCGAGAATGATGGTTTCCAGTTTCATCCATGTCCCTGCAAAGGACATGAACTCATTCTTTTTTATGGCTGCATAGTATTCCATGGTATAGATGTGCCACATTTTCTTTGTCCAGTCTATTATTGATGGACATTTGGGTTAGTTCCAAGTCTTTGCTATTGTGAATAGTGCCTCAATAAACATATGGGTGCAATGTGTCTTTATAGTAGCATGATTTATAATCCTTTGGGTATATACCCAGTAATGGGATTGCTGGGTCAAATGGTATTTCTAGTTCTAGATCCCTGAGGAATAACCACACTGTCTTCCACAATGGTTGAACTAATTTACACTCTTACCAACAGCATAAAAGCATTCCTATTTCTCCACATCCTCTCCAGCATCTGTTGTTTCCTGACTTTTTAATGATTGCTTTTAACTGGCATTAGATGGTATTTCATTGTGGTTTTGATTTGCACTTCTCTGATGACCAGTGATGATGAGCATTTTTTCATATGTCTGTTGGCTGCATAAATGTCTTCTTTTGAGAAGTGTCTGTGCATATCCTTTGCCCACTTTTTGTTGAGGTTGTTTGTTTTTCTTGTAAATTTGTTTAAGTTCTTTGTAGTTTCTGGTTATCAGCCCTTTGTCAGATGGATAGATTGCAAAAATTTTCTCCCATTCTGTAGGTTGCCTGTTCACTCTGATGCTAGTTTCTTTTGCTTTGCAGAAGCTCTTTAATTAGATCCCATTTGTCAATTTTGGCTTTCATTGCCATTGCTTTTGGTGTTTTAGTCATGAAGTCTTTGCCCATGCCTATGTCCTGAGTGGTATTGCCTAGGTTTTCTTCTAGGGTTTTTATGGTTTTACGTCTTACATTGAAGTCTTTAATCCATCTTGAGTTAATTTTTGTGTAAGGTGTAAGGAAGGGATCTAGTTTCAGCTTTCTACACATGGCTAGCCCATTTTCCCAACACCATTTATTAAATAGGGAATCCTTTCCCCATTGCTTGCTTTCATCAGGTTTGTCAAAGATCAGATGGTTGTAGATGTGTGGTGTTATTTCTGAGGTCTCTGTTCTGTTCCATTGGTTTATATATCGGTTTTGGTACCAGTACCATGCTGTTTTGGTTACTGTAGCCTTGTAGTATAGTTTGAAGTCAGGTAGCGTGATACCTCCAGCTTTGTTCTTTTTGCTTAGGATTGTCTTGGCTATATGGGCTCTTTTTTGGTTCCATATGAAATTTAAATTAGATTTTTCCAATTCTGTGAAGAAAGTCAATGGTAGCTTGATGGGGATAGCATTGAATCTATAAAGTACCTTGGGAAGTATGGCCATTTTCACGGTATTGATTTTTCCTATCCATGTGCATGGAATGTTTTTCCATTTGTTTGTGTCCTCTCTTATTTCCTTTAGCAGTGGTTTGTAGTTCTCCTTGAAGGGGTCCTTCACATCCCTTGTAAGTTGGATTCCTAGGTATTTTATTCTCCTTGTAGCAATTGTGAGTGGGAGTTCACTCATGATTTGGCTCTCTGTTTGTCTGTTATTGGTATAGGAATGCTTCTGTTTTTTGCACATTGATTTTGTATTCTGAGACTTTGCTGAAGGTGCTTATCAGCTTAAGGAGATTTTGGGCTGAGACAGTGGGGTTTTCTAAATATACAATCATGTCATCTGCAAACAGAGACAATTTGACTTTCTCTTTTCCTAATTGAATACCCTTTATTTCCTTCTCTTGCCTGATTGCTCTGGCCAGAACTTCCAATATTATATTGAATAGGAGTGGTGAGAGAGGGCATCCTTGTCTTTTGCTGGTTTTCAAAGGGAATACTTCCAATTTTTGCCCATTCAGTATGATACTGGCTGTGGGTTTGTCATAAATAGCTCTTATTATTTTGAGATATGTTCCATCAATATCTAGTTTATTGAGTGTTTTTAGCATGAAAAGCTGTTGAATTTTGTGAAAGGCCCTTTCTGCATCTATTGAAATAATCATGTGGTTTTTGTTTTTGGTTCTGTTTATGTGATGGATTACATTTATTGATTTGCATATGTTGAGCCAGCCTTGCATCCCAGGGATGAAGCCAACTTGATCATGGTGGATAAGTTTTTTGATGTGCTGCTGGATTCGGTTTGCCAGTATTTTATTGAGGATTTTCACATCGATGTTCATCAGGGATATTGGCCTAAAGTCCTCTTTTTTGTTGTGTCTCTGCCAAGTTTGGGTATCAGGGTGATGCTGGCCTCATAAAATGAGTTAGGGAAGATTCCTTCTTTTTCTATTGATTGGAATAGTTTCAGAAGGAATGGTACCAGTTCCTCTTTGTACGTCTGGTAGCATTTGGCTATGAATCTGTCTGGTCCTGGACTTTTTTTGGTTGGTAGGCTATTAATTAGTGCCACAATTTCAGAACCTGTTATTGGTCTATTCAGAGATTCAACTTTTTCCTGGTTTAGTCTTAGGAGGGGGTATGTGTCGAGGAATTTATCCATTTCTTCTAGATTTTCTAGTTTATTTGTGTAGAGGTGTTTATAGTATTCTCTGATGGTAGTTCGTGTTTCTGTGGGACTGATGGTGATATCCCCCTTATATTTTTTTTATTGTGTCTATTTGATTCTTCTCTCTTTTCTTGTTTGTTAGTCTGGCTAGTGTTCTATCTATTTTGTTGATCTTTTCAAAAAACCAGCTCCTGGATTCATTGATGTTTTGAAGGGTATTTTGTGTCTCTATCTCTTTCAGTTCTGCTCTGATCTTAGTTATTTCTTGTCTTCTGCTAGCTTTTGAATTTGTTTACTCTTGCTTCTCTAGTTCTTTTAATTGTGATGTTAGGGTGTCGATTTTATATCTTTCCCACTTTCTCTTGTGGGCATTTAGTGGTATAAATTTCCCTCTACACACTGCTTTAAATGTGTCCCAGAGATTCTGGTACATTGTGTCTTTGTTCTCATTGATTTCAAAGAATATCTTTATTTCCGCCTTCATTTCGTTATTTACCCAGTAGTCATTCAGGAGCAGGTTGACCGGTTTCCATGTAGCTGTGTGGTTTTGAGTGAGTTTCTTAAACCTGAGTTCTGATTTGATTGCGCTGTGGTCCGAGAGACAGTTTGTTGTGATTTCTGTTCTTTTCCATTTGCTGAGGAGTGTTTTACTTCCAATTATGTGGTCACTTTTAGAATAAGTGTGATGTGGTGCTGAGAAGAATGTATATTCTGTTGATTTGGGGTGGAGAGTTCTGTAGATGTCTATTAGGTCCGCTTGGTCCAGAGCTGAGTTCAAGTCCTGAATATCTTTGTTAATTTTCTGTCTCGTTGATCTATCTAATATTGACAGTGGGGTGTTAAAGTCTCCCATTATTATTGTGTGGGAGTCTAAGTCTCTTTGTAGGTCTCTAAGAACTTTCTTTATGAATCTAGGTGCTGCTGTATTCAGTGCATATATATTTAGGATAGTTTACTCTTCTTGTTGAATTGATCCCTTTACCATTATGTAATGGCCTTCTTTGTCTCTTTTGATCTTTGTTGGTTTAAAGTCTGTTTTATCAGAGACTAGGATTGCAACCCCTGCTTTTTTTTTTTCTTTCCATTTGCTTGGTAGATCTTCCTCCCTACCTTTAATTTGAGTCTATGCGTATCTTTGCACGTGAGATGGGACTCCTGAGTACAGCACACATGCCTGACAAAAACAAACAGTGGGGAAAGGATTCCCTATTTAATAAATGGTATTTGGAAAACTGGCTAGCCATATGTAGAAAGCTGAAACTGGTTCTCTTCCTTACACCTTACACAAAAATTATCTCAAGATTGATGAAGGGTCTTGACCCTTTATCCAATTTGCCAGTCTGTGTCTTTTAATTGGGCATTTAGCCCATTTACATTTAAGGTTAATATTGTCATGTGTGAATTTGATCCTGTCATTATGATGCTAGCTGGTTATTTCACCCATTAATTGATGCAGTTTCTTCACAGCGTTGATGGTCTTTAAAATTTGGCATGTTTTTACAGTGGCTGGTACTGGTTGTTCCTTTCCATGTTTAGTGCTTCCTTCAGAAGCTCTTGTAAGGCAGGCCTGGTGGTGACAAAATCTCTCAGCATTTGCTTGTCTGTAAAGGATTTTAATTCTCCTTCACCTATGAAGCTTAGTTTAGCTGGATATAAAATTCTGGGTTGAAAATTATTTCTTTAAGAATGTTGAATATTGGCCCCCACTCTCTTCTGGCTTGTAGGGTTTCTGCAGAGAGATCAGCTGTTAGTCTGATGGGCTTCCCTTTGTGGGTAACCCGACCTTGCTCTCTGGCTGCCCTTAACATTTATTCCTTATTTCAACCTTGGTGAATCTGACAATTATGTATCTTGGGGTTGCTCTTCTTGAGGAGTACCTTTGTGGTGTTCTCTGTATTTCCTGAATTTGAATGTTGGCTTGCCTTGCTAGGTTGGGGAAGTTCTCCTGGATAATATCCTGAAGAGTGTTTTCTAATTTGGTTCCATTCTCTCTGTCACTTTCAGGTACACCAATCAAATGTAGATTTGGTCTTTTCACCTAGTCCCATATTTCTTGGAGGTTTTGTACATTTCTTTTCACGCTTTTTTCTCTAATCTTGTCTTCTTGCTTTATTTCATTAATATGATCTTCAATCACTGATATCCTTTCTTCTGCTTGATCGAATCAGCTATTGAAGCATGTGTTTGCTTCACAAAGTTCTTGTACTGTGGTTTTCAGCTCCATCAGGTCATTGAAGCTCTTCTTTACACTGGTTATTCTAGTTAGCCATTTGTCTAACCTTTTTACAAGGTTTTTAGCTTTCTTGCAATGGGTTAGAACATGCTCCTTTAGCTTGGAGAAGTTTGTTATTACCGACCTTCTGAAGCCTATTTCTGTCAACTCATCAAACTCATTCTCCATCCAGTTTTGTTCCCTTGCTGGTGAAGAGTTGTGTTCCTTTGGAGAAGAGGTGTTCTGGTTTTTGGAATTTTCAGCCTTCCTGCTCTGGTTTCTCCCCATCTTTGTGGTTTTTATCTACCTTTGGTCTTTGATGTTGGTGACGTATGGATGGGGTTTGGTGTGGATGTCCTTGTTGTTGATGTTGATGCTTTTCCTTTCTGTTTGCTAGTTTTCCTTCTAACAGACAGGCCTCATAGCTGCAGGTCTGTTGGAGTTTTCTTGAGGTCCATTCCAGACCCTGTTTGCCTGAGTGTCACCAGTGGAGGCTGCAGAATAGCAAATATTGCTGCCTGATCCTTTCTCTAGAAGCTTCATTCCAGAGGGACACCTGCCTGTATGAGGTGTCTGTTGGCTCCTACTGGGAGGTGTCTCCCAGTCAGGCTACATGGGGTTCAGGGACCCACTTGAGGAGGCAGTCTGTTTGTTATTGGAGCTTGAGCACCGTGCTGGGAGAACCACTGCTCTCTTCAGAGCTGTCAGGCAGGGAAGTTTAAGTCTGCAGAAGTTGCTGCATTTTGTTCAGATATGCCACCCCCAGAAGTGGAATCTAGAGAGGCAGTAGGCCTTGCTGAGCTGCAGTGGGCTCCGCCAAGTTTGAGCTTCCCTGCCGCTTTGTTTACACTGTGAGCATAGAACCACCTACTCAAGCCTCAGCAATGGCGGATGCCTCTCCCCCTGCCAAGCTCCAGCATCCCAGGTCGATCTCAGACTGTTGTGTTAGCAGTGAGCAAGGCTCTGTGGGCATTGGACCCACTGAGCCAGGCATGGGAGGGAATATCCTGTTCTACCAGCTGCGATGACCATGAGAAAAGTGCAGTATTTGGGCAGAAGTGTACCATTCCTCCAGGTACAGTCACTCATGGCTTTCTTTGGCTAAGAAAGGGGAATCCCCCAACCCCTGGTGCTTCTCAGGTGAGGCGATGCTCTTTCCTGCTTCGGCTCACCCTCTGTGGGCTGTACCCACTGTCCAACCAGTCCTAGTGAGATGAACCAGGTACCCAGTTGGAAATGCAGAAATCACCCATCTTCTGTGTCAATCTTACTGGGAGCTGTAGACCGGAGCTGTTCCTATATGGCCATCTTGGAAGCAACCATGTAATTTTTTATTTTTTTGTACAGATGAGGTTTCACTGTGTTTCCAAGGCTGGTCATGAACTCCTGGGCTCAAGTGATTCTCTTGTCTCATCCTATCAAAGGGAGGGAATAGAAGCATGAGCCACAACACCTGGCCTCAAATTCTTATAAAGAAAGATTTGGACTCCCAAATCATTTCTCCTTTGTAATAAGATGACTTCCCACTTCAACTCTGACAGAAGACTGGAGGATTATTCTCTTAAGGGAATAAATTAGATGCCATGTAGAGTTGGGTATGGGAATATCATATGGAAAATGTGGTGAGTTAGCAAAAGTTTACACATTGAAACTGAAACACCCTAAGTCTTCATCTCCTAACAGGCTCTTAGAATTTTAATAGTCATCTTTATACTAGAGAAGGAGATTAAAAAAGCCTTCTCTGGAAGTATGACTAACCCAAGAAAAATGATCCAAAGTTACAACATCAGGGCTTTACCAGGGAGCCCAGTGAGATACCAACAATGAAGATTACAAGTTCATCCACAGACTGAGAGTTTCCAATCAACTTCTTCGAGCACCAAGGATTGGCTGAGAAAAGCTAAAATATAAAAGACAGAGATAAAAACAAACAGAAATAAGCAGCTTAGACAAGGTAGAGAACAAAGGAAGAAAAAACCTAAATAATATACTGTAATTAATATCCATAGGAAGGCAAAAGAGGGTACTGCCTCAAAGAAACAGGAATATGATGCTATAAAAATAACACCCAGAGAACAAAAAGAGAGCTCTTGGAAATTAAAGATGTAAAAGTAGAAATAAAAATTTCAGTAGAAGCTTTGGAATATAAGGTTAATGAACTCTCCCAGAAAGAAGAATATAAAAGCAAAAGGAAATAGGAGAGAAAAGATTTTAAAAACTGTCCGTCATCCAAATAAAAATTTCCAGACAGAGAGAAAAGGTACATTGAAGAGAAAGAAAGTATCAATAATTAAATCAGAAAATTTCTTAGAACCAAAAGACATGAGTACCAGAGTTCTGTACAATGAATGAAAATAAAATCACACAGAGGGTCATCACTGTGCAATTTCAGAATAACACAAATAAAAAATGAAAATCTACAATTTTTGAGATGGGGGAAAAGATGTCATACAAAGGATCAAGATTCAGAATTACATCAGACTTCTCCTTATCAGCATTGAAAACTGGAAGGTAATGGAATGATGCCTCCAAAATATGGAGGGACAGCAATACAACTTAAAACTCTATACCACCCAAATTCCTACTTAGGGTAAATTAAAGACGTTTTGAGACATGAAACATTTTAAAAATCTGCTAACATACATCTTTTATTAGGAAGCTAGTGGAGGGTGTGATCCACCAAAATGAGGGAGTAATACCATGTAAGAGAAAACTGTGCAATCCAGGAAACAAAGGATCAAACAACAGAGAGAGTTGAGTGGCATCCCCATAATGATGGTGAGCAGACTTAACAAGATGAACAGTCTTGTAATATAGTTGGACAGCTGGAAGCTCAGGATGGAGCTGGTTAGAAGGCTTCAGGATGGTTTCCTCAAGAAACAGAAATTGATAGAAAATTGATAGGATACCTAATATACCAAGAGGGATTATACAATTGGTGGAAATGTGAATGAAGACCATGAGTCTACCCCTAGACATAGAGCTTTCAATCAGCTGAATTACTGGTAAGTATACAGAAAAAACTAAAGGTGCATTCATAAAAATCTAAGCAAATAAACAAAAGACAACTAACTTCAAGGAAACCAGAAAGTTTTGCAAGAAAGGAAAAGTCATTATAGTACATTACATGGCTCAGTTACAAAACATGTTTACATAGTCATCATAATATAAGCAAGTAATATTTATGCTACCAAAATTCTAAATTACAAGTAGGGTGGAGGGATGGAAAGTGTATGCTGGAAACAGGGATGTATGTGAGAGAGAACATCCTATCCTCATCTTCTACAGTAGAAAATCAATAGGTTACATCTAATAATGGAAAAATCAGGAAGTAGTAATATAGTGATGGTCTTTATCAAGATAGGTAACACAGGGGAGAGGAATTATGAGGGCTGTAATAAGATGTATTGTTGAATTGGGGGTTTTGAGATATCTGTGAAACAACCAAGTGGAGATGTCTGCTAGGCAGTTGGCTTTATGGGTCCAGTGCCAATCAGCTTGAAGAAGGGTTCTTGGAAGGAATTAAGTCCTACATAAAATTATTTGCATGACTATTTTTCTCAATTATTTCCCAGAATGATTGATAACTACTCACATTCTAAATACATAGGAGAGAAGTCCATTAATGATATACAAGTCATACCTAAGGGCACTAGAGCTTAATGTCCTTGCAAAAGCAACTGAGAAGGGCTGATCGGTACTGTGGGAAATAGAGATTTGAACTCATTGTCTGTCTTGTCTGGGGAGTAGATGAAACTGGAAGAGGGCCAAGGATAACTGCTAGGGGACACTAACAGTTTAGAGATGGGCAGGGCAAGAAGCAACTACAAAGAGACTAAGGAGTAATAAGAAATACTCGAGAACATGGCATCTAGAAGATACAGAAGGGATTTTGAAAGAGAAGGTACATAGGAGGCGCCAACAGATGCAGAGAAGTTACATGAAGTAAGGACTATAAGGGGGCTATTGATTTTTACCTATAAGGAAGTTGTGAGTGACCTTAGTTGAAGCAGTTCACTGGAGTAGGTGGTATTCAGAAGCCAGATTTCAGTGTACTTGGAACCCAGCAATCAGTCAGCCGAAACTAGCTGTTTCTTAATGCCCATCTCTGAACCAAAGCTAACATTTCATTCATATTCCAAGTCACATCTAGGAGGGAACCGTGTTTTCACCCAGGAGACCACTTAGACACACAACATTGGGTTTCCACAACAACTTTATGAGAACATTTCTAGGGATTCAGGGACCCTGGCCAATCTTATTATTGCATTCTTTAGATTGTTATTTTTATGTTTTTTTTTCTTTTTTGTGAAAGCTGACATGGGATGAGTCCTAAACTGACCAGGGGAAGAGTGTGTTGTATTACCTTGTTGTTTAAGTAATCTCTCAACATGGGCCAAGAACTACTGCTAGAAAAGTAAGAGCTTCCCTGTAATAGAACAGGTGCTATTCATCTGTCACTGAAACTTCAGGTGGTATGACCTTACTACTCCAAATATCTGTCATTATTTATCATTTATTCATTTATTCAAATACAGTAGTCTCCCCTTTATCCACCAGGGATAAGTCCCAAAGCTCCCAATGGATGCCTAAAACTGTGGATAGAACAGACTTTTATATATACAATGTTTATTTTCCTGTACATGCATGCCTATGATAAAGTTAAATTTATAAATTAGTCACAGTAAGAGATTAACAACAACAATAATAAAATAGGACAATTATAACAATATGACAGCATCACTACTCTTGCACTTTGGGGCCATTATAAGTAAAATAAGAATGACCTAAACACAAGCACTGTGATACTGAGATAGCTAATCTTATCACTGAGACGGCTACTAAGTGGACTAATGGTCAGGTACTATATACAGTGTAGATACACTGGACAAAGGGAGGACTCATGTCCTGGGTGGGATGGAGGGAGACAGGGCTAGATTCCATCCCTCTACTCAGAACGCCACGTGATTTAAAACTTATGAATTGTCATTTTCTGGGATTTTCCATTTAATATTTTCAGATCATAGGTAATACTAAAGTCATGGAAAGCAAAACTGCAGAGAAGGGAAGACTATTTTATTTACAGTATCCTAGGAGTTATAGAGATAAAACATGGAGCAAATATGAATCATGCTCTCAAGAAGTTTATAGCAAAGGGATGGTTCATGAGCCCAAGTAGCACTGGTACAAGGTAAAAAGGACTAGAGGACCTTCTTCTTCTGGAGGGTCTTCTATCCAAATCAGCCATACACAGGAGGACTAAAGTGGGGTGGGGTCTCCTATGAAGTGTATTAATGGTTTTGCCTTGACGTTGTCCCCCATCTGATCTAAGTGTTACCTCAGTTTTTCCAAAGTGGTATGGGTTGTGAACTCTCAACCTACAGGACTGCTTTCAAATTGTGTAGCTGTGCCTCATATGCAAATAGAGGGTGAATTGGAGGCTCCATCTGAAGCTTGTTTTTGGAGTTTGTTATAAAGCTCCCTCTTCAAAGGATAGCAAACAAACAAACAAACAAACTGTTTTTCCTACTGTCCACTCTCACATTTAATACAACACAGCACCTCTGTTTATCAAAATGTGTGGGGATTTCTCCGCACATACAACGAAGCAATTCTGTAGTAGATTGTCCAGTAGAACCCAGGTGGGTGTCCTACAGTTTAACTAAATTCTGATTATCTACCTGGAGATAGCGTCAGATCTCACAGGTTGAGGGCTCAGTCCCACAAGACTGCCCCCACCCTTGAGATACTAGCATGGTCTGTGCTTCTAATCACCTGGCTATCAATGGGGATTCCCATAATCCCCTCTTTGAGTTGGTAGAGTGGCTCACAGAACTCAAGGAAACACTTTACTTATGTTACCCATTTATTATAAAGAGTATTACAAGGGATACAGAAAAACAGCTAGTAGAGAGATGCACAGGGCAAAGTTTAGAAGAAGGGGCACTGAACATTGCTCCCAGGCCGTCTCTTGGTGTGCCACCCTCCAAGAAGCTTCATGTGTTCAGCTATCCTGAAGATTTCTGAAACCAGTCCTTTTGGATTTTTATGTAGGTTTCATTAAGTAGGCATGATTGATTAGATCATTGGCCATTGGTCACCAATTCAACCTTCAGTGTTCCCTCCTCTTCCCAGAGATTAGGGGGACCCAACTTTCTAATTAGGCCATGGTCTTTCGGGTGACTAACCCCCATCCTGAAGCTCTCAAGGTGCCCCCATCTACCAGGCATCTCAGCATACAAAAGACACTCATCACACCAGAGATTTCCAAGGGTTTTAGGAGATGAATGTCAGGAAATAGGATGAAGACCAAATATGTATTACAAAATAGCATACTTCCTACAAAGGAATTATAAACTGGGGTGCATGGGTAAGGTGATACTCCTGAGCTGCTGGGTGCTCAAAGAGTGTATCAAAATTTAAACAAGGAACCTCAACACTTGTAACTGAAAGACCCAGATCTTACTTATCTTTGGCTATGAAGTCAAATCAGATTTACAGTAATACTCCAAATATCAATGCTCAGAGCCTAAACATCCTTGACAGGCAGAGATCCCTTTGCTTCCAGGAGTTTCTCTTCCTAAATATTTCTGGGGCTGCTCTCACAGATGTTTGTGCATCTCAAATGTTCCCTTGGTTTCCTGGGGTTATGCTAGGTTGGGATCTGTGGGGGGCCAGCAGTTTCTCACAGTTGTCAGCAGAGCCTCTGCCAGCAGCTCTGACTTCCACAGCCATTGGTCAGCCAGGGATGCTGTGTATTCTTCCAGCTGGCCTGATGGCTTTAGGATGCTTCTCCCTCTGCGTCCATGGGGGAATGCCTTTCTCTGCTAATCAGCTCTTTCTGGAGTGTTTTGCAGAGCACAGCTGTTGAACTTCAGTGACACAGTCTCTCCTTTGCCCTACAGCCCATGCCTTCCCAGAGTGGACAGCTCAGCTAAGAGGAGTTTGGTTGGGTGATGTCAGACTCCACATCACACTCCCCTGGAACATTCACTCCTCCAAATCCCAGACCTATTCTACCACTAAGCTCACTTATATGTTTGTTTTGTTCTTGGCCATTAGGCATAGCAGGGCTGTTATTGGGTAGCCACTTTAGAGTCCTTTAATATTTCTGGGCAGTTAAGATGCTCCCTAAAACATGCTCAAGGAATCCCAAGAATTTCTTGAAGAAAGTGTTGCCTAATTTCACAACACTGACCTAGCCAGCTGTGTGTAGGGGTGGGGGGAGGTTAGGATAGGAGGCATATTTTTAATTTAAGTGTGAGAAAACTAATAAAATTATCTTTAAAAATGTAAACATGTATATTAATGCCTAGAAGGGTTACTTGGGGCAAGGGTGGTGAAGTGGGCATACAAAACCAAAAAAACACGTGAAGTTTTGATTGTAACTTTCAAACCTGAGCCATTGCCAGCAGTGGTAGCTCCACAGGTTTGAGGCAGCTTGGCTCATTAAATAACATGTTATTATAATGTTTGCTGGAGAGTCTCAGCTATTTGTAGATTAGTTTCTGAAAATTCATTTTGCCTTAACATTTGTACTAGACAGAGGAGGTGGAATGTATGTGTTGTAGGAGGTTGAGAGAGCAAAGTCTAACTGAATATGAAGTAAGGAAGTTGGGGAGGATAAAAAATATTTTGGGAAACTGGACATTTGTCATTCTTTTTGGCTGACTACTCAACTCTTCTCCTTTTATCTTGAGACATTCTCCTTTTTGGCAGAGAGCAGAGTCCTCTTCACTCAGTAGAACTTACATACCATTCTAACCTTCCTTCTAGATAGATTATAGGCATATGACTCAAGATACATGATGATTCATGAGTTCCATCCAAGGCAGATTGTAACTTAGAAGGTAGGAATCCAAAGAGCCAGGGCCACCAGGAAGCTATCTTGGTGAAGTTAATGGTGTCTGTGGTGGCTAGATCCAGTTTCCAGGGCTCATGGTAATGGTTCCAGCAGCCAGCAGGGGCCAATGTCCAGCATCAGTGTTGCCAGTGGGACAAGCAGTTGAGTCTGTGCCTGGTAAAAGCAACAGTTGTGCCTTCACAGAATCAGTTATATGAGGGAATTTTGAACGTTTTTCTTGGGTGGGTGGCATTTAAGATGATTCTGACACTCCTGGAACTTCCATGAGTAACACAATATCCTTCAATAATTTCCTTTCTGCCTTAATCACTCAGCTTGTCAGAGGCGTTTGAAGCAGAGCAACTCCATCTTGAATAGGGGTGGGAAAATGAGTTTGAGACTTGCTGGGCCACATTCCCAGGAGGCTAGGTATCTTAGTCACAAGGTATTTACAGTTAAGGGAACAGAAACAGATCCAGGCAATGTCCTGATGTCCTGATATCTTGAGAACAAAAGCATTCCTAGTTTAAGAACAAGTTTTGCTTTAAAGATAATAATATAGACTCTTGTGAAAGATAGTAGTTACACAAAGATTAGCAATACTTTATCCCAAATCCTTGTGGCAGAGCACATCTCTCCCATGATTTGTCTTTATATACAAACAAGTATTATACCTAAGGTGGGTGCATTCCTGTGCTTACTTTCAGGAACACCCTGCTCTGTCTATGGAGTAGCTATTCTTACATTCCCTTAGTTTTTAAAATAAACACGTATTCACTTTCCTCTGTGGACTTGGTCTGAATTCTTTCCTGCACAAGATCCAAGAACCCTCTCTTGGGGTCTTGATGGGGACAACTTTCTGGTAACTTCCTCCTGGTGAACCACAAAGGGACTAATGAAGAGACCCCTGACCCAAAGGAAATAAACTGCAACACCAATTGGCCAACTTTGGGTAAGTGGTGGGGGTATATTCTATACCAGGTAAAGAATGAAATTGGGTTAGAGACCCAACCTGGAAGGGTTGGAGCTCCACCTAAAACATAGGGGCTTAAAGACTCCTCTTGGTAAAGAGCAAGGATAGTTGTCCAAACTTGGGTTAAAGGCCCAACTTAGGGGGGTTAGAGTCCCTCCTAAGACATAGGGCATTAGAGATGCCCCTTGGTAAGCCCCCTCTTGGTTAAAAATAGATCTGACTCTACAGGATGTTTATCACTATTAACTTTGGATTAATTCACCTTGTCCTCTTTGCTTCCTGAATCAATTCCCTGGTTGCTGCCTTTGTTTCATGGCCACTTTCAGGAGACCTCATTTAACTGGTCTTGGGATTTTGAGTACCAGGATGGAAATCAGGGGATTTTCCTTGCTGTTTTGTTTCATTTGTACACTAACAAAGCTTCTTTCATTTCTTGGATTCAGGCAAATTGGCTTTGTTTGTCCAACTCATGCTGCCACTATTGCCCGGAACCTGCTCTCTCTGGTCATCCGCACCTAAATCCTTCTCATTTCCTTTGCCTTATTTGACATTTCTTTTGTCAGCTTCCATATCATGGTTTATCTAGGGCCCATGGCTCAGCCTGTTTATATTATCTGGCCAATATAAATAAGGGAATTCAATTTTCAGCAGGTTTTCCGTCATAATGCAGCGTGCCTTAAGAACTGTCTCCTTTTTGATGGAACTTGGCCAATGGCAATACAGTCTCACGGGTTTGGAAGTTTTCTTTCAACGTCATCTGCCTCCTTTATGGGGAATACAGCATGGATCCCAGAGGACTCACCACTAGGATGTATTCTTGAACATTGGGACAAGTTTAAACCAAATGGACTTAAGAAAAGAAAGTTGGTGGTTTCATATAATACTGTCTGGCCTCAAATTACTATACTTGGAAAAATAAGAAAAATGGTCAACTACCAGAACTATGGCCTTTAATACTATACTTCCACTTGATTTGTTTTGTAAGTGTGAGGGCAAATGGGATAAAACCAATACGTTCAAGCATTTTTATTGCCCAGTCAAAATAAAACTCTGCAATAGGTATGTGCATGTTTAATGAAAGGAAAGGAAGAAAAAGAATTAGACATACTAGATGATCACTTGATGCAAGACCACCCCCCTCCCCGCCCCCGCCAACCAGTTCAACAGGTACTTTTGTGTGGAACATGTCAGCTCTGATGCTTCAGGTCTATTGGCCTCTTCTTCTAGCCTCTCTGGAAGTCCTGTTGAGACTCCTTTGTCCCCTCCTCCCTACCTGTCTAATCCTAGTCTATACCTGCTACTCCCTGAGGACCCTAGCCCTGCTAGTACTACTTGTAGTGGAGCCTCTTATCAACTTCCAAAGGGAAATTTTTGTCTGCTTAGAGCAGTGGCAAATGGGGAAGAAGGCACTGTAAGGGCACATGTCCCCTTTTCTATGTCTGATTTGACTTTGTGTAGAGAAAGTTGGTCATTTCTCTGAAGATCCAGGGAAATTCATAGATGAGTTTCAGAAATTAACTCTGACTTATAACTTGACCTGGTAGGATCTGTATGTTTTGTTGTCTGTTTGTTGTACAGTGGAAGGGAAGCAATACATTCTGGGAATGGCTCAGACCCATGCAAATGAGGTATTGGCCCATAACCCTAACCATAATATCTACCAGGCAGTGGGTGCAGCAGTCCCTGATCAAGATCCAGGATGGAACTATCAAAGGGGCAGTGAGGACTTGGGGAAGAGAGATCACATGGTCATTTGTTTTTTGGAAGGATTGAAGTATATGAAAAAACCTGTTAATTATGAAAAGGTTAAGAAAAGTATTCACCGTAAAGATGAGCATCCAGCGTTGTGTCAAGTTAAGACAATCAGGCAATATGTAACACTGATCCTGCCTCAAGGAAATAACAGACTTTATTGGGAGTACATTTTATAACCCTATCTGCCCCTGATAGTAATAGGAAACTACAAAAAGCAGCCTTGGGTCCCCGGACTCCTATGAATCAGCGTTTGGATATGGCATTGATAGTTTTTAATAACAAGGACAAAACAAAGGAAGCGGAAAGAGCTAAAAGAACCTTCCACAAAGTGAAGCTTTTGGTTGCAGCCTTAGGTTCACCTCCTGCATGGGTTGCCCTTAAGGCTATTAGCCTGGACAAGGGAAGCTAGAAGGTGGAAAGCCCTGAGTTGGGCTTCCAAGTCACTGTGCCTTGGGCACAAATCAGTGTGCACATTGTCAGAAAATTGGCGATTGGAAGAGGGAATTCCCAGTGTTCTGAAGGGAGCCATCAGCACCTGAACAAATGATGGCCAAAATAGCCAAGCAAGCCCATGAGTGATGGGGCCTCAGACCTTCAGCCACCGGTCCCACTGGACAACTAACCATTTCTTTGGAGGAGCCTCAGGTAAACCTTGAAGTGGCAGATAAGAATATTAACTTTCTTTTGGATACAAGGGCTGCTTTCTCTGTTTTGAACCATTATAATGGGCCACTGTCATCTTAAAACTGTGTGGTCATGGGGATAGATGGACAAACTCATGGATACCATTTTACCTGTCTGTTAAGATGTTCTTTAGGGACTTCAGCTTTCTCATATGCCTTTTCTTATCATGCCTGAATGTCCCACCGCTTTGTTAGGAAATAATTTGTTGACTCAGCTGCAAACAGTGGCATCTTTTGGAGATCACAGGGCAGATAAAGGATTGCTTCTTCTCCTTTTCTGTGATAAGGGAGGAAAGTCAATAGGGACTTATCTAGCTTGCCTATTGAAGTAACCTCCCAAATAAATCCTGTAGTATGGGACATTGAGGTTCCAGACAAAGCATTAAATGTTCCTCTGGTTTGCATTTAGCTTAAGCCTGATGCCCTGTACTCCTGGAAGAGACAAGATCCCCTAAAACCAGAGGCATAAAGAGGGATTCATCCATTAAGAACTAAGTTTTTGCAATTTGGTTTGTTAAGACCCTTTAAGTTTCCTTGTAATACTCTAATCTTGCCAATTAAAAAGCCAAATGGAGACTATATATTTGTTCAAGATCTTTGAGCTGTCAACAGTGCTGTCATTCCCAAACATCCTGTAGTACTCAACCCCTACATGCTGTTAGCCCAGGTCCTTGGGGATGCAAGTTGGTTTACAGTCTTAGATCTCAGGGATTTTTTTTTTTTCTGCATTTGAGTATACCCTGATTCAAAATTTATCTTTGCTTTTGGATGGACTGACCCTTGATAGTCATTTGGTTTCTCAATTAACTTGGATGGTTTTTCCCCAGGAGTGTAGGGACAGCCCACATTTATTTGGAAATACATTGACTAGAGAATTAAAGATGTTAAAATTGAATAGGGGCACTAGTATTTGGTATGTGAATGATTTGTTGGTAGCTAGCCCAACTAAAAGGGGCTCAAATAAAAATGCCATTAAGTTGCTAAATTTTCTGGACACTAATGGGTATAGAGTGTCACTGCATAAGGCCCATGTTTCAACTCAAGAAGTTAAATATTTAAGATATGTCTTAACCCCTGGCACCTGGGCAATAGCCCCCAGAAAAAAAGGAAGTGATCTTGGGAATCCTGGAACCCCAAACCAGAAAGCAGCTATGGGATTTCCTAAGGATGGGAAGATTCTGCTCTTAATGAGTGCCTGGATTTGGGCATATGGCCAAGTCTTTATGTAAGGCTCTAAAAGGAGCACACGTGATCTTTTTGAATGCAGTATCAATTGTAAAACATACTTTTAATACTCTCAAGGAGAAACTGGGAACAACTCCAGCCCTAGGGATCCCCAATCTTGATAAGCCATTTCCTTTATTTGGCTGAAAAACAAGGAACGCTCTGGAAGTCCTTGTCCAGAAACTGGGAGGCATCCCTGACCAGTAGCATATTTTTCTAAGTAATTAGACCATGTAGCTTTGGGATGGCCCAGATGTCTCAGGGCAGTTGCAGCAATGGCTCTTTTGGTATATGAAGCCAATAAACTGGCTTTGGGACAACATCTGGAGGTTTTGACCCCACACCAAGTACAAGGAGTACTAGAAGCTAAAAGACACCAGAGGATGACTGGGGGACATGTATTAAAGTATCAGGTTTTGTTGCTAGACACTCCTGATGTAACCCTTAAAGTCTGCCAGACTTTAAAGCCCGCTACTTATCTGCCTGAATTCACAGGCACCCTAGATCATTCTCGCATACAAGTTATGGAGCAAGTTTATTCCAACTGGTTGTACTTAAAGGATGAGCCTCTAGATAATCCTGAGGTAGAGCAGTTTACATGTGGAAGTAGCTTTGTGCACCAGGGAAACAGAAAAGCCAGGTATGCTATTGTCAGTCAACATGACATAACTGAAGCTCAGCCCTTACTGGCTTCTACCTCAGCTCAAAAGGCTGAATTATTGGCTCTTATTGCCCTACAGTTGGGAAAGGGTTTAAGAGTTAGCATTTCCACTGATTCTAAGTATGCCTTTCTGGTGCTTCATGCTCATGCTGCTATCTGGAAGGAATGAGAACTCCTAATTGCTAAGGGTTCCGTTATAAAACATCACTTGGAAATTCTAAATCTGTTAGACGCCATTTTGCTGCCCAAGGGAGTAGCTATAATCCATTGCAGAGGGCATCTGAAAGGGAACTCCAGTGTGAAAAGGGAAACTCCTTTGCAGATGATGCAGCTAAAGTCACTGCATTAAAGGATCCAGTTAAACTTGTAGATATGTTAGTGCCCACTGCCCCAGTAATAACAGAACTGAGATACACTAAAGAGGAACAAGAATGGGCTAACTGTCATGGCTTAATTCAAGATCCTTCTGGCTGGCTGATTCAGTAATCAGACTATTGACAGCAGACTATTGACACCAGATGCTAATTAAAGGAAAATAAACATTTGCATGACTCTACTCACTTGGGAAGAGATTCTTTGTTTCAATAAATGTTTCATCTTTCTATAGGAAAAGGCTTACGTAAAACCGTAAAGCAGGTAACTTGAGCCTGTGAACTTGGTGCCTGAAATAATCCAAGTAACCCAGCTTTACCTTCTCCTTCAGTAAGGCTTGTTCTGCATAGGGGAACTTATCCCAGTGAAGACTGGCAAATAGACTACACTCAGATGCCCCCGTGAAACGTGTTTGAATATCTATTAGTATTTGTTGACACCTTTTCTAGTCGGATTGAGGCTTTTCCTACCTGGTCTGAAAAGGCAATCAAGGTTTCTAAATTCTTATTAAATGAATAATTCCTAGGTGTGGGCTGCCTAAAAGCTTGCAGACTGATAATGGCCCATCTTTAACTGCAACAATAACCCACAACATATCTTCAGCCCTAGGAATTCAGTACTGCCTTCATTCAGCATGGAGGCCACGTCTTCAGAGAAAGTAGAAAGAGCCAATCGAACTCTAAAGAGAACTGTTGCTAAACTCTGCCAGGAAACATCAGAAGCCTGGCTGACTCTATTGCCTATGGCCTTGTTGCGGGTTTGCACTGCCCTTAGAGGAAACCTACACTTCAGCCCTTTTAAAATAATGTTTGAAAGACTTTTCTTAACTACAGACTTCCTAATAGACATAGATACTTTCAAGCTACAAAATAATGTAATCAACTTAGGACAAGTGCAAAAAGCACTCCTTGAATATGGAAATAAAAGACTTCTTTTCTCTCCTTAGGAAGGGAATCTTACTATAACCTAGTGGGGAGACTGGGTCCTATGAAAAACTTGGAAAGAAGTATCCAAAGCAGATCAGCTTTCTCCCAAATGGAAGGGATCCTATGAAGTCCTCCTTAGTACCCCAATTGCAGTTAAACTTCTAGGAATAAATAGCTAAGTCCAGTTATCTTGAATTAAACCTGTCCCTTATGAAGCCCCACAGGCCACTGGAGATGGAGACTGATCCCACTTATTCCTATGAGCCAATCAGTGACCTCTGGCTCCTGTTCAGAAGAAACAAAAAGGATGGATAACATAAAATATGGACTGGCATTCTACTTTTGGGTATAAGTTAGAATCACACGGAGAATAACTTATTTGCTGCGTGGGCACAGACTTTAGCCTCCCTGCATAATCACGCCAAATGTTGGGTATGTGTAAAATTACCACTTTCCTCCACTTCCAGATTGCCCTGGCATATTCAACCAGCCAACCTAAGTTTATGGGGACTTTATTATGATTGGGAAACTGAAAATAATAAACATACACCCTCTTTCCCCATGCACTATAGCTTGTGTGGCCTAAGCCCCTTTCCTCTCATACAGAGAGACAAAAAGGCACTTTTTTTTTTTGTCTAATTAGGAAACAGATAAATTCCATCCCAACTTAGGTTATACTGTACAGGATGGACTTGGGTGGATGACAGGTATCAAGCAAAGTGTCTCTATGTCTTGAAAGGCACAATAACAGTCACCACCAGACAGGGACCCATGACATGGGATGGTTGCCACCTCAACAATGTAATCAGACCCTTCTTTAACAGACCAAATGTGGTTAGGATGGAAACATAATTCACCAAAAATAGGTGCCTACCCTTCTCCTTGGGGATGGTTATGGGCTTGTAGAACTCATGGCTAGCCATACTTACCTTAAAATTGGATTGGAAGGTGTATGTGGGGTTGTTCTTATCTCCTAGGATGTATGCTCACTAAATTGGACTCTCTGCCATCTAACTGGGAAATTGTAAAGGCTCGCCATAGGTGACAAAAACAAGCATCTTGGTGGTTTTACCTGATGGCTGTAGTTTCCCCACAGGCAGCCGTGATTGATATTGAACTCACCAAACTCACACTTGCAGCTTTCAATAATACACACCATGCCCTTACCCTCCTAACTGGGGAAACTTCTCAAATTAGGCAGGCAGCGTTACAAAACTGCATGTGTTTGGACATTTTAACAGCGGCTCAAGGGAGAACTTGTGCTTTGATCAAAACTGAATGTTGTGTATATGTTACAGACTACTCACATACTATTACCCAAGCTATAAAGGCTTTAGACATTCATATTTCTGCCACTGATGTGCCGTTGGTTGACCCCATATTGGCTTGATTCTAGCAATTGTCTGGTTCTTGGAAAGCCTTCTTGTTTAGTTTACCTGGAGTACTTTTACTTATATTGCCTTGCTGTTGTGGAATATAGTGCAGTGGTACTCTTTGTGTAAGAATGCAAGATAACCTTACTCAATGCTTTCATAAATTGGATACTTATTAATCTTCCAGACTTCACCTTTTATCAGGACTCAGAGTTGTAAAAGACCCTCACCATACCAATGCTTTCTGACTGAGCTCCTCCATACCCTGAATACAAGAGACCCTAATGATTAGATGGGAATATCATTGCCTCTGTTCAGCATAAAGAAGCTACAGACGATGGATCTTCATCCCTCTGCAACTCTTAGGATTAAGGATCTCCTTGTAAAAGGAAGGGGGGAAATGTCAGAGGCATTTGAACAAGAGCAACTCCATCTTGAATAGGGACTGGGTAAAATGAGGCCAAAGCCTGCTGGGCGGCACTTCCGGAAGGTTAGGCATTCTTAGCCACTAGATATTTTTGCATAAGGAAACAGAAACAGACCCAAGACCTAATAGACCCAGGAAATGTCCTGATGTCCCAATATATTAAGAACAAAACCATTCCTAGTTTAAGAATAAGTTTTGCTTTAAAGATAATAATATAGACTCTTGTGAACGGTAGTAGTTATGCAAAGATCAGCAATCCTTTATCCCAAATCCCTGTAGTAGAGTACATCTCCCTCCTGATTTTGGTTATCTGATAAATAAACAAGCTTTATACCTAAGGTGGGTGCGTTCCTCCTTTTATTTTTGGCAACACCCTACTCTGTCTATTCTTTTATTCCTTTACTTTCTTAATAAACTTGCTTTCACTTTATTCTGTGGACTCAAATTCTTTCTTGCACAAGATCCAATAACTCTCTCTTGGGGTCTGGATTGGAACCCCTTTCCAGTAACAAACTTGCAACTAAGAACTCGGACACCAAAATAAATAAACCAACAAAATAATCAAACAATTTGGATTACAACATGCTTGGAAAGGAGGAAAAAGGCCCCATAACCTTATCGCTTTAACACAAAAATACTGACCGCTATGTTTCCCTCAGGGCACCCTCCCAAAAGGATTTCATAAAACACTGGATGTCATGTGGACAAAAAAAGGCTCCATCATAAAATGATTTCAGAAATTTGAGAAATGTTCTGATAATATTACACAGCTTTCTTTACTTTGTTGCATAACTTCTCAAAATCTTTAGTATGGTAATACACTTTAAGAAGATTCAAGAAATGGATAAACAACTACATTTTTCCCCCGGGAACATTTCAAGGGATATTGAGGAACACATGCTGCAAAATGCTGCCTTCTGCTCTTTTTGCATATCCAAGTGATTTACGTCATGATAAGTATAGGGCATGTGCAGTTTTCTTTCCTGCTTTCTTCTATGCTGTCCTGGGACTTTGAAGCAAGGCTTTGCATAGAAGCAGATTCTCTCCATTAGTCTCTGGGGTCTGTAAGTGTTAATCTGAGATGATCCAGCAGCAAGCGAGAAGGTAAGAACCCCTGCCCTGAGCTAGCAGATGGCATCTTGGTACATAGTCTCCGCTCATGTGTACTCTTGTAGAAGCAGATTGTCAGGCCTTGAAATTAGGGCCAAGACCTCCTAATCCTGAAATAAACTTAATTTACTTGGGTATTTCCAGCTCACTAAAAAACATATCCAACTTCCCATTCACTTCCCAAGCTTAAGGGTGCGACCTCTACAGTGATTTTACACAGACTATAAAGGAGGAAAAGAAAACTGATTTTCCAGACTGAAGCATGAGCGACTACAGCAGGGTTTGCCGTGTAAATGGACAAAGAATATCCTCCTTGCTCTCAATTATGCCCACTGTGGAAGGGGCAGAGATTTAAGAAGACTTAACTCAGAGGAATGAAAAATAATGGATCATTTGTGGAGCATGGGCTGTTAAAGGAAAAAAAAAAAAAACCTCCTTTTTACTCTAGTATTTTTTTTCACCTGCTGAGTTGGCCTCAGGAAACATGACACTGATAGCTCTATGCCAACTGTGCTGCATAACTCTGCTGGTTAGAACATGGTACTGAAAAAGTCACAGACATGAATCTCCATTTGAATTTATATTCAATGAGGATAGGGACTTGGTTTTCTTTCACTGCTATATCCCCAGGATGTAGAATAGTTGCACTATAAATATTTGTTGAATTAATGAAATCTATCTTTTTAGAGAAGAACTAGTTTGGCTAGGCCTCACAGACAGAGGTTGAACCTCGAATCCCCACCAGCCTGAAACTTCTAGTTTAGTATATATGTGTGTGTATAAAGGTAATTACTATCATATTTCTCTAAGTTTCCTTTGAAAAACTGTCAAGCCACAGATCTCTGTTTTGTCCTGTTTAGTCAGAATTCACAGTGAATAATCTCCTTGCTGTAAACATGCTTGTTCAGAAATGCATTGCTCTGTTTCTGGTAATATAATGGCTAGGTACCTGCAACAATCTTCTTGCTAATATTAAAAAAGCAAGTTAATGCATATTTTAAAAACTCTTCCTAAAGGCATCCAAGAACTGGTAAAACATAGCAGCAAGGATTTATCAGTCCAACATCTAAGGGAAGGCAGGAACCAAGAGAAGTAAGCAAAACTCCGAAACTGGTTTTACCCTAAGGGCTATTGCTGAACATGATGAGCCTGAGCTTCAATTTTCATATTATTTTAGGACAAGTGCCTCTGTGTGTATGGTGTGTGTGTGTGTGTGTGTGCATGTGTGTATGTGTAAAAGAGAGAAAGAGAGAGACAGAAAACAAAGTTCAAAGCCTATTCCCAAATTCTGTAAATCCAACGTGTCACAAGCTAAGTGTAGATGTGAGTGAGATCTAAACCCAACTTCAACCTTTCCACACACAGGAGATTTCACGGCAAGTAGCTTAAGCACCCAACAAAACAGGGGTTAAAAAAACAAAACAAAACAAAAAAACAAAAAAAAACCGTCTGGGCGCGGTGGCTCACGCCTGTAATCCCAGCACTTTGGGAGGCCGAGGTGGGAGGATCACGAGGTCAGGAGATCGAGACCATGGTGAAACCCCATCTCTACTAACATTACAGAAAATTAGCTGGGCGTGGTGGCGGGCACCTGTAGTCCCAGCTACTCGGGAGGCTGAGGCAGAAGAATGGCGTGAACCTGGGAGGCGGAGCTTTCAGTGAGCCGAGATCGCCCCACTGCACTCCAGCCTGGGCAACAGAGTGAGACTCCGTCTGAAAAAACAAACAAACAAACAAAAAAACAAAAAACAGAGCAAAAATCTGAATGGACACCTTACCAAAGAAGATAGATGACATGTAAGCATGTGAAAAGATACTCAACAACATTTGTTATTAGGGAATTGCAAATAAAACAACAATGAGATACCACTACACACCTATATGGTCAAAAGTAGAAAACTGACAATATAAGATCCTGGCTAAGATTCCGAGAAACAGAAACTCACATTTATTGCTGGTGGGAATGCAAAATGGTACAGCCACTTTGAAAGAGTTTGGCAGTTTCTTACAAAGCTAAACATACTCTTAACTATACCTTCTGGCAATCAAATTTCTACATGTTCATCCAGTTAAGCTGAAAATTTATGTCCACTCAAAAACCTTCACACAAATGTTTGTAAGAGTGTTACTCGTAATTGCCCCACACTGGAAGCAACCAAGATGTTCTTCAATAGGTGAATGGATGAACAAACTGGTATATCCATGAAATATTATTCAGTGATAAAAGAAATAAGCTATGAAGCCATGATAAGATGTGGAGGAATCTTAAATCCATGTTGCTTAATGAAAGAAACCAGTCTGAAAAGACTATATATTATTTGATTACAGTTACATGAAATTCTACAAATGTCAAAACTATACAGTCAGTAAAAGATCAGTGGTTGCCAGAGGTTTAGAAAGTGAGGAATGAATGAACAAAGCACAAGGAATTTTTTTTTTTTTTTAGGGCAGCGAAACTATTCTGTATGCCACTATGACGGAGGATACATGATGTTATGCTTTTGTCAAAACTCATAGGGCGGTACAACACAAACAGTGGACCTCAATGCTTGCAAATTAAGAGAAAAATCATTTAGGTGTCTGAGTGATCCCCAGAAATAATGCAACTGTGACAACAGAATCTAACTAGATCACAAATACATTTTAAAAGATCTCACTGAACAGGGTGGGAGAATTGGTGGGAGAGATAGGTGGTAGGTTTGGAAATAAATGGTGTCTGTTAAGACTAAAGGCAAATGGAACATAAGCACTGGACGCTAGCTGACAAAATTGCTTCCCATGGAGGTACAGGTTAACAATTCTGATACTACTACGGCTGTATACTGGAATTGTACAATTAAGTAAATGGATGGCAGATGGTGGGAGTTAGGTGTCTCACTGTTGGAGTGGGAATTTACAGAGAAGCATGGAGAAGAGGCTAGAATGAGCCATATGGACTAGAGTTGGGGACATCAGTAAGAACTTACGTCATCTGATATAGATAAAAATGGTTATGTGTGGGTTAATATACACACAGATATTTATTTGCCCTGTCAACTGAGAGGGCCTGAGAGAAAAAAATGACACCCAGTAACAATGAACACACCTAGCTCCCAGATCTTGATTTATAATACCATTATCCAATAATAATAATTTTAAAAGTCAGGCTTCTTGGAGAAATGGTTGATTCTAAGACTGGGGCAGGAAATATGCAAAATAAGCCTAGAACATCTTGGAATGCCATAAAGTAAGAAAGTGCTCAAACAAACACAAAAAAATTAAAAAAAAAACAAAACAAAAACTTCACCATGATGTAGGGGTGCAGGGAGCCAACTAGAAGAGCTCTCAAAAGCCAAAACTGGAGGAATTTGAGCCACAAAATGAAGTAGTATTGACTTATAACACAAAGTTAAAGCAAATATCCATGAGTCTATAGAGATAAAAATAAATGATTGAATGAATAAGTAAATGAAAGAGAAGAAACAATTCTCCCATGCAGAAAAATTGCAAGTAATTTCTGTAGATACTTTGCCCTCAAGGAGATGATGTATAACTCAAGTGTGGTCTGCACATAGTGACTTCCAAAAAATACAGTATGGATGGGGGAAAAGAAGAATAACCTAATAATGGAGAAACTTGATAAACAGTATCTCAGCCCAGTGAGTGGGGTCAACCTCAGCAGTGATAAGTCATGTTGATAGTATGTACCCTTGTTATGATGTGATGAAAATGGCACTTTACTTCTGTGTTATTCCTCCTCAAAACAAACTATGTCAAGTCTAATTACAAGAAAAAAAATCAGACAAATCCCAATTGGGAGACATTTTACAAAATATCTGGCCAGTAATCTTCAAAACTGTCAAGGTCATCAAAGACAAGGAAAGCCTTAAAAATCATCACAGCCAAGAGGAACCTAAGGGGACATTGTGACTAAATGTAATGTGTTATCCTGGATGGAATCCGGGAACAGAAGAAGGATATTAGGTGAAAAGAAATCTGGGCTGGGCACGGTGGCTTGCACCTGTAATCCTAGCACTTTGGGAGGCTGAGGCGGGTGGATTGCTTGAGTTCAGGAGTTTGAGACCAACTTGGGCAACATAGAAAGATCCCGTTTCCAAAAAACAAAAAACAAAAAAAAAAGAAAAAAAAAGAAATCTGACTTTAGTTAATAATAATGTGTCAATATCAGCTAATTAATTATAAAAAATATAATATATTAACTTAAGATGTTAATAATAGGGACAACTGGGTATAGAATATATGGAAGCCTTCTGTGCTGCCTTTGTAATTTTTCTGTAAGTCTAAAACTGTTCTAAAAAATACAGTTTATTTAATAAAAAAAGAATAAGTGCTACAGAGTTAACAGCAAAAAGATGATCTGATTGGATAAAATACAAAATCCAACTATATGCTATCTATAAAAGAAACACTAAAATATAAGGATATAGGGTAAAAGAAAAAAGAATGAAAAAAGATACATCAGGCAAAATCTAACCAAAAGGAAACTACTGTAATTATTTTAAGATCAGAAAAGCCAAAATTCTTACCAGAGATAATCACTTCATAGAAACAAACAAAAAAACCCACTTCAGTTTATCAAAAAGTTATAATAATTTTAAATTATATATACCTTAATAATAAGACATCCAAATATTCAAGCAAAAATGGTCAGAATTCAAAGAAGAAATAGACAAATCCATAATCATATTGGGTTATTTTATTTTATTTTGAGATGGAGTCTTGCTCTATGGCCAAGGCTGGAGTGTAGTGAGGTGATCTCGGCTCACTGCAACCTCCACCTCCTGGGTTCAAGTGATTCTCGTGCCTCAGCCTCTCAAGTAGCTGGGACAACAGGCATGGGCCACCAAACCCAGCTAATTTTTGTATTTTTTAGTAGAGACAGGGTTTCACCGTGTTGGCCGGGCTGGTCTCGAGCTCCTGACCTCAAGTGATCCGCCCGGCTCCGCCTCCCAAAGTGCTGGGATTACAAGCAGGAGCCACTGCACCTGGCCTCTTAGTAGGTCATTTTAATACTCCTTTTTCAATAATTGATTGAACAAGCGAATAAAAGTATCAATTGAAATTTAGAGTATTTTGAACAACCCGATGGAAAAACTTGACTTAATGAACACATATCATTGCCTTGACCAGTGCAGCATATCCATTTTTTTCAAAATACGCAGAATATCTTACGAAAATTGGCTATATGCTGACTGTAAAGCAAACCTACACAAGTTTTAAAAGACTGAAAAATGTAGATGGAGTCTTCTGAGCACAACCAAATTAAGCTAGAAATTGATGATAGAATGATAACTAGAAGGTTTATTGTTTTGAGGAAGAAAAAACACTTCTAAATAACCCTTGGTTCAAAAAAGAAATGCTTATGGAAATTAGAAAAAATTTAAATCGAATGAAAATATAAAATACTACAAATCAAAATGTGTGAGATGAAGCTAAAGCAGGACTTGAAGAAAATTTTGTACTCCAAATGCCAACATAAATAAAAAGATTAATCAAATTTAACAATGTATAAAACTGATAATACATCCTGACAAAGCTGAGTTTATCTCAAGAATGTAATATTTTAATATAGAAAATTATGTTTATTTTAACATTACTAGATGAATGGAGGAAAGTCATGTTATGATAACTAACAATAGGTGCAGAAAATATATTATCCAGTATAACATTTAGCAAAGCATTTAGCAACGTGGAAGTAAGCATTGTAAACATTTAGCAAAGTGAAAGTAGAAAAGAATTATTTAATTTAATAGAAGGTATCTATAAAAATAAAAGGGGAGAGAAGAAGAGAAAGCATCATTTGTAATGATACAATTTTGAAAACTTTCTTTTTGAGATTAAAAGAAAATGAGATGAGAGTGCTATCTCTCACCACTTACATTGCTCTGGAGATTTTAACCAATGAAATAAGGCAGGAAAAAAAGAATAAAAGATGTAATGTTTAGGACAAAAGAAATAATACTTTATTATTTAAAATATGATTTACATACTATTTTAACTGATGCAGTTTACTTTTACCTTTTTTTTTTTTAAAGAAAACATACAAGATATTATTTTATAGAATGGAAGAATAGGCCAGGCACAGTGGCTCACACCTATAATCCCAGCACTTCAGGAGGCCGAGGCAGGCGGATCACTTGAGGTCAGGAGTTTGAGACCAGCCTGGCCAACATGGTAAAACCCTGTCTTTACTAAAAATACAAAAATTAGCTGGGTGCGGTAGAACATGCCTGTAATCCCAGCTACTCAAAAGGCTAAGGCAGGAGAATTTCTTGAACCTGGGATGTGAAGGTTGCAATGAGCCAAGATGGTGCCACTGCACTCTAGCTTGGGCAACAGAGTGAGTGAGACTCTGTCTCAAGAAAAAAAAAAAAAAGAATGGAAGGATAAATGATTAGAATTAATGAGTTTGGTATGCATGCTAAAAGATTAGTGTACAAAATTAAATTATATTTCTGCGTATCAGCAACAGAGAGTTAGAAAATGAAATTTTTACAAAGGTAATCATTTACAAGATTACTTTTACAAGAATGCAAGGCCCCAACAATTCTTCGTGCAGGCCACAAGGGGTTGCTTTTGCAGTGAAAAATCTTGCAGGACAAGATAATGTCTTCCTCTGGAGAAAAGAGCAAGCCTGCTTCTTGCTTGCAATGGAATAATGGCTTTCCCAAGCTCAGTGTTCCTCAGCTGTCAGGCAAACCCCCTCCGTGCATAGCATCCACCTGTAATCCTTCATGGGACTTGGGTTGAGGAAAACCAATGCACATGCTGCTTGCTAGGCCGTAAGTAATAGAGTTTTCATCTCTTCAGGAGGCTTGTGTCTTCTGCCAGCATTCATGAAACAATAATAGGTCAACTTATTAGCTTGTAAGTAGTATAAAATCAAATCTCAGACCCAAAATAGTACCTGGAAGGGAATCTAATAAGAGACATGTAAAACCTCTTAGATGAAAATTATAACTTTTTATTGAAAGATATTAAATAAGACATAAATTGAGAGGTATTCGGTGTTCATTGACTGGAGGACCCAACATTGCAAAAAGGCCTATTCTTCCAAGTTGATGTATGGAGTTAGTGCAATTCCAATTAAAATTCTCACTGTTTTTTTTTGTGTTTGTTTGTTTGTTGTTGTTGTTGAAAACTTACAAGCTGGTTAAAGAACTTGTTTGGAAAGGCAGAGTCAAGAATAGCCGAATTCACTGACAAGAAAGAACAAGGTGGGAGGTCTTGCCCTAAAGATATTAATAATTGTTTTAAAACCGTAATAATCGAGATGGTGTAGTATTGGAACAGAGATCAACAAAAAGAAGTACATTAGAAAGATGGCACTGTGGATCAGTGGGCAAGATAGACTTGTAAATAAATAGTAATGGGGAAATTTGCTACTCATATGGGAAGAAACAAAAATACATTCCTGCCTCACATCATATATTGTGTTGAATGATATAGAATAGCAATTTTGTAGGTCAAAAGCTGTCAAGTATAGGCAATTTTATTCGACCTAATGAAACCTAATAATAATTTAATTCAACCTAATTAAAAATTCTGGGTAGATTAAAAACCTAAATGTAAAAGGTAAAACCACAACGTTTCTGAAGATAACATGGGAGAATATATTCTTGTCTCAGGATCAGAAAACAAGGCCAACAAACACTAACCATTAAGGAAAAGATTGATAAATTTGACTACATAAAAACCAAAAAATTCTCTTTATTGAAGACATCATAAAGAGGGTGGAAAGACAAGCAAATAGTACAAGATAAGATATAAATGCACATAACTGAAAAATGCTTCCTATCTAGAAAAAAAAAAACTCCTAAAACCAATAAGAAAATGACAAACAACCTAACAGAAAAATGGTTCAATGAGTTATGCAGATCTTTCAAATCTGACATATCTTATTATACAATATCAAAAAATTACATTTTTAACATGACTACTGATCTCATCAGAAAAGATCTTAAATGCTGGGAAGCTGTCAAGCTTACTGTGGTAGATACAAATTTTTCAAAATTCTAATTTTCTCTTGAGAGCTCAAATTTTATCAAGATTGTTTTCCTTGAAGTGACAGGTTCACTTGCTCATTTTTGAGGAAATGTCTGCCAGATACCCAAGTCTGAGAAAACCATAGTTTGTCAGTTGTTCTTTCAAGTAAAAATGGCATTTCATGAAAAAAGCAACTAGTTCAGCTGGTGATTCAAACAATCACGCAAGTTCTTTTCCTCAAGACGATCATTGTACTTGGGTATGCCGCAGAAGTGCTTTAAGCATTCTTTCCATTTAGTCACACAGAATTAAAAAGACATGCAATCACGGTCAAGATGTACTAAAGTTAATAATTTCTGCTCTTTTGTCAAGGATATTCTTAAGGGAAGTGATTTTTTGTTTGTTTTACTGGGAATAAAAAATATAATTACTGTGAGTACGGTTTGTTGCCATTGCCTTGATTTGTGCTAAGACCCCTGTAGTTTTGCCAACCATTGGTGCAACTGTCGATGTGAAGAAATTTTTCCTTAATATTGTTATAAAAATAGTGTGGATTTTGTGGGTCCCCTGAAAAGGCCTCATGGGCTCCTAAGGATCCATGGACTACAGTTTGACAAATGTTGACCCAGAGGGGTGATTTTGCCGATGTCAACAAGGTAGTAATAAAAACACCTAAAATCCGTGTGGTCATTATCTTTCTTTTCTGCCATAAGGTCTCTTGGGACCATTCTGCCTGAAATGGTAATCAGGGCATTTTGATGGGTTCTATATGATGAAGCACTTTTGACATAACTCATTTGACTACACAACTGACATGACTTTGGGATGGATGCAGTGAGTTCAAAGACGGACAGAAATTAAGTTCAACTCTCCTTAACTTTTTTTCAAACCTGGAAGTTAATAATAGACTTCTTCTTTTTAGACTGGGTCAAAACTTTCCTGATGTCTAAATGTCATAAATCTACTTACCATATTTTACAAGGTAAGATGCCTTTAATAGTGTTCAATTAAACTACATTTGGCCTGAGGATGCCTCCATACTTTGAATCCTTACATAATGAACTGCAACCTAACTTAGTACATAAAGTAACTCAAAGCCTAACTTCTGTCACAAATGGCTGAGGCTCAGCCAATCACAACAGTGGAGCTTCAGTCAGTTGCAGGCAGCCCACGGATCAGGTGATGTTCAGAAAAGGTAAACGCAGAGCTGTAACCAATAAGGCTGTTTCTGCACCTCACTTCTGTTTTCTGTCCATTAATGCTTCCTGCCCACGTTGTGGGGAGGAGCTCTCTGAACCTCTGCTGCTTCTGAGGGATTCAAGAATATATTTTTTGCTCAATTAAACTCCTAAATCTAATTTGTCTAAAGCTTTTCTTTTAACAGTACCAATTAACAGAAAACCCAACTGAAACTGTCTTAAACAAACAAACAAAAAAAGGAGATACATTCATGATTCCGGGTCAGAACTGACTTAGCAATTTGAAAATGTAATCAGAACTCAGTTTCTTTCAGAGTTTCTGTTTAGCCTCATGTGGTGTCAGCTTCATTCTAAGCCTGGCTTTTTTTCATTTTAAGCCTGGCTTTTTTCCCTAGTGCAGGGAAAATGAAAGCACTGGTTCTTAGAGTTTCTTTCATACACTACAAAATTTAGAGAGAGTGAGAATTTCATTTCGTGAAGCTAACAGACATCTGCTGTAATACTCTTGAACTGAATTGGGACATGTGTTTCCCCTTGAAAAGATAACTGTGAGCCAGAATGGGATTGTAATAATTGATGTAGGCCTGAACAACTGTGTTCTACCCCTGCAGCAGTGGTTTTCAAAGGGAAATGATTTTGCCCCCGTGGAACAACTGGAGGGAGGGAGGTGTGCTACTGGTATCTAGTGGGTGGAGGCCAGGGAAGATGCTAAACATGTAGCAATGTTATGGTGCACAGGACGGTCCATCCCTCCACCCGCCAACAAAGAATTAGCTGGCTCAGAATGTCAATAGTGCCAACATTGAGAAACTCTGCCCTAGGGGAAGGTGTGTATATCTGAATGAATTTGGGGGAATTTAGCAAGAATAAAGGGAATAGATGTTGGGGAGGCAGGCAAGTATTAAGTCTATTACGTATACTTTTCCCCACTTCTGGTCTATTGGAAGACCTTTCCTGTGGAAAACTATCTTCTATTTGGCCTCAATTCCCACTCAGGAAATTGGGAAGACATTTTTACTTTCATTAGGAATAGAAAAGGATTCAAATGTTGCTGATTGCCTTTGAATACTTTAAGGATTGAATAAGTGTGATAGTATCTGAAGTGAAAGGAAAAGAAAATTCTCTCTTAGGTGGACACTGTGAAAGTTGTCAGAATCAAAATGGAGTTGCTTGTGTTAAAAAAAAAATCTTGACAAATAGATCCAGGGAAGGCCATGAAGAGAAGGTTCTCATGCATATGTGACTGATAATAAGAATATCACAAAAGACTGAAAAAAACACAACTTTGCACAAAGGCCATTACAACCTTACGCAAAAAAATACTCCTGTGGGGACAGCTGCCCAGCAACTGCCTGTCCAGTCTTGAGCTAGTGCTACTCTTGTTCTTGATCCTTGTAGTCAAGGATAGTTAACTACAGTGTGTGTGTTCCCATTGTAATGCTGCACCCCCAAATAAGCATCACTTTCTTCTATACAGCTTCTCTGATAGAAATGGTGTCCAGAAGTGGGACCTTACATAAGATCACTTTTGGAAGGAATTGGTGATTCCTGGAACTGATATGCAGTACTCACCTGAGCTCTATGGGCTCTCTCCTTCATGGCTCACCTTTTCTGCACAAGGAGTCTTGTCTCAAGCCAAACCCCCTTCTTTTTGGTACAGGCTTTTTGAATTTATTCGGGATTTGGTTTTGTTATAAGGCTATCTTAAATAAAAACCTTGCATCTATCTGTCTTGGGACCGTGAAAGTGTTTTATTTTTTTTTCTTTTTTTTTTTGTTTGTTGAAAGCCTTTTCTTGTATAAAGACAAGTGTCCTGGTCTGAGTAGCTTGGTTTCTACAGGATTTACATTCTCTGTGGGGCATATCTTTTCTGGTGAATTCATCTTGGTTCTGCGTGCCTAATTTAATATTGTGTTTGATCTGTATGCCTGATTTAAAATATTTGTGAACACACTGATTTCAGTTTCATTTTGGCGTGGTTAGGTGTGCGTACAAATGATTTGACTCTTTTCCCTTGCTTGTTTTTGAAAATCTTCTGAGTGCAAAAAAGAACATTCTAAATGGTGGATGCAAGATGGCCAGTTAAAAGCCACTTAGGACAGTCACCACCATATAAACACCAGTCCAAACTCCTGATATCCCCCGATCAAAGTTATAGGATTTTCTTTGCTCTGGAAAGATTGATAAGAAAGGGAATGGGATTCTCAAAATTCTAAGGCATGCCAGTTTTTCTATGGCCCCAGCAGACTACATCGCTTTTCTCATGTGCATTTCTAAATCCATGGCTATCATGGAGATGATTTGAACTCACCAAGCCTGTTTTTCTTGGAGCTGAAGTAAAAACTGCAACTACAGAGTTAATATATAGAGCCTTCTAAGATCTCTCGTTATTTATTTATTTTTTTCCAGCCTACTTCTGACCTTTGTGCTGATGTTGAGATGAACACCAAATATTCAGAGCCTACAAAAATGATTAACAGGGAAATAACTTGAAGTGATGACTTGCTTTGTTCAATATGTCAGTTTTCATAAATGGTCTAGGTAAATTTTTGAAAAATAAATAATTTAGGTAAAAAACTGGGTAAATAACAAAATTAAGGCAGAAATAAATACGTTATTTGAAACCAGTGAGAACAAAGACACAACGTACCAGAATCTCTGGGACACATTTAAAGCAGTGTGTAGAGGGAAATTTATAGTACTAAATGCCCGCAGGAGAAAGTGGGAAAGATCTAAAATCGACACCCGAACATCACAATTAAAAGAACTAGAGAAGCAAGAGCAAACTAATTTGAAAGCTAGCAGAAGACGAGAAATAACTAAGATCAGAGAAGAACTGAAGGAGATAGAGACACAAAAACCCCCTCTAAAAATCAATGAATCAATGAATCCAGGAGCTGGTTTTTTGAAAAGATTAACAAAATATATAGGCCACTAGCCACATTAATAAAGAAGAAAAGAGAGAAGAATCAAATAAACACAATAAAAAATGATAAACGGGATATCACCACTGATCTCACAGAAGAAAAACTAGCATCAGAGAATACTATAAACACCTCTATGCAAATAAACTAGAAAATCTAGAAGAAATGGATAAATTCCTGGACACATACACCCTCCCAAGACTATATCAAGAAGAAGTGAAATCCCTGAACAGACAAGTAACAAGTTCTGAAACTGAGGCAGTAATTAATAGCCTACCAACCAAAAAATGTCCAGGACCAGACAGATTCATAGCCAAATTCTACCAGAGGTACAAAAAGGAACTGGTACCATTCCTTCTGAAACTATTCCAAACAATAGAAGAAAGGAATCCTCCCTAACTCATTTTATGAGGCCAGCATCACCCTGATACCAAAATCTGGCAGAGACAAAACAACAACAACAAATTTTAGGCCAATATCCTTGATGAACATCTATATAAAAATCCTCAATAAAATACTGGCAAACCGAATCCAGCAGCACATCAAAAATCTTATCCACCATGATCATGTCGGCTTCACCCTTGGGATGCAAGGCTGGTTCAACATACGCAAATCAATAAACACAATTCATCACATAAACAGAACCAATGGCAAAAACCACATGATTATCTCAACAGATGCAGAAAAGGCCTTCGATAAAATTCAACACCCCTTCATGCTAAAAACTCTCAATAAACTAGGTACTGATGGAACATATCTCAAAATAATAAGAGCTATTTATGACAAACCCACAGCCAATATCATACTGAATGGGCAAAAGCTGGAAGCATTCCCTTTGAAAACTGGCACAAGACAAGGATGCCTTCTCTCACCATACTATTAGTCCATGCTCTTCAACATAGTATTGGAAGTTCTGGCCAGGGCAATCAGGCAAGAGAAAGAAAGAAAGGGTATTCAAATAGGAAGAGAGGAAGTCAAATTGTCTCTGTTTGCAGATGACATGATTGTATATTTAGAAAACCCCATTGTCTCAGCCCAAAGTCTCCTTAAGCTGATAAGCACCTTCAGCAAAGTCTCAGGATACAAAATCAATGTGCAAAAACCAGAAGCATTCCTGTACACCAAGAACAGACAAACAGAGAGCCAAATCATGAGTGAACTCCCATTCACAATTGCTACAAAGAGAATAAAATACCTAGGAATCCAACTTACAAGGGATGTGAAGGACCACTTCAAGGAGAACTACAAACCACTGCTCAAGGGAAGAGAGAGGACACAAACAAATGGAAAAACATTCCATGCTCATGGATAGGAAGAATCAATATCATGAAAATGGCCATACTGCCCAAAGTAATTTATGTATTCAGTGCTATCCCCATCAAGCTACCATTGACTTTCTTCACAGAATTAGAAAAAACTACTTTAAATTTCATATGCAACCAAAAAAGAGCCTGTATAGCCAAGAAAATCCTAAGCAAAAAGAACAAAGCTGGAGGCACCATGCTACCTGACTTCAAACTATACTACAAGGCTACAGTAACCAAAACAGCATGGTACTGATACTAAAACAGATATATAGACCAATGGAACAGAACAGAGACCTCAGAAATAATGCTGCACATCTACAACCATCTGATCTTTGACAAACCTGACAAAAGCAAGCAATAGGGAAAGGATTCCCTATTTAATAAATGGTGTTGGGAAAACTGGCTAACCATATGCAGAAAACTGAAACTGGACTGTTCCTACAAAATTTGACTCAAGATGGATAAAGACTTAAAAGCCATAAAAACTCTAGAGGAATACCTAGACATTGCCATTCAGGACATAGGCATAGGCAAGGACTTCATGACTAAAACACTGAAAGCAATGACAACAAAAGCCAAAATTGACAAATGGGATCTAATTAAACTAAAGAGCTTCTGCACAGCAAAAGAAACTATCATCAGAGTGAACAGGCAACCTACAGAATGGGAGAAAATTTTTGCAATCTACTTATCTGTTAAAGGGCTAATATCCAGAATCTACAAGGAACTTAAACAAGTTTACAAGAAAAAAACAACCCCATCAAAAAGTGGGCGAAGGATATGAACAGACACTTCTCAAAAGAATACATTTATGCGGCCAACAAACATATGAAAAAAAGCTCATCATCACTGGTCATTAGAGAAACGCAAATCAAGACTACATTGAGATACCATCTTATGCCAGTTAGAATGGCGATCATTAAAAAGTCAGGAATCAACAGATGCTGGAGAGGATGTGGAGAAATAGGAATGCTTTTACACTGTTGGTGGGAGTGTAAATTAGTTCAATCATTGTGGAAGACAGTGTGGCAATTTCTCAAGGATCTAGAACCAGAAATAGCATTTAACCCAGCAATTCCATTACTGGGTATATACCCAAAGGATTATCAATCATTCTGCTATAGAGACACATGCACACATATGTTTATTGCAGCACTATTCACAATAGCAAAGACTTGGAACCAACCCACACATATACACCATGGAATACTATATAGCCATGAAAAAGAATAAGTTCATGTCCTTTGCAGAAGCATGGATGAAGCTGGAAACCATCATTCTCAGCAAACTAACACAGGAACAGAAAACCAAACACTGCATGTTCTCACTCATAAGTGGGAGTTCAACAATGAGAACACATGGACACAGGGAGGGGAACATCACACACGAGGGCCTGTAGAGGGGTGGAGGGCTACGGGACAGATAGCATTAGGAGAAATACCTAATGTAGATGACGGGTTGATGTTTGCAGTAAACCACCATGTTACGTGTATACCTATGTAACAAACTTGCACATTCTGCACATGTAACCCAGAACTTAAAGTATAATAATAAAAAAATGCAATAATGAGAAGAAAAAATAAAAAAATAGAAAATAAGTCAAATACATGTTTATAAATGAACTTTTCATGTGATTTAAAGTCTTAAAATTATGTTAAATTAAGTGATAGATATTAACGTCTAGGTCATTTACAAATAAGATAAAATACTGAGATGTAGCTGACAGTTCAAAATTTCTTGCTTCCTAGGTTTTCACTAGAAATTGAGGTTACTAAGAGTCAAAAATTCTAAGTAATATATAATTCTGTTCACAAAGTGTACCAAAAAGTAAGATGTGTTTTTAATGAGAGAAATTATAAGGAAGGCATAAAAATGTATTCCTCAGCCAGGCGCGGTGGCTCACACCTCTAATCCCAGCACTTTGGGAGGCAAGTGAGCGGATCACGAGGTCAGGAGATCAAGACCATCCTGGTTAACATGGTGAAACCCTTGTCTCTACTAAAAATACAAAAAAATTAGCCAGGTGTGGTGGTGGGCACCTGTAGTCCCAGCTACTTGGGAGGCTGAGCAGGAGAATGGTGTGAACACAGGAGGTGGAGCTTGCCGTGAGCCAAGATCGTGCCACTGCACTCCAGCCTGGGCAGCAGAGTGAGACTTTGACTCAAAAAAAAAAACAAAAAACAACAAAACGTATTCCTCATTGAGAAGAAAAAAATTTAGTCTCAATCCAGAGGCTTGTTTCCAGAAGTAAATTTAGAAAAGACGTAGAACAAGATAGAAAGGAACCAGTAAGTAGTAGAGTGAGAGATGTGAAGAAAGGTACAGGTATAAAGATGTATTTTTGGTAAGGAAGATTAAAAAAGAACAAAAGAAAAATTTTCTATGAGAAAGAATTTTGTGTAGTGAATTTTTTCCTAAAGTAAAATGACTAGTTATTTAAGAAAGAGGAAACACAGGACAAAGCAAAAGGCTGAAGCATGTCGTTGACAGTCTGAGTAAGTTGTGATAAGGTTTGTGAAGGATGAATTTAGGAAAGAAATTTTGTCTGTGATCAAGTTGGCTATAATTAGATGGAAATTATGTCTTTCTAAAGATTGAGCTTTGATATAAAAATTGAGCTTTTGATATGAAAAATTAAAAAGATTGAGCTTTGATATATAACTAAAAAATTTTGGTTCCCTGTGTTAGCACAACCAAGTTTCTTTTGAAGTATTGATCTTGTCTTAGTAAAAGTTGCAAGAGGTTTTGATTTTTGATTCTGAAATCTGTTTCTTTTAATTTTCAGTTATCTTCTGAACTGCAGCTTCTTCCTGTTGTACAGTTTATGTTTCTGCCACATTTCTTCCTGAGATACATTTAGTTTTTCCTAGTTTCTGGTTAGAAATGCTGTTTTCCTCATTTAGAATGATAATTTCAATTATCAAGGTAAAGTTTTCCTCTTGAAGATTCTTGGATTCGTATATCAGAAGTTCAGCTTTTGCTGTGTCTCTGCATGAGATTTGTAGGTCACATATCATTGCCTTCTGATCTCCTCCTTTCTCTCCTTGAGAAGGTCTGGGATGAGAACTCTCTCCTTAAATATTTTTGCCAGCTCCTATAATGTTCTCTCTATTTCTATCCCTACTGTTATGGCCTGACACTGAAATGTTTCCCTTGAAAGCCTAGCAAAGCAATGTTTTCCTCCAGTATAACTTGACTCCCTATTCTTGGCTTTTCTTGATGTGTCTTGATTGCTTCATGTAGCCAGAAAACTTCCCATGCTATTACTAAAAGCCATGGATTACCCTGCTCAAGGTGTTGGTTTTCCTGTTTATGTTCCTCTTTAATGTGGTGTACACTCATAGCTTTGAACATGTTCTTCCTGTGTCTGATTAAATTCAAGTGCCTTTTCATCAGGTTTGACTCCAGGATATCTAAATGGGTTTCCCATAAAAAGAAGCAATCATACTGCCAGAAGATTTTAATAAAAACAAAATCCTTTTGGTAACTGGCCTGAGAAACAAAGATTGTATATTTTATTAAGATAATTTCATGTTGTGTTTATTAGGTTTTTGATTACTTAGAGAAACTGAGTTTTGATGAGGTTAAGGATTTTTACATCCACGTAACTTTCTGTATTGCTTTTGAAGTCTTTTGATTATCACTCTAGTTAAATGAATAGCTAGTATTTCCACAGTGACCTGTGATCCTGTTTTGATCAAGTGTTTTAAACCTTTGGGTACCTTTGAAAGACTTCCCCATATCAAAATTCTAAATTAAGTATTTTTGACCTAAAATTGACTTTGATATTTTTCAGTGGTGTCCCTGGAGAGCTTCAAAGGATGTATTCCTCATCTTGTAGAGAGATATTAAATGATTAGGCTTATTTGGTAAATTATATGGGAAACATTGTCAAATGAGAAGTGATACTAGATCTTTTTCCAGTTACATTTATGGGTATGTTACTAATAAAAATGTTTCAAAACTGTATATAAAATTCTTTTTTTTTGAGACGAAGTCTCGTTCTTGTCCCCCAGGCTGGAGTGCAATGGCGCGATCTCGGCTCACTGCACCTCTGCCTCCCAGGTTCAAGCGATTCTCCTGCCTCAGCCTCCCGAGTAGCTAGGAATACAGATGCCTGCCACCACGCTGGGCTAACTTTTGTATTTTTAGTAAAGACGGGGTTTCACCATGTTGGCCAGGCTGGTCTTAAACTCCTGACCTCAGGTGATCCTCCTGCCTCGGCCTCCCAAAGTGCTGAGATTACAGGTGTGAGCCACCGCGCCTGGCCCTATAAAATTCTTAAAAGTGTAATATGTCATATCTGTAACAGTTCTGGTTATTATATTGAATGCCACAAAAATCCCAAATTCCCTTGTCAATTGCTGATTGTAATGAACTTTCATCAGATTTTTAACGATGGCTATTTTAAGTCTGTCTTCCACGTTATCGTCTCAATTTTTCTCTAAAAGCATTTGTAATCAGATTCATGGAAAAGATACTAACAAGTATTCTTAAATACAGGTTTCTAATAGCTTTAAAATCAATGGACTAAATAAAAATGTCCCAGAATTCTAATAAAAATACTGATGGATTCATGAAGATGCTAATCAAGACAAAGCAGAACAAAATTAATGACATTGGAAAACTGGTGAAAAAAACGTTTGTTTCCTTTTTCTTTGAGACGGAGTCTCACTCTGTGCCCAGGCTGAAGTGCAGTGGTGCGGTCTTGGCTCACTGCAGTCTCCGCCTCCAAGGTTCAAGCTATTCTCATGTCTCAGCCTCCTGAGTAGCTGGGACTACAGGCGCACATCATTAAGCCTGGCTAATTTTTGTATTTTTAGTAGAGATGGGGTTTTGCCATGTTGGCCAGGCTGGTCTACAACTTCTGACTTCAAGTGATCCACACTCCTTGGCCTCCCAATGTGCTGGGATTACAGATGTGAGCCACTGCACCAGGCCAAAAATAATGTTTTTATGACTTTTATTTGAAACATCATTCGTTCTTTACTTAAATGCTTTATTTTTCAGATTTAAGGAAATTTTATCTCTTAAGCTATCTATTTGGTAAGGTATACTGCTGTGAACAAAGGTGAAAACATTTGCTTTTTCTTCTTATTTGATCCCTCCAAAATTTGAAAACATTTGTGAGTATTCTTCTTCTTCTTGTTATTTTTTGCAATATGGTTACTTGCATAAATTCAATAAGAATCTGCTCCCTTTATACAGGATATGCCTTTACCTCATTATACTCCTGAAAGCAAGATGGGTCACCAGCAGCTCTGCTGGAGAAAATTCAGCCAGGGTTTGCACTCTTGCTGCGTCTGCTCAAACTGGCATAGTCTGATCCAGAAATATGGCCTCAGTAGGTGCCACCGGTGTTTCCATCAGTACATGAAGGATATAGGTTTCATTTAGTTGGACTAAGTGATCTTCTTTAAATGGATTATCCAAGGCATCCATGCAATGAAAGAAACCATGTTACCTATTTTTACATAAAATAAAAATTTTATAAAACAAGCAAAAAATATAACAGTATACAATAGAATTCATTGGTTATATTACCAAGGCTTTGACTGAAATGTCGTATTTGTGAATGTGCATAGAATGCCTGACTTCAAAGATTCTCACCCTTACAGTGAGTGAATGAAAATTGTCACTTCCTGGCAGGCCCAAGAACCTTCAGACTATAAGTGAAATCTAAAGTCTTCCTTGATGTGGCTTTCTAGCCTGAGGAAGTTTTGAGACTTTGATTTCTTTTTATCACTTTTTATCTCAACATTGATCACTTTTTATCTCTACGTTGAATTACACAGGAAATTCAGATTTGAGTTCCTATGCAATTCCTATGTACTTTCTATGTTTTAAAAACACTAGAATACTCCTTTTATTAAACTGTAGCCATATGCATTGTTTCCAAATTCTTGTTATCTATCTATAGACTGGACTAAATCCTAAATTCTTCTAGTTTCTTCCAGTTCAATTTTCTTCCATAGAATTACCAAAAATAAGAAATGCTTTGTTCTGGAAGCCCTATACACTGAAGTTATTAATAGGTAAATTTTAAGGAACAAGTCTCAGGGTTGATGTATAGGTCATACAAAGTTCATCAAACTGTCTGATGCCATCAACAAAGACATTCGAACTGCAAACCAGTACAAGAAGGTGATGTTTTTATGCTGTAGACAGCTTTTACCAAGATATTAGAACAGTATTCCATATCATAATGAGAGTCTTACGCCTCTTAATTTCTACCTTTTTCATTTGGCAGGATAATGGTTGTATGATTTATTTAATTGGTTGTCTTTTTAAGCCAAGGTTCATGGCTGAAAACTGTTATGCAAACTGGGATTGGCATATTACAATTAATTTTACTTTGTATTTTTATTTTTAAAACTTTGTATCTGTTACTTGTTAAATTTTTGCAGACATATAACTCCTGAGAAAATAATGCAGGCCCAACACTTGAGATGATGATAAAAGACTATGGAACAGACAAAATTGAACCTAATAATGAATTGGGGTAGATGTAGCCTGAGAGCTACTCCCTTCAAACCTCCCTTGTTGCTCAAATGTGGTTAAAGGGATTTTGACATGTCTCCTAGGCACCATTCACTCCTTCCCATGAGGAACCAGACCAACAGTCTGGGATAGGTCCATCCCAGCATCCAGGGACAATGAAAACCTAACTACAGGATGATTGATCACTGGTGCTTTTGGAGAAAGATCTTGATCAAAAAGGGGAAATGTGAAAGCTTTCAGAATCAAAATGAGGTCACTTGTGTTAAACAAACAAACAAGAAAACAAACAAACAAAATCCTGACAAAACCAAGGAAGGCCATGATGGGGAGGTTCTCATGCATAAAAGGCTGATAACAAAAACTGTCATGAAAGACTGCAAAAATCACAACATGGCACAAAGGCCATTGCAATCTTAAACACACACACAGAAAAATACTCCTGTAGGAACACTGCCCAGCAACTACCTGTTAACATTGAATTGGCATCACCCTTGTTACTGATCCTTGTAGTCAAGGACAATAATCTCAAAAACAATTATGTAATCCTCCTTACTTTTCCTTTAAAGGTCTTTGTCTTCCTTTATCTTCCCAACTATGCACGTAGTTTACTATGGCATGTGTATTCCAATTGCAAAGCGGTATTCTCCACAAAATACCATTTTTCTTTTAAGAGAGTCTCTGTTTGTTATGTAGGTTGACAACATCAAAGTATTATGGTTTCCCTAAATTATTAGGTAATCTGTGATTTTCTGGGCTTCCAGTTCCCTAGCTGGATGTTGTGACCAAGCCAACTGTATACTTATAAGGCCTTCCAAATAGTTTCTGCAAACTATTATACATCCTGAAATAAAATGCCTAAATATTTGCAGAGGCCCGTATGGCTGCTTCTCAGACAAAGAAGAGAGAACTCTGACTGTTGAGAGTATCCTCAGAATCCATTTCATCCTTTATACACACACATTTTTTTTTTCATTTTTATTTGACTTCTTAGAGAAAGAAGAGGCAGAGAATCTGAAATGCCTTTTCCTTTTTCAATCTGACTTTTTTTAGGTTTCTCTTGAACATAGACCCCCCACCCTTCTGCCCCCCACCTCCCGTATTTCTCTAGGGGTTTCACTCACTCTAGTCATATTTTCACACCACTACCATCAGTCCTCTGTCAAGGTCACAAATAAACTTCTGACCTTATGTCTTCTCTCAGCAGTATTCAACACAATTGATCACTCCCTTTTCTTTGAATGTTTTCTTTATTGGATTTTTGTTGCTGTTTTGTTTTTTTTTTAGACAAAGTCTCCCTCTGTCGCCAGGCTGGAGTGCAGTGGCACAATCTCGGCTCACTGCAACCTCCACCTCCCGGGTTCAAGAGATTCCCCTGCCTCAGCCTCCTGAGTAGCTGGGACTACAGGCACACGCCACCATGCCTGGCTAATTTTTTTGTATTTTAGTAGAGATGAGGTTTCATTATGTTGGCCAGGATAGTCTGAATCTCCTGACCTTGTCATCCGCCTGCCTCAGCCTCCCAAAGTGCTGGGATTACAGATGTGAGCCACCGCTTCCAGCCTTTACTTGGATTTTAGGATATCACACCCTCCCGAGTTTTCCTCTTCTCTCAGTACCTTCTCCTTTTCAGGATCCTTTCCCCATCAACCTTTTAAAGTTGTAATGTTCCACCTACCAATTATAATCCCCAGGGAAACTATAAAGAAAATAGCTAAAGAATGTAGTAAAAGAAATAAGTGGCAGGGCGCGGCGGCTCCCTCCTGTAATCCTAGCACTTTGGGAGGCCTAGGCGGGTGGATCACCTGAGATCGGGAGTTCGAGACCAGCATGACCAACATGGAGAAACCCCGTCTCTACTAAAAATACAAAATTAGCCGGGCGTGGTGATGGGTGCCTGTAATCCCAGCTACTCAGGAAGCTGATGCAGGAGAATCGCTTGAACCTGGGAGGTGGAGGTTGTGGTGAGCCTAGATCAGCCTGGGCAACAAGAGTGAAACTCTGTCTCAAAAAAATGAGATAGAGGAACAAAAAGATATAAGACATGTAGAAAAGAATAAAATGGCATAGGCAAGTCCTACCTTATCTGTAGTTTTATTAAATATAAAAAGATTAAACACCCTAATTCAAGGGAAAAAATTGGTGGGATAGATTAAAAAAACATGATATAACCAGCTGTCTGTAAGAGGCATGTTTTTGATTCACAGACAAAAATAGGCTGAAAGGAAAAGAATGAGCAAAGCTATACCATGCAAACTAATCTCTCAAAAGAAAGCTGAAGGGTCTACATTAGTTTCAGACAAAACAGACTTTATGGCAAAAATTGCTACTAGAGACAAAGATATTTTATAATGATAAAAGGGTTAATCCATCAAGAAAATAGAACAATTATAAATGCATGTGCACCTAACAACAGAGCCCAGAATCACAAAATAATATAACTGAAAGGGGAAAGAGACAATTTAACAGTAATTGTAGAATTCGATACCCCATTTTCTATAATGCATAGAACAACCAGAAAGAAGATCAAGAAAGAAATAGAAGACTTGAAAACATTGTGAAACAACTAGATCTAAAAGATACCTATAGAACATTCCATCCCAAATCAGCAGAAAAGTCAATATCTCAAGGGCACATGGAATATTCTCCAGGCCACAAAGCAAGTCTTAATAAATTTAAAAGGTTTTAAATCTTATAAAATGTATTCTCTGTCTACAATTGAAATAAATAAACAGAAGGAAATTTGGGAAACTCACAAATTAATGAGAATTAAACAACATACTCTTAAATAGCCAATAGTTTAAAGACCTAATCACAAAGGGAATTAGAAAATACTTTGAATTGGACGGAAATGAAAACACAACATACCAGAACTTATAAGATGCAGCTAATGCAGTGTTTAGAGGGAATTTTCAGCTGTGAATGCCTATACTAAATAATAATAAGATCTAAAATCAATAACTTAAACCTCACCTGGAGAAGCTAGAAAAAGGAAAGCAAATAAAACCCCAGGCCAGGAGAAGGAAGAAAATAATAAAGGGTAGAGCAGAAATAAATGAAATATGAAATAAAAAAATTTAGAAAATCAATGAGACTCAAAGTTTCTTCTTTGAAAATATCAACAATATTGACAAACTTTAAGCTAGACTGAGAAAAAATAGAGAAGACTCAAATTACTGAAATTTGGAATTAAAGAGAAAACATTGCTACTGGTCTTACAGGAATAAAAAAGATTCTAGGACAATATTGTGAAAAATTTATGCCAACAAATTCAATTGCCTAGATGAAATGGAAAAGTTCCTGGAAACACACAAACTACTGAAACTGGCTAAAGAAGAAATAAAACATCTCGGTAGATATATAACAAGTCAAGAGATTGAATTAGTAATAAAAACCTTCCTACAAAGAAAATGCCAGGCCCAGATAAGTTACTCATGAATTCTACCAAATGTTTAAAGAATAATTAATATCAGTTCTTCACAAACTGTTCCAAAATAAAAACATGAGGACACACTTTCGAATTTGTTCTATGAGACTGGTATCACTATAATACCAAAACATAACAAAGACTTCACAGACACACACAAGAAAACCACAGGCCAATGTCCCTTATAAGTATATAATAGATACAAAAATTCTCAAGAAAATACTAGCAAAGTGAATCTAGTAACATATACAGAGGGGTTATATACTATGATCAACTGGGATTTATCCCATGAAGGCTGGGTTGTTTCAATACATGACAATTCATCCAGGTAATAAAGGACAAAATCACACAATCATCTCAATAGTTGCAGAAAAATCCCATGATTATCTCAATAGTTGCAGAAAAAGCATTTGACAAAATCTAATACCAAAAGTACAAGCAACTAACATAAAATAAATTGAACTTCATCAAAATAAAAAACTTTAGTGCTTTAAACGAAACTACTAAGAAAGCAAAAAAGCAACCCACAGAATGAAAAATGTTTGCAAATAGTGTATTTGATAAAGGTATGATGAGAATATGGAGAGAATATAAAGAACTTACAGTGCAGCAAAAAAAAAACCCAATTAATAATGGGCAAATAATTTAATATGTATTTCTCCAAGGAAGATATACAAGCAGTGAACACATGAAAAGACACTCAACATCATTAGTCATTAGGGAAATGTAAATTTCTACAATGAGATACCACTTTACACCCACCACTATGGCAATTATAAAAAACGCAGGGCAATAAGAAAAGTTGGTGAGTATGTAGAGAAATTGAAACCTTTGTTCATTGCTGGTGGTGCAAAATGGTGCAACTGCTTTGGAAACATTGTTAGCTGCTATATGACCCACCAGTTCCACTCCTTGGTAAGTTTCCAAGAGAAAGAAAAACATATCTCGACATAAAAAACCTTGTGCATGAATGTTCATGGGAGCATTATTCAGAATAGCCAAAAAGTGGAAACAACTCATATGACCATCAATTGTTGAGTGGCTAGACAAAATGTGGAATATCTGTGTAATAGAATACTAACCAGCCATAAAAAGGAATGAAGTACATGTTGCAATATGGATGAACATTGGAAACACTACATGAAGTGAAAAGCACCAGACACAACTGACCACATAATGTATGATTCCATTTATATGAAATGTCCAGAATGGGAAAATCCATAGAGATATAAAGTAGATGTGTGATTTTCAGGGGTTGGAGGAAGGGAATACTGGGAATGACTGCTAATGGGTAAGAGGTTTCTTTTTGGAGTGGAAAAATGTTTTGGAATTAGGTCTTAGTGATTGTTGTACAACCTCATGAGTATACTAAAACCACCAAATTGTATACCTTTAAAAGATGTATTTTATGGTATATAAATTATACCTCAATTTTAAAAGATTCTTATTTCAAAAGTCAGGGCTTGGGAGAAATTGTAGTCATTCTTGACTTTTACCATTCCACAACCAATCCATCAGGAAATCCTGCCAGCTATGCTTAGAAATATATCCAGAAACAGATCACTTTCACCAACTCCATTGCTACATCCCCTGGTTTAAGCAACCATAATTTCTTCCTCAATTATTGTACTAGCCTCCTCACTGGACATTCTGCTTCCATACTTGCCTCCTACTCTATTCTTAACACAGCAGCTGCAGTGATGATGCCATTCTTCTATGCAAAAATCTCTAATGTCATTCCACTTCACTGACAGTAAAAACCAAAGTTGCTATTATGGTCCATAGGCTCTAGAGCTATACAGTCCAACATAGTAGCCATTAGTCACATGTGGTTATTGAGGCATTGAAATGGAACCTCAGCAAATAAGGAATTTTGAAAGTGTATTTGGAAGAACTCATGTGTGTGTGAATCTACTTTTCCAAGTGCGAATTTTACTTAGTTTTTGATTTAGAAAGCTAAATACAGGTTGCAATTGTTTACTAGGGATGCCATACAAAGTACCACAGACTGGCCAGCTTAAACAGAAATCCATTTTCTCATGATTCTAGAGGGTGAAAGTCTCAGATGAAGGTGTCACTGCGTTGATATCTTCTGAGGTCTCTTTCTTTGGCTTGCAGATGGCTATCTTCTGCTGTCTTACACTGTCTTCCTTCTGTGTGTGTCTGTGCCCTGATCTCTCTTCTTATAAGGACGCCAGTCATTATAAGGACGCCAGTCATTTGGATTCTTCTTATAAGGACACCAGTCATTTGGATTAGGGTTTACCTATATGACCTCATTTTACCATATTCACCTTTTTAAGGGCCTTCTCTCCAAATATAATCACATTCTGAGGTCCTTGGAGTTAGAATTTCAACATATGAATTTTGAGGAAATGAAATTTAGCCCATAATATGGGTTAAATATGTTTAATGAAAATTTAGCATCCAAATTGACATGGGCTGCAATCATAAATTATAAACCAGAATTTGAAGATATAGCGATGAGAAAAAGAATCTAAAATACCCCCCCACCCCACCCACTTTTTGAGACGGGTATAGATCTTGCCATGTTGCCCAGGCTGGCCTCAAACTCCCGGGCTCAAGTGATTCTCCCGCCTTAGCCTCCCAGGTAGCTGGGACTACAGGTGCATGTAAAAAATCTTTTTGATAAAATTCTTTTATATTGATTACATGTTGAAAAAATAGTATTTTGGATATATTGACTAAATATATTATTAAATCTACTTTACCTGTTTCTTTTTTAAGTGTGGCTACTAGAAAGTTTAGAATCCTATCTGTGGCTCACATTCTATTTCTATTGGCCAGCACTACTCTACAATGTAGCCTCACATTTTACCCAGCTAATCACATTTCCTGCTGCTCTATTCCAGTCTCTCTGTACCAGCTTCACTGGTGCGCCTAGAACTCTGAGGTCTTTGCACTTGCTGTTCTTTCTGTCTGGAACACTTCAGCTCCAGATGTCCCTGTGACTTGCTCCCCGCCTTCTTGGGACGTTATTCAAACATTGTGACACCTCTGATTGACTTTCACACATATGTATATATATATGCATATATATATACACACACATATGTATATGTATATACACACACACACATATATATATATTTACTGAAGCATAGTGAGGTCATAGGGAAGTGGAAAAGGGAAGGGGTGAAAGTCAGTTGGAGGTGTCACAACTGTGGGAGACCCTCTGAGAAACTAGGTAGAGCACATCTCAGAACTGTCTTGCTCAGGAGCAAGGAAGCTGGGGTATATCCATCACCTGCTTTCTCGAATTATTTGAGAATCACTCCTAGGGACAGTCATTCCATAACGTTTCCATAGAAAAACATTGAAGCTTGAGGTGAAATTCCATTGGCATAAATGAGAACTACCCACAAAAGCTACAGGTGACCTGGGGTAGAGCTAACAGTCTCTGCTCTACTCCTTTGCCCCCAACACTCCCCATCCTCTGAGACCAACCGAACTGTGTCCTCCAAAATTCACATGTTGAAATCCTAACTCCCAATGTGACTGTACTTGGAGACAAGATCTTTAAGGAGATCATTAAGGTTAAATGAAGTCCTAAGGTTGGAGCCCTGATCCAGTAGGATTCATGTCCTTATAAGAAGATACACCAGAACACTCGCTCTGTCCACCTGCACAGAGAAAGGCCACGTGAGCACACAGCAAGAAGGCAGTCGTCTGCAAGCCAGGAAGAGAGAAACAGAATTTGCTGGTACCTTCATCTTGTGCTTCCAGTCTCCAGAACAGTGAGAGAATACATTTCTGTTGCTTAAGCCACTGCTGTTTACGGTATTTTTTATGGCAGCTCTAGCAGACTAATCCGCTCTCTGTGTTTATTTATTTACCTTCTGAGGTTTACCACCATCTCACATAGTATTTATTGTACTAGTTTATTTCATTTGTTTGTTTTCTTCATCCACTATTGTATAGAGTCTGTGAGGACAGATATTTTTGTCTCTTTTGTCGTCTGCTATTTCACCAGTGCATAGAAGAATGCCTGGAGTGTATTTGTTGAATGAACAAATGA